>NC_000006.12:37635757-37938787 GCF_000001405.40 Homo sapiens | reverse complement strand
TTTCCATAACATCATCATCATCATCATCTTTAACACACTGCTTCATGTATCTTGACTAGCATAATAATTAACCACACAATTTAAGAATGCTTATTAGTAAGACATCAAACTGCTATAGACTAAGAGATTAGAAAAGGCTGCCACAGTCCAGCACTGCTAATCCGTTAAGGAACTGTTGCCCGAGTCTTGCTTGCATTTCAGAGTAAGGGAGGCTACACCATAAAGAACAGAGTTTCCTACAGAAACATTCTTTTAACATAGTCAAGCAAGTGCTGAAAAAAAGAGAGAGAGAAAACACAGGATTGCAACTGTGGTATAAAAATGGCCACTGAAAACAAATGTCCCTCTACAGGGGACTAGATAAATAAATTAGGGCACATTATAATGAAGGTGACCAATTAATGTATCAAACAAATTGGTACACTTACAATAGTACCAGTTTGGTACAAAGAGGTACTATTAGTATTTTCACTGGCACAAAATGCATAAACGGAGATTGTTCTAGGTAAATCTAGACATTAATTATAATGGAATATTATAGTTAAAATGAACAAGAGCAACGTGTCAACATGATTAGTTTCTAAAAGCATTATTTAAAAGAATACAGGTTGTAGACTAGTACAAAATACCATTTAAACATTTTAAAAACAGAATCATAACAATATTTATATAAATGCCCATTCATAATAAAAAGTGTAAATACAAGGATAAGAAGGAGAGTAGTTGTCTCTGAGTTGGGAAGATGATGACTAGGGTAAAAGAAAACTGTGACATTTTAGTGCCCTTTTTAGTGTGATAAGAAAAAAGGCAAAACATTAACATTTGTTACTTCTGGGTGGGTTTGTGGATATTCTGAATGTCAGACACCCAACCATCCAACAGATACCTACCAACAGACACATAATGGTTAAGAAGAGCCTGGTAAGTTGAGCTGTCCCCTTTTAACAAACACATGACCAAAATGTGTGTGTGTGTTACACGAGAAATCCCTCTTGGGCGTCTGGCTTAGAAGAAATCAAAGAGTATACAAAAGCAATCAAGTCAAAAAGATTACAAAAACAGAAATACTCTATTCAAACACTTCGTCTTAAGAGCAGCAGTTACTTTTTTTGCCTTTTTTTTTTTTTTTTTTTTGAGACGGAGTCTCGCTCTGTCGCTAGGCTGGAGTACAGCAGCGTGATCTCGGCTCACTGCAACCTCCGACTCCCTGGTTCAAGCGATTCTTCTGCCTCAGCCTCCCAAGTAGCTGGAATTACAGGCATGTGCCACCAGGCCCAGCTAATTTTTGTATTTTTAGTAGAGACGGGGTTTCACCATGTTGGCCAGGTTGGTCTCGATCTCCTGACCTCATGATCCGCCCACCTCAGCCTTCCAAAGTGTTAGGATTACAGGCATGAGCCACTGTGCCTGGCCAACAGTTGCTTTCTTTTGGGAAAAGGTGAATTCAAAAAATCAAGGTATGACAAGCTTACAAATTCCACTATCCTGCAAAATTTTTTGTATTGAAATTGGTAATTTGTTTCTACATTATTTGTGCAGAGTTCCTACATTTCTAAAAGGAAAATATATGAGCTTAAAATTTGTCAGACTCACTCTGTTTCTCTTACTGTAAAGCCTCAAAATTCAGCTGTAACCTACAACTCTTTGCTTTTCAAAAGTGACTAGAATCAGACCACTTTTACTCTGGTATTCTAACAGGAAATGAAAGCAGGAAAGAGATTAGTATGTAACTGCAACCACTAAGTTGCAAGTTCATAAGGAAATATTTTAATTTACTTGGTATGAAATGGGAATTTGTTATCCTCTTCTGGAACTATCATGAAACTCAAGTCACTTTCAAGAAAAATGTTAGCATTTTGGCTTATCTACCATTTCACCCTGCGCCCAGCATTGTTATATCACTCACCTTAGATGTCAACACTTAGATTCCCAATGCTGCAGGCGATAGCTAATTTTATTTTGCTCATTCCAGAAAGAAACAAACCACTTCTAGATTGTATAAATTCACTTCACTTTTTAAACATTTGTAATTTGTGCAATTACATTAATACTTAAATCTGAAAACACAGACAAAATTAAAATTTAAAGCTCCCCAATTACTCTTACTCTGAGACTACCACAATTAAATTTTTCATGTCATCTTCCAGCTTTATCTCATGCAACTATACACTTGTACATCATATGTGAACCACGTGATAGCAAATTTCTTAAAAGTTAGTCTTAAATGAAACAGTATGTTTAAATATACCATGTCTACGGTTTATTAAAAATTAAGTATGCACACATTTAAAAGTCCACCGACCAAGTGGTATTCTGAACACTGTGGAACATATATTAAGTTTGCCTTATGATAAGCATCTGTCATCAGAGCTACTCCAACAACCTTCCATTTCTTAAACATATCTTCTGACTCACTGCCTTATAAAGTATACAATGATCAACAGGTTATAGCTACTTTCTAGTCACCATACTCCTCTCTTCTCCCAAAACTAGTATTTCCAAGGGTTTGTGGGGGATAGAGATGGTGTCACATTAGTAGAGGAGTTACTTCAGTCAGTTCTTTTAAAATTTCTGCCTTCCCCACTTGTGATCATCCTCTTTGATGCTTCTGCCATCCACACTTCTATTTAGGAGGTCAGCAAAACCATTCTGTGAAAAGCACTGCTTTAATGATAGCTGGCCTTCAGTATGCTAGAACAAGAGGTCATCATGAATTAGGTACTAACTATTCCTAAATATTAAACACTGGTCAACTAAAATGCACAAATTCATGAATTGGATTTGCACTCAAACAAAAAAAAATACCATAGGCAGTATCATTTCTACCTTTGTAAGAGGCAGGAATATTCATTAGACTCTATGCTTGACTTTTCATATGTATTTTAACACTGTAGTAGGCTATCGGGTCTAGTTTAAGCTTCATTTCTAAACTACTCAACAGCTCAGAACTGACAAAGATCACAAGAAATCAACTATTAACCTCTTGCCTGAAGACACAAATGAAATATTCCCTATTTTACAAAGCAAATTAGATTCCAAGATTTTCCAAAGCCATACTCCTGCAGTTCACTGGGTTTCAAACTTAAAATCATAATAGTAATATACACATATTTACATTATAACCCATTACACATTATTTTCAACTCAATGCAAGTCAAACAAAGGTTTCACAAAATAACTTTACTATGTGCAATACACTGATATTTTCTATTCTACTCAGAATTTTTTAAATACTAATCATGACCCATTAAATTGTCTACCCACTAATGAGTGACAATACCCAGTTTGAAAAACTGCATTAAGAGGTAGTATTTCAACCAATAAATGTTAATTTGCCATAACTATGTCATAAAATTTTCTCGCTTTTTATATTCATTTACTTATTTAAGTAAAATCATATATAAAACAATATAAAAATATTTAATGAAAGGACAGTGTGACAGGTAGAATATTATCAAGGGGGTAAGAAAAGCCAAAATTAGGCCATAAGAGATCCTCAGACCAGCTCTGATAATTGGAAAGATTTGTGGCAAAATCAATTGATAACTCATGTCCCAGGGTGCTTACATACCATCCTTTTCAATAGTTTAGAAAGTCTCCACAACTTCAAAATGCAAAGCTGTTAAGCAAAACCTTTCTTTAGCAATAATATAAAAATAATCAACACTTTTGACTGGGAAGAATTATATATCAACTAAAAGGTCCTTATGCAAACTCCAGGAATTTCAGGCTTCTCTACCTACACAATAGTCTTAGACTTGAGAGATATAGATCCACATTTCCAAACAAATGTACTGAATTGTAATTTGAGAAAAGAAAATACAGAATATGTGAAAGGGGGACTGACGGGGAAGGTAGAAAAATAACAAATAGGAATTCTTACAGGAATGGAGAGAATATAGTATGGTAAGATTAACTTTTGCTTTTTTTTTTTTTTTTTTTTTTTTTTGAGACAGAGTCTCACTCTGTTGCCCAGGCTGGAATGCAGTGGCACAATCTCAGCTCACTGCAACCTCCACCCACCGGGTTCAAGTGATTCTCCTGCCTCAGCCTCCCGAGTAGCTGGGACTACAGGCATGCACCACTACACTCAGCTAATTTTTTTGTATTTTTAGTAGAGACAGGGTTTCACCATGTTGGTTAGGCTAGTCTCGAACTCCTGACCTCAAATGATCCATCCACCCACCTGGGGCCTCCCAAAGTCCTGGGATTACAGGCGTGAGCCACCGGGTCTGGACTTTTTTTTTTTTTTTTTTTTAAATAGACTAAATGACCTCAGATAAAGAGAATGTAGATGAGCAATTTAAGTCCACTTTACCTCAAATCCTAATACTTGAGTCAATCACTTCCTGGTACTTCCCCAGAATACTTAACTGTAAGTGTCGTAGTTATCCTGGCATAGAAAATATTGGATGATAAAGGTTTCTAGGTCAAGGCCTTTCTCTTAAGACTGAGAAAGAAGTATACTTAAATGTCTTTGTGAAGAAAAGTCCTTTGGAATCGCTTGAACCCGGGAGGCAGAGGCTGCAGTGAGCTGAGATGGCACCACTGCACTCCAGCCAGGGCTACAGAGCCAGATTCCGTCTCAAAAAAAAAAAAGGGCCGGGCGCAGTGGCTTACACCTGTAATCCCAGCACTTTGGGAGGCCAAGGTGGGCGGATCACCTGAGCTCAGGAGTTCAAGGCCACTGTGACCAACATGGAGAAACTCTGTCTCTACTAAAAACACAAAAATTAGCCAGGCGTGGTGGCGCACGCCTGTAATCCCAGCTACTTGGGAGGCTGAGGCGGGACAATCACTTGAACCCGGGAGGCGGAGGTTGCGGTAAGCAGAGATCGCGCCACTGCACTCCAGCCTGGGCAACAAGGGCGAAACTCCGTCTCAAAAAAAAAAAAAAAAAAAAATGAGAGAGAGAGATCCTTTAAACAGTCTTAAATGATTTTAGCCTTTAAAGGTAACAGAGGCCAAACCAGGGTTAATGATAAGATAGTTGTCAAAAAGTTTAAAAAACAAACAAACAAACAAACAAAAAAACCTCTCTCATTTCAAAGAGAGGAATTTTGGTTGAGCTTCGAGTCTTTAGCAAATCCAGCCCAGCCAGGTTGGGCCCTCTTCCACATACATGCAAAGGTCTGATACAAACATTTCTCATTCTAACAATACACAGAAGCATTATAATTTGGTATATAGTTTACCAGCAACTAACATTTCAATGGCTTTTAGCAACTGTCACTCTGCATATACTCATTTCTCCTTTCTTATTCCTTTCCTCTAAATTCAAACATCCCAAGAATATTTTATAAAGGAGAAACAGCTTAAGTAATGATGGCTATTGGGTCAGGTGTGTGCTCACCACTTAGCAGAATATTTCACCAGCAGCAAAACAGTTCTCCAAGTAAACACACACACCCCTAGTTCCTAACCTACAACGTATTCTCTCGGTAAGACTTTAAAGATGTTTTTCCCATTTCATTCAATTTTATGTAAACAAGTTATAACAAACTAATTTTTTCACCACATAGATTTTGAAAAGGAATCTTGAAAAGAAAATGTTTAACCTAGTGGCAAACAATAACTATTTAAAAAGTGATTTTTCCATCTTTTAAAGTACACTGTACATTTTACAATATACTTTAAAAAGAGTCTTTTAAGATCACAGTGGCTTTGGCCAAAATAATCTTTATGTTGTCTTGTAAAACTCATGGCTCTTCTGTAATACTGCATTCACTATACTCTCCTTATGTTCATACTGAGATGACATCCAAAAATGTATTTTTAAAGTTCAATGATCTCTTTTCTTTTGAATTTCTAAAGGTACATAAAATTCTGTTTCAGCAGACAGGATATTAACTAGTCATGCCACGCAAATGCAACTGGAGAAAGCAGTAGTGTGTAGGTAAAAAATATAGAGAGAAGCGAATATTTTCTTTAGATACTTGAAAATGTCCTAATATTTTTATAAAAGCAAAAATGGCAAGGCTGTATAAAATGTAAATAGACACAGATCACGAGACAGATAATTATAAACACAGAAAGTAAAACTGTAACAAGTCCAAAGAAACACAAAGCCCATGGCTGAACTCTAGCTTCATAGTTAAAATTTTTTTAACTTTGTATTCATTTAGGGGCACAAGATAGTTCCTCAGGAGTATTTGATGTGAACCACCTTATTATTCAAAGGTGTCTGGCCTTCTCCCAAAGCCATACTTTACTAAATTACAATGGGGTCTCCATGTGGGGACAAATATATAATCTAATACAGGTTGAGTACCCCTAATTCAAAATGCTTGAGACCAGAAGTGTTGGGATTTGTTTTTCTCAGATTTTGGAACATTTGCACTTTGGAGCATTTCAGATTTGGGATTTGGGGTTCTCAACCTGTATACATTTTGTCTCACTGCTACTTTCGTCTTCACTATAAAGTTAACCTTTCATCAGTGAAGAAGCATTTCTTCATATCTGTAATTGTAGATACATAAGGTAAGCAGCAGAATACAGTCCTTTTATTTATTTATTTTTTTTTTTTTGAGACAGAGTCTCGTTCTGGCTGGAGTGCAGTGGCGTGATCTCGGCTCACTGCAAACTCCGCCTCCTAGGTTCAAGCGATTCTCCCGCCTCAGCCTCCCGAGTAGCTGGGATTACAGGCACGGGCCACCACACCCAGCTAATTTTTGTGTTTTTAGTAGAGACGGGGTTTCGCCATGTTGGCCAGGATGGTCTCGCTCTCCAGACCTCGTGGTCCACCCACCTCGGCCTCCCAAAGTGCTGGGATTATAGGCGTGAGCCACTGCGCCCGGCCTGAATACAGTCCTTTAACATGGCACAAATACTGCTAAAAGCTGAATAAAAACCCACCAATATTTCTTTTCTTTTAAAAACCTAAGTATCTGACAAATTCCAAATTTTGAACCTATAAAAGCTGTCAGCTTCCCCAATTCTTTCCCATCTAACCCCTAGTTTAGGCACAAATGTAACGGTCTAAAGCTTACACCATGATTACTTCCTTGCCCAAATAGCATAATGAATAGATTAAAATTAACAACAACAAAAAAAATCTCTTTAATAAAAATCTAGCCAGCCTCCTCTGAGCCCTCTTCTGGACCAGGCCTCAACCTGGACCTTTAAAAACTACAGACTCTCAAAACAAATGATTTGGTCCACTCCCTCCTTTCACATTAAAAGACTTACACACACTAACATTTCTTTTTTTTGTTTGGTTGGTTTTTTTTTTGTTTTTTTTTTTTTGAGACGGAGTCTCACTCTGTTACCAGGATGGAGTGCAGTGGCGCAATCTCAGCTCACTGCACCTCTGCCTCCCAGGTTCAAGCAATTCTCCTGCCTCAGCCTCCGGAGTAGCTGGGACTACAGGTGCACACCACCACATCCAGCTAATTTTAAATACTAACATTTCTAACAGCTCAAGGTTACCTCCCTAGGATGACCCTAGCCTCTCTCAAATTGTCTGCCTCTTAAAGCTCAAGGCTGCCAAAGAATCTACTGTTTGTTCTAGCCAGCATCTGAAGATAGGCCCTAACTATCCTCTTAGATCATTTACTAAAAAGGGCTTACAACTGTGAATCCTTCCTCTGTCCCTTTGAGCTGTACTCCTACAACTCAGGAGTGTCTTTCTCAAGGACCTGAAAGCCATTCCTTTAAAAATGTAACCATCAGGAAAAATAGGGTATCTATTCCCCAGTCACAGTGTCAGCTAACAGGCACAGCTGGCCTAATCACCATATTTTACCAATCTTTTTAAATTCTTCACTTCTTTGAGTCTACAGATTCCGTTTATCCACCCTGCCAAGTCCCCTGCCATTCTCCCTTTAAAACTCCCAGTCATCTCTGCAAATCAACATTGACTTCATTTCATACTGGACTCTCTTCCCTATTGCAAAAGTGTATTACTGACTAAAACCTGTCCTTAGAACTTTAGCTAGTATGCAGCTTTGTTTACCTTTGACAAAATGAATAAAGAAGGAAAGTTAAACATATCCTAATTAGCAAAGACTTATTTATATAGGATCGCTAGATAGAAAGTTTTTTAAAAAGTAAAAATAAAAAGACCTAAAAGTTTCAACTTCATGAAGGAGTCATAATTCCAGAAGTTAACCAATTACCTCTGGGGCTAGAAAAGGACCTTGGCACATGTCAAGCCCAAGTCCTTCATTTTATAATGATGAATCCAAGGTCCAAAGAGATTACGTGACTTACCCGAGGTGATTTGAATGAGGGATCTGCAGGAGGCTTTTTGTTTTTATAGAGACAAGGTCTCACTATGTTGCCCAGGCTGGTCTCAAACTCCTGGCCTCAAGCAATCCTCCTGTCTCTGCCTCCCAAAGTGCTGGGATTATAGGCGTGAGACACCATGGCAGCCTCTATGATGGATCTGATGATGGGCTAACTCAGCTTGATTCTCTTCCTGACTCCAACATGAAAATATTCTGTTACATTCTCATTGATAGAGCAACATTAACCAATAATCATTCAAGTCAAGATGAGCACGCATTTTTTACAGTTCTACTGTATACCAACAACAGTAAACCAAGGAAAGTTTGTTTGGTGCAAGTACATAGGAGATAGGATTTCATTCAAGGAAAACTGTTTCAACCGTCCTAGGCAAATATATGAAGCACCTTGGTAAGGTGAAACTGCTTTCTCACACAAGCTAAGAAAACAAAACCCCATGCATAAATCCTTTAGGGTCAAATGATTTAGTCTTAAAAAGAACCAAAAAAAAAAAAAGAAAGAAAAATGAAAGTAAATTAAAAAACCCTTTTTCTGCACTTACCAGCAAAGCATTTGGAACAGAGATTCATAGTCTTGCTGGACCTGGGGCAAACAAAAAGAAAAGAAAGAAAGAAGAGCTAAAAACTCCATATCACTCTAATCAAAACATAAGATGTCAGAAACGTAGGCAAAGAACTTTCTGGTCAGGCAACTGAACTAATAAACTGATAAATTAATAACAAGTCCCTAGCTAGCCACCACTCCCCCCTCAACAAAATAAAAATTAAAAAAAAAAAACAAAAATATAAACACTTGGTTTTTATTTTTATTTTTTACCTGTAAATTAGCCAATGTTTGCTTTTATTTATTGCGTATATTAGCAGCTTATATAGCAGCAAGTTCAGAAACATTATAAAATGCCCAGAAGATGGTATGGGAGTCAATTTAAACCACATGATTACCACATTCCCTCTTTTCATACAGAAAAATATATGAAGTTATCACAAATACTTCGTAAATGGGTAAAACTTTCTCCTCATATACACAGTCATTTATCTCTATAACATTAGCTGAACTTTGATCTTTCCTATTTCAGATCCTAATCACATTATGACCTTCTTGTTTAAAATTCTTTCTTCAGATACGCCAATCAAATTAGTTTTCATGTCCTTTCATCCATTAATAATAGCTACAATTCACTGAATACTAACTTGGATGGGCATTTCGCATACATTATCTTATTAATCGTCCCAACATCACTAAGATGGGTATTACCATATTGTTTTGCTTTTAAAACGCACTTTTAAAAAAATCACATTAGCATTTCTGTAACAAGGAAATACCTTAGAATTGGTTACAAGCGATGAATAATTTAACCCGTTTATGCCAGAGGTTGGAATTTTTTGAATTTTTGCAGTGAGACCAGGGCAATGACCTTGAGCAGGATATAAATAATTCCCACATGCTTAGTGTTCCAATAATGGAACACTATGTTACCCCTTCCTCTGCCAAGGCATTATTCAACTTAGAAGGGGGTCTTAGAAATCAAAGACATACAGTCTCATCCCCATTACATAGGTGGGCAGACTGTTCTAGGTCACAAAGCTAGGAACTACAGAAAAATATCTGACCTTGGGTGTAAGCTATCTCCAAAGGCCAACCCAACATCCTTTGTTCACAACACAGCACCTGACAGCACAGCACCCTAGGGACTACATGGTGGGCAATCAATAATGACTTTTCTGGCCAGGCACGGTGGCTCACGCCTGTTATCCTAACACTACAGAAGGCTGAGGGGTGGGCGGAATGCCTGAGCTCAGGAGTTCAAGACCAGCCTGGGCAACATGACAAAACCCCATGTCTACTAAAAATAGAAAAAATTAGCTGGGAGAGGTGGCACACGTCTGTAGCTACTTGGGAGGCTGAGACACAAGAATCGCTTGAACCCAGGAAGCGGAGGTTGCAGTGAGCTGAGATCACACCACTGCACTCCAGCCTGGGCAACAGAGCAAGACTCTGTCTCCAAAAAATAGTAATAATAAATAATAATGACTTTTCTGTTACATTCATCTCACCGCTGCTTCCCTTCCTGATCCTCTCCCAAGCGGACTCATTCTTAACAGCTCTTCCTTCCAAAGACCTCCTGGAGTGCTCTACGTTAGGCAAGCTGACCTATTTAAAACTTCATTCCTCAGCAACTCCATTCCCAAGATTTGAGCCTTTGACCAGAACTGCCCCTAAAAATAGAATAAGCCAACCTTCTTTTGCCCTCTTTACTATGTTTTACAATTAAAGCAAGCCTCCCTCAGGAAGTATTCTCTGATGCTGATTGTTTGCCCCATGTGCTGGAACCAAAGACCTAACAGCAATTGTCACAAGATGGGGGAAAGGGGGTCATTATTTCTTTCCCAAAAAAGATGCTGTCAACAAGTAGATATTCCTTTAGAATCCTGCTTAATATAAACACAACAGCAATGAGGAAAATTGAGTATCAACAAGTGAATAAGATGAGTAAAAAGATAAAGAGATGTGTTAATGGTAGCATCTAACATTTATTACATGCCTATAATGTGGCAGGCACAATACCAGATACCTTCAACCCCATTTTACCATTGAGAAAACAGAGGTCCCAAGAGGGTATGTAACTTGCCGAAGATTACAGAACTAGTAAGTGAATTAATCTGGTCTAATTCCAACACCTGTATTCTATTCATCATGCCAAACTTCGGCCTCTGCCCCAATATAGAAGCTGAGGGGCATATACCAGTCCAGAACCAGCACTCTGGTGGTTTGTGAGAATGTCTATGGAAATCAAGTCAGTTCCCTGAGAAAGTAAAGCTTCTCATCTAGAAGAAGCACAACTTCTGCTCTCCCTGACCCTGCAGGCATATAGGAAAACAACCCAAGATTCCCAGTCATTTCAGTTCCAACGCAAGGAAGAAGTGAGAATGAAGAAAATCCTACATGCCTGTTTTAACTAACTGAACTTGAACTAGAGGCGCCTCTCCATCCTAAAGAGATGACTAGTATGGATGCAGTATACACACATCTGTAGTTTGCAGAACATTCTCTATTGTTGGAATATTGGGATTGTCCCCTCCCCTCTCATCTCCACTCAACTTCTCTGAAGGGGCCAGAATTCCCTGCCAGAGAATCAGGCGCCCTTCTGATGCGGTCACTATCTCTTGTCCACGCAATGCCACAAAAAGCCAGATATAACTCATATAACTTCTGCTACTCCCAATTGCCCAGCAGGAATCATGGAAAGCCTTCAGAGGATAACTTGGCAACCAGTGTGCCAGTTTTAACATCTGAGTTTCAGAAACCTGGTTTAAAAAAATGGCAAAATGGCCTTTTTCTCAGAGTCCCTTGATCTCTCTTCAGATAATTTATGTATTTAAAATGCCTACCATACCTATGTATTACCTAAATGACATCCATTCCACATTCTGGATAGAAATTTTTCAGCAACATGGTTGTCAATCAGGTTATAAAAGAAATAATATAACTACTGATATTATTACTCAAAACAGAGATGTTTTAAATCTAAAATAAACCAGACTTTGGCTACCGAAATAATGGTCATTCTAAACAATGCCAGCTTGGATCACATGGGTCAAGAACACTGAATCCAAAAGAACTGGCAGAGACTTCCGGGAACTTTGATCCTTTCTCATGTTGAACATGGGAAACTTGAAGCTAATCACAGGCATACAACTACTCGCTACCTAACAAAAAGCAGTGTAATCAACTTGCATGGTCTTGGAACAGACAACAGAGCTCTCTTTTTGACAGTAAGCATGAAAGGTAAAGTTTCACTGGAGCAGTGAAACTACTCTTATTGAGCTCTCCAATGGGTACCACGTTTCTAAAACCAAGGGGTAGTAGGTTGAATAATGGCTACCAAAAGATATCAAGTCTTAATCCCGAAGTTACCTTACTCAGGGGGTGGAGGGTCCTTTCCAAATTAATTAATGATTTTGAGATGAGATTACCCTGGATTATCCAGGTGAACCCTAAATGACATCACAAGAGAGAGAGGCAAAGAACATTTTTGCAAGGGAGTAGCAAAGGGAATTCAGAAAGACACCCAAAGTAAACAGCCACATGAAGATGGAGGCAGAAGCTGGAGTAACAGGGTTACAAGCCCAGGAATGCTGGGGCAGCCCCCAGAAGCTGGAAGAGGTGAAGAATGGATTCTCCCTCAGAGCCACCTTGGAGGGAAGGAAGCCCTCCCAGATCTTGGACTTCTAGTCTCCAGAACTTTGAGAAAATAAATTTCTATTATTCTGTCACCAACTTTGTGGTAATTTGTTACAATAGCCTCAGAAAACTAATATACAAGGGTTATGTATCTGATCATAGCATATTCCCTCTCAGTAGCATTCAGCTAGATCCATCCTTCTTTCCGGAACACTCTTCACATACCTTCATGTCACTCAAATCCCAGATCAAACAACCCTCTTCCACCACAACTGCTCCCATTTAGCCACCTTTGCTACTGCTCCTCCCCTGCAAAGACCCTTAACTGGAGGTCCAGAAACTCAGTCTTCATTACCTCTACTTTTCATTTGGTAGTGATCTCCCACACTTTCATGGTTTTAAAATACTGTATCTATACACGAAAGATGCAAAAATGTTTACCTTCAATCCCAAATCTCTTTACCTTGCTCCAAACTCACATATCTAACTGCCTATTTGACATCTCAACGTTTGACTCAAACTTAGTATTTCAAATTAGAATTCTCAGTATTTCCCACAAATTTGCCTGACCCATCTTTTCCACTCATATAAATGGGAAACACCTTCTTCCCAGTTGCTCACATCAAAAATCTAGAAACCTTTTTTTTTTTTTTTTGAGATGGAGTGTAGCTCTGTTGCCCAGGCTGGAGTGCAGGAGCATGATCTCAGCTCACTGCAACCTCCGCCTCCTGGGTTCAAGCGATTCTCCGGCCTCAGCCTCCCAGGTAGCTGGGATTACAGGCGCCCGCCACCACGCCCGGCTAATTTTTCTATTTTTTAGTAGAGACAGGTTTTCACCATGTTGGCCAGGCTGCTCTCAAACTCCTGACCTCAGGTGATCCGCCCACCTCGGCCTCCCAAAGTGCTGGGATTACAGGCATGAGCCACCGCGTCCAGCAGAAACCATTTTTGATTCCCGTCCTTCCTGTAGTCTTACAGATACAACACTCAGCAAGATGCATTAGTTCTACTTACAAATAGATCTCAAATCTATGTATTCCTCTCCTTCCTTAATGCTTCTATGATGGCCACCATTAACTCTCACCTAGGCCACTGTAAATAGCTTTTTATTGGTCTTCTCGTTCCCATTCTTGACCCTATACAATGATTTTTCCACATAGCAGCTATGGTCATCTTTTAAAACAAGTTGGAGCGTGTTATTTTCTTGCTTAACACTATCCAACAATTTCCTATTGAGTATAAAATCCAAACTTTTTACCTGGAGAAAGTTTTTAAAAAAAAAAGTCTGGAAGTCTCCTTGTGATCTGACTATGCCTACTTCCCCTCTTGCTCTCTTATCATTCTGCCCCCTCATTCACCACATTTCAACCATGCTTGCCTTTTCTCTGTTCTCTGACTGTGCTGTAGGGCTCATGCCCATGCTGTTCCCTGTACCCCCAAATCACTGTAATGCTGTCTCTTTCTTGTTGCTCATATCCTAGTTCAAACCTCCTCACTGGCCTTCCCTCAACAACCCAATTTATTTTTTTATTTTTTGTTTTTTTGAGACTGGGTCTCATTCTGTTGCCCAGACCAGAGTGCCCAATCATAGCTCACTGCAGCCTTGACCTCCTAGGCTCAAGCCATCCTCCCACTATAGCCTCCCAAGCAGATAAGACTCTAGGCACACATCAGTCCATTATTTTTTGTAAAGATGGTGTCTTACTTTGTTGCCCAGGCTGATCTCAAACTCCTGGGCTCAGGTGATCCTCCCACCTCAGCCTCCCAAAATGCTGGGATTACAGGTGTGAGCTACAACTCCTGTGGCCTGACCACCCAATTTAAATCAGTTCCTCTTCCTGTTTTCTTCTTTCACATCATTCTTTGATATCTCACCACATGCCTGTTTGCCTGCTATCTTTCACCACTAGAATGTAAGTGCCATAAGAGCAAAGACTCCTTTGGTCACTCTTGGTTGGTATTTAACAGGTACCCAATAAATGCTTGTTAAATGAAGAAATAAAATCTCTTTTGAAGGCCTGAACCATTAAAAAAAAAAAAAAAAAAGCACTTAAGTAGATATTTGAAATGTATTTTGTAGAGGTCAAACACCAGCTAGAAGACAGGTTCTCCACAATTCCTGTGGCTGTCAGCCTGTCATCTTTCTGGAGCTCTGTCACAATGCATTACCTATGGCTGGTAGATAACGTCATCCTATGTATCTGGCCATGATCTGTCACTCAGAATATAACAGGTGGCAGACACTTTTAAAAGTTTCTTTCTAATGACACGGAGTGAGAAATCTGCTTAAATTTTTTTCTTTTTCTAATAATGTTTAATAGTATGTTCTGGTTTTGAAAATACATACCCCTTGAACAGAATGTAGAAAAAAAAACAAAAAGTAAAAACTAAAACTCATTTATAATTCCCCAAAATAAGAAATACTTTTTTAGATAGATATCTATAATTCAGAATTTATTATATTTACAGTATTGGTTGTTGTATGGTATGTTCACAGGTGTTCATTTTATTATGCTTCATACCATATATACACATTACATATAGTCATGCACTGCATAATGATACTTTCATCAATGACAGTTCACATACACAACAGAAGTCCCATAAGATTATTATGCAGCCAAAAACTTCCTGTCACCTAATGGCATCATAGCTGTAGTGTTAGAGCAACACAGTAAACAAACCAACTGTGCTGTCAGTCATATAAAAGTCTAGCACATACAGTTATGTATAGTACATAATACTTGATAAAAAATGATAAACATCTATGTGATTGGTTTGTGTATTTACTATACTTTATATCATTATTTTAGACTGTAATTCTTCTACTTACTAAAAAAAGAAGAGGAAGAAGTAGTTGTTAACTGTAAAGCAGCCTTAGGCAGCTCTTTCAGGAGGTATCCAGAAGAAGGCATTGTTATCATGGAGATGACAGCTCCATACCAATTACTACCCCTGAAGACCTTCCAGTGGGAAAAGATGTGGAAGCAGAAGACAGTGATGCTCCTGACTCTGTGCAGGCCTAGGATAATTGTGTGCATGTCTGTGTGCTGGGGCCTAACAAAAAAGCTTTAAAAGCAAAAAATAAAATATTTTTTAAATAAAGGTGCCAGGCCTGGTGGCATGCACCTGTAGTCCCAGCTACTCAGGATGCTGAGAAGGAAGGATCACTTAAGCCCAGGACTTTTGAGTCCAGCCTAGGCAACAGAGTGAGACTCTGTCAATCAATCAATAAAGAAAACTTATAGAATAAGGATATAATGAAAATATTTCTGTGTAACTATACAATGTGTTTGTGTTTTAAGCTAAGTGTGATTACAAAAGAGTCATCAGTTTAAAATTTTTTTAAAGTTTATAAGGTAAAAAAGCTATAGTAAGCTAAAGCTAATTTATTATTAAAGAAAATTTTAAAAATAAACTTAGTGTAGCCTAAGTGTACAGTGCTTATAACATCCACAGTAACATAATGTCCTAGGACCCTCACATTCACTCACTACTCATTCACTGACTCACCCAGAGCAATTTCCAGTCTTGTAAGCTCCATTCATGGTAAGTGCCTGGGACAGGTGTACACTTTTTTATCTTTCATGCCACATTTTTACCACACCTTTTCTATGTTTAGATACACAAATACAACTGCCTACAGTATTCAATATAGTAACATGTTCTACAGGTTTGTAGCCTAGGAGCAACAGGCTATACCATATAGTGTAGGTGTGGAGTAGGCTATACCACCTAGGTTTGTGTAAGGACACTCTATGATGTTCAACATTTGTTTCCACAATGAAACCGACTAACAGCACATTTCTCAGAATATGTCCCCGTCATGAAGCAATGCATGACTATTTTCTTTTGTGTATATACAAAAATTTCATAAAGAAATGCATAATGAAAATCTACAGATATCATTTTTTCAATTTACATTTACATTTAATATTTATCACGCCTTAAATATTCTTCAAAAACATGTGTGTTGCTCTGTGACAATCCATTACATACTAATACTATAATGTAGTCACACTCTTACTACTGTTGGATGTATAATTGTTTTTCCCCAATTTTTCCTATTATAAATATTGCTATAATGAGCATTTTTGGACTTAAATCTTTAATCATAAATCTGTATTTGAATGGCTTTAAGACTGATTCTGAGAAGGAGACCTTACTAGATGAAAAAGTATATTTTGGTAAATATTGCAAAATTACCTTCCAGGTAAGTTCTACATACTATTTTGAATACATCTTTGCCAACAACGTTTTATTTTATTTTATTTTATATTTTATATTTCATTTATGAGACAAGGCCTGGCTCTATTGCCCAGGCTGGAGTGCAGTGGTGTGATCTCGGCTCACTGTGACCTCCGCCTCCTGGGCACAAGCCATCCTCCCACCTTAGCCTCCAAAGTAACTGGGACTACAGGTACATGCCACCACACTCAGCTAATTTTTGTGTGGGTTTGTTTTTTTTTTTTTTTTGCAGAGATGGGGTTTTGCCATGTTGCCCAGGCAGGTCTCTGACTAGTGAGCTCAAGCAATCTACCTGCCTCAGCCACCCAAAGTGCTGCGATTACAGGTATGAGCCACTGCACCTGGCCAACACTGTTGTACTTTTTAATTTTTACTTGATGGCAGAAATGATTATGTTGTTAAATGTTTCTTCTAAATTTTTTTTTCAATTTTGAAGGATATCAATGTTTTAATGACAAATTAGCCTTCATGCTAATTCATCTTGGGGAATTCTAGTAACAGTCCTAATTTCTGGGAATTCTGGAAACATCTTATAATATTTTCCTGACACATACACAAGACTACTATCTCTCCCCACTCAGAGAAACATACACATGCAAAAAACTATTTTAATATAAATATGGAAATAAAAAACAACTCTTTCACCATATCAATGTTCCTCAACAACTTTTTTTTTTTAACCCAACTGGAAGGAAAAACCTAGGGCACAAGAAAAATAGAGAAAAGTATAAAAAAAAACAGTACCAGCACGTAAGTATACCAAGCTCTTCCAGTCCTATGGTCCCTGAACTTCTCTACACTAGACATGTATCATAAAACTAAAAAAATCTAGACTACAAAGAAAGTTCCTTCTTCAGTGAAGGGAGTCAATCTGTAAAAACTGTCACATTTCTAAAAACTAGTCTGTAAAAACACAATCTGTAAAAATTAGTCACATTTCTGAATTCAACCTCTTCTAATAATCCAGACAAAGGAGGAAAGGGGAGGGATGGGTAAGAGGACAAAGAGAAGGAGAAGGCGGCGAGGAGTGGGGTGGTAAAGGAAAGGAAGGGAAAAACAAACCACAATACCTACTACACTCTAAGTCATCCCAGTTTTCTCAGAGGTAAAATTAGAATATTAAAGACTCCTAACAATCTGCTTCCCGCCTCATACACATATAGCCAGAAAAACTAACTTCCTACAGCAGCCAGGAAGCAGCCAACAGCTCTACTAAATCACCACTCTCTACTCACCCTAGGCAAACACGAAAAAGACCAGTTCAAACAGATGACATCCTAGCTGGCAATGACAAAGGAGGCTTTCAGGGGTGCAACCAGCCTGTCCAAACTGTTACACATCACTCTAAATCATTCAGACCATGTCTGCAAATTTTCTTTTTAAGGAAATATTACAATGGAGAAGATGGAGCTGTTAATAAGGGTATTAGTTTCTATAATGTAGCAATATGGATCCTGCTCACTTTAAAAACTAATTTTAATGTAACAATTTAGATTCCAAGTGGGTTACTGTAATTAGCAGTGGTTTTAGCATTTTATGCCCAAATTCAAGGACAGCAGAGCAAAATGCCTCGATTTTTGTGTGTTTCAAGTACTTGCACTAAAAGTTATAGTGTATAGATGTAAAACTAGTCCCATTATCATCTGTGGCCCTGTATATATTACTGAAAGTTTAGTCCAGCACCATCTAACAATTACAGACAAGATGAGGCATGGCCATCAATAAACTAGTCAAAAGAAGAACAAGAAAAATTAAAATATATGAATGAAAGCCCCTGTAGAAAAGGAGAAAAAAAAAAACAATGAAGTGAATTAAAATGCCAAATAATTTTTCCACATAAGAGAAACTTAATGAGGCTATCAACTCTAACACACCCAATATATACAATGATTGCAACTGTCCCACTATATATCCCCAAACATAAGATAAGGTTTTCTTCCCTAAAGTTATCTTTCAGAAAGAAGGAATTGCTTTACAATTAAATCCTTACTTTTGAGGCAGACACCAATTATTTTATACTAAATACTAACAAGGGCCAAAAAAAAAAAAAAAAAAAAAGCTTCAAAAAAAACCTGGAAGTGAGAAAGAGAAATCCAAGTATGCAGTCATGCCCAGGGAAAGGAATGGTGTTTGGGATTTCAAAAGAGGAATGTAGAGTCCCAGTCCCAGAGGCATCTCTCCAGTTAGTCTGTGAAATGGCTGAGACAGTGAAGTTCTCATCACTAGTCAGGGACACTGAGGTATGGAAGGATGTCAAGCCAACTCTAATATTGGATACTTTGTCATGGTTACAACAACAAACTAGTTTTATAAAAAGGGGAGGATTCGGTTTTAAACACAGATTTAATACTTATTTCTGGAGAGTGATTACAAATAGTAGCTGCCATTGAAGAAGGCCTCTGAAGATCTTCTAGAAAGCAATGCAGTAACAGCCTTGAAATGTGAGGAAGATCATAAATGACGTCAAGATGATGACAACTCTCCTAATGTTACATGAATGAATTCTTGTGGCTTGGGATAAATTTTCCAGTGACTGCAACATTTACAGATTTTAAAGTGCTTTATCTCAAACAACTTGGAGGCTAAAAAAAAAAATGAATGTGATATTCTCTGAAAAACCATGGTCAATAACTTTTAAAACGGCTTGGTAAATATTAAATAATAATTTGGTAAATATTGAAGTCTGATGTCTGTGCAGACATGGAGAATTTAAATCTGTTCATAACTAGGAAAAGTAACATTTTAAAATTTATATTACGAGCATATACAAATTACATATAATTTTATATAATCCATGACCTTTAAATATGCATGTGCAGTTACCATCAGGACAAAATGGGTGAACATATATATAAGATCTCTCAGCCCGGCGCGGTGGCTCACGCCTGTAATCCCAGCACTTTGGGAGGCCAAGGCAGATCATGAGGTGAGGAGATTCAGACCACCCTGGCCAACATGGTGAAACCCCGTCTCTACTAAAAATACAAAAATTAGCTGGGCGTGGTAGCGCATGCCTGTAATCCCAGCTACTCGGGAGGCTGAGGCAGGAGAATCACCTGAACCAGAGAGTCGGAGGTTGCAGTGAGCCAAGATTGCGCCACTGCACTCCAGCCTGGGCAACAGAGCGAGACTCCGTCTCAAAAAAAAAAAAAAAAAAAAGGCATTTTTCATGTTTTGAAAACACACAGAAAACTTCCCAACCATCTAGTACAAGAGCAAGTATCTGAGAATTAAACTGAGAATGACAAATTTAAGAGAGATAACAATAAGGTATTATCTGACCTTATTTTTCTTCTGGCTAACAATGTTGCTTTTGAAAATAGGTGGGGTTGGGAGAACAACAACATTTATGGAGCTCAGAGTACTTTTTCCCAAAGTGTGTCAAAATAATTAAATATTCACCTGTCCTACCCAAGTGCCAAATATTTTTGCTTCATCCACTCATCCACTCTCATTAAGATAATTCAGGCTTACAGAGAGAGGCTCTGATTTATCCATATTTATGGTAAATTAAATCAAAGGCATGATAATTTTAATGAAAGATGAAAAGTAACCTAAAGTATTATTATTAGATCTTTCCTTGTCAGAAAATGAGACATAAACCTGGGAGATAATAGAGTTACAAGGGTTCAAACTACAAGGTTAAACAGGCTAGCAAGGAAGCTGTATGGCTGAGAAAGAAAAGCACAAGGTACTTCTAGAAGCTGGAGGATATCCAGGAAAAGACATCTACACAGGCCAGGCGCAGTGGCTCACGCCTGTAATCCTCGCACTTTGGGAGGCTGAGGCAGGTGGATCACAAGGTCAGGAGATCGAGACCATCCTGGCTAATATGGTGAAACCCCATCTCTACTAAAAATACAAAAAATTAGCCAGCGTGGTGGTGGGTGCCTGTAGTCCCAGCTACTTGCGAGGCTGAGGCAAGAGAATGACGTGAACCCGTGAGGCAGAGCTTGCAGTGAGCCGAGATCACACCACTGCACTCCAGCCTGGGCAACAGAGCGAGACTCCATATCAAAAAAACAAAAACAAAACAAAACAAAAAAAGACTTCTACACGATGCAACATTTCTGTTCATGTCATTCAGGTAAGATAAAAATACCGACAGAACATCTACAAAATATGGAGGAGGAGAAAGCAATATCTAGCAATATGCACATATAAGAAAAATTTTAATGTATACATAATGTCACTGACATATTTTTTAAATGTCATTTGTACTTCAACATCTTTCATTTGTTCAAATTCCAAACATTTTATACCTTACATCAATCTACTAGGCCATTCTCAGGGAGTTTGTGAAAGAGTCAGGATACCACACCTACGACGAAACTAGATAAGGAATGGTTGAAAGGTGACAGCAGAAAATAAACTGCTTTCCTTATTCCCAGTCCAATGCTCACTGACAAGTGAAGCTCAAAGTTCAAAATATTCATTTCCTATTTTAATTATTCATCACAAAATACAAGATTGACCAGAGTTTGCAAGAGAAAATTATCTGGTTATAACCCCCAGCAAAAAAACAGAAGGGAACTCAAGAGTACATCTTTTCTATCTCTGCCTCAAAAAGACTTAAAGTATTCCTGTTCTACAATCACCAGAGATTCTATTGCTTTTTGTGTATCATATTTCATTGCCTTTGTAATCATAAATTTCTAATGTCCAACACATATTTCCTCCCACTGTTGTAAACTTTATAATTCTGTCTTCAGGGTAAAAACAGTTGCTACAGGGGTAGTGTTAAGAGCAATGACTTGGGAAGAAAGGGCTTAGCTTGAAGGTGGGACGTCGCAATTGGGTTTTGTCACCCATTAAAATAAAGTGAGCTACTGAGACCAATGACCGCTAACATTCTATAAATCTATGATCACACAATGATATACAGTAGTCCCCCATTATCCTTGAGGGATACATTTCAAGACTCCCAGCAGAAGCCTGAAATCATGGATAGTACTGAACTCTATATATACTGTGTTCTTCCTATACAAACAGATTTCCAAATTTATAAATCCGACACAGTAAAAGATTAACAACAATAATTAACAGAACAATTTTAACACTATGTCAGCATCACTATGTTTGTGCTTTGGGGCCATTATTAAGTAAAATAGGATTACTTAAACACAAGCACTGAGATACCATGACAGATACCATGACAGTCTACCTGATCACCAGGACAGCTACTAACAGGCAGGTAGTGTATACATAGTGTGGTTATACTGGAGAAGGGGATGATTCGCCACCAGGGCAGGACAGAGCAGAACAGCATGAGATGTCATGATGCTATTCAGAATGGTGTGCAACTTAAAACTTATGTTTATTTCAGGAGCTTTCCATTTAATACTTTCACAACATGGTTGACTGCAGGTACCAGAAACTGCGAAATGTGAAAACATGGATAAAGGGAGACCACTGTAATTATACATGGCATACCTTACTTTTTTCTTTTTTCGAGACAGAGTCTTGCTCTGTCACCAGGCTAGAGTACAGTGGCGCAATCTCAGCTCACTGCAACCTCTGCCTCCAGGGTTCAAGCAATTCTCCTGCCTCAGCCTCCTGAGTAGCTGGGATTACAGGCACGTGCCACCACGCCCAGCTAATTTTTTTTTATTTTTAGTAGAGACAGCGTTTCACCGTGTTAGCCTGCATGGTCTTGATCTCCTGACCTCGTGATCTGCCTGCCTTGGCCTCTCAAAGTGCTGGGATTACAGGCATGAGCCACCGTGCCCGGCTGGCATACCTGGTTTTATAGCACTACAGTTAACCACACTTTGGAGGTACTGTACTTTTTACAAGTTGAGGGTTTATGGAAACCCTGCATTGAGCAAGTCTTTGTTTCAACAGCACGTGCTTACTTCATATCTGTTTCACATTTTGATAAGGTTTGCAATATTTCAAACATTTTCATTATTATTATATCTACAATGGTGATCTGTGATCAGTGTCTTTAATGTCTATTGTCATTGTTTTGGGACACCATAAACTATGCCCATACAAGCCAGCAAACTTTTTTTTTTTTTTTTAAGTTAAAAAAAACACAGCAGCCGGGCACAGTGGCTCATGCCTGTAATCCCAGCACTTCAGGAGGCCGAGGCGGGCGGATCACCTGAGGTCAAGAGTTTGAGACCAGCCTGACCAACATGGTGAAACCCTGTCTCTACTAAAAATAAAAAATTAGCTGGGCGTGGTGGCACATGCCTGAAATCCCAGCTACTTGGGAGCCTGAGGCAGGAGAATCACTTGAATCTGGGAGGCAGAGGTTGCAGTGAGCTGAGATCGTGCTACTGTACTCCAGCTTGGGCAACAAGAGTGAAGCTCCGTCTGAAAAAATAAATAAACAAAAAATTTTTTAAAAACACATAGCATCAGGGGAGAGTGCAAACGCAGCCTCCCACTACCATAAATTATGCAGTCAAGTTTCTCACATTTGTGGAAAATTGCAGGGGTCAGCACATCCAGAGTGCAATGGATAAGCCCAAGGTAGCAAACTTCATCAATAAATGTTATGTGTGTTCTGATCACTCTGCCAACTGGCCATTCCTCCATCTGTCTCCCATTTTCTTGGGACACTATTAAAATTAGGTCAATAATGCTACAATGCCCTCTAAGTGTTCAACTGAAAAGAGTCACATGTCTCTTACTTCAAATCAAAAACTAGAAATGATTAAGCTTAGTGAGAAAGGCATGTTGAAAGCCAAGATAGGCCTAAAGCTAGGCCTCTTATGCCAGTTAGCCAGGTTGTGAATGCAAAGAAAAAGTTCTGAAGGGAAATTTAAAATCCTACTCCAGTGAACATACGAATATGCAGAAAGTTTTAGTATCAAGACAGAAGATCAAACCAGCCATAATATTCCCTTAAACCAAATCCTAATCCAGAACAAGAGCCTAACTCTCTTCAATTCTATAAAGGCTGAGAGAAGTGAGGAAGCTGCATAAGAGAAGTGTGAAGATAGCAGAGGTTGGTTCATGAGGTTTAAAAAAAAGAAGCCATCTCCATAACAAAAATGCAAGGTGAAGCAGCAAGTGCTGTTGTACAAGCTGGAACAAGTTATCCAAAAGATCTAGCTAAAATGAAGGTAGCTACACTAAACAACAGATTCTCAATGCCAATGAAACAGTCTTATACTAGAAAATGATACTACAGAGGACTTCGTAGTTAGAAAGGATAAGTCAATGCTGGGCTTCAACGTTTCAAAGAACCAACTGATTCTCTTGTTAAAGGCTAAGGCAGCTGGTGACTTTAAGTTGAAGCCAGTGATCAGCTACTATTCCAAAAATCCTAGGGCCCTTAAGAATTATGGGTCACACCTGGCCAGGCACGGTAGCTCACACCTGTAATCCCAGCACTTTGGGAGGCCGAGGCAGGCAGATCACGAGGTCAGGAGATCAAGACCATCCTGGCTAACACAGCGAAACCCCGTCTCCACTAAAAAAAAAAGAAAAAAAAAGAAAGAAAGAAAGAAAGAAAATAATTATGGGTCACACCTGTGATCCCAGTGATCCCAGCACTTTGGGAGGCCAAGGCAGGCTGATCACTTGAGGCCAGGATTTCAAGACCAGCCTGGCCAACATGGCAAAACCCCATCTCTACTAAAAATACAAAAATCAGCCAGGTGTGGTGGTGTACACCTGTAATCCCCACTACTCAGGTGGCTGAGACAGGAAAATCGCTTGAACACAGGAGGCAGAGGTTGCACCACTGCGCTCCAGCACCCCAGCCTGGGTGACAGAATGAGACCCTGTCTCAAAAAACAAAACAAAACAACTATGCTAAATCTACTCTGCCTATGCTCCAGGGACGAAACAACAGGGTCTGGAAGATAGCACATCTGTTTACAGGATGGTTTACTGAATATTTTAAGCCCACTGTTAAGAACTACTGCTCAGAAAAAAAAATTCCTTTCAAAATACTGCTGCTCACTGACAACACACCTGGTCACCCAAGAGTTCTGATGGAGATGTTCAAGGAAATGAATGCTGTTTTCATGCCTGCAAACACAACATTCATTCTGTAGCCCATGGATCAAGGAATCATTTCAGCTTTCAAGTCTTATTAAGAAATACATTTCATAAGAATATAGCTGCCAGCCAGGTGCAGTAACTCACACCTGTAATCCCAGCACTTCGGGAGGCTGAGGTGAGCAGAACACCTGAGGTCAGGAGTTCAAGACCAGCCTGGCCAACATGGCGAAACCCCATCTCTACTAAAAATGAAAAAATAAAATAAAAAAAATTAGCCAGGCATGGTGGCCTGTGCCTATAGTCCCAGCTATTCGGGAGGCTGAGGCAGGAGAATCGCTTAAACCCGGGAGGCGGAGGTTGCAGTGAGTCAAGATCACACCATTGCACTCCAGCCTGGGCAACAAGAGCAAAACTCTGTCTCAAAAAAAAAAAAAAAAAAAGAATATAGCTGCCATAGACAGCTGGGCAAAGTAAATAATAGACTATTTTCTGGGAAGGACTGACCATTCTAGTTGCCCTTAAGAACATCTGTGATACCTCTTCATGGGAAGAGGTCAAAAAAGCAACATTCACAGGAGTTTGGAAGTTGATTCCAACTCTCATGGATGGCTTTGAGGGGTTCCAGATTTCAGTGAAGGAAATAACTGTAGATGTGGTGGAAACAGCAAGAGAACTAGAATCAGAGGTAGAGCCTGAAGATATGAATCACTGCAATGTCATAATAAAATTGAAATGAATGAGTAATGAATGAAAATGGTTTCTTGAGTTAAATCTACTCCTGAAGATGTTGTAAACACTGTTGAAATAACAAAGGATTTAGAATATTACATAAACTCAGCTGATAAAGCAGCAGCAGGGTTCGAGAGGATTGATTCCAATTCTGAAAGAAGTTCTACTGTGGGTAAAATGCTATCAAACAGCATTACATTCTATAGAGAAATATTTCATAAAAAAGAGGCAATTGATGCAGCAAACTTCATTGTTGTCTTATTTTAGGAAACTGCCAGAGCCCCCACCCAGCCTTCAGCAACCACCACCTTGATCAAGGGAAAATCCTCCACCAGCAAAAAGTTGTGCTTCACTGAAGGTTTGGATGATTGTTAGCAGATTTTTAAGCAAAAATATATCTTAATTAAAGTATGTACATTTTTTAGACATAATGCTATTATACATTTAACAGACTGCAGTATGGTATAAACATAACTTTTATATGTACTCGGAAACCAAAAAATTTGTGTAACTTGTGCTATACTGTGGTGGTCAGGAACAAAAACTGCATTATCTGTAAGGTATACCTGTGTAATTTATTAAGAGAATTACTAAATTTCCTAATATTTCTAAACTAAGTATCTACTACAACATTCATCTACAGGACTATTTACTAGTTTTTCAAACAGTTTTCTCACTCAGAACATTTCTTTCTGATATCCCTATCATATGCTTACACTGTGAAATACTAAGTACAGTGAAGCCCTGTAATTTCCATAAGCACCATTCCAATTATATGACTTCTTATCAATGATTTTGAATGCAAAGGCATTATCAGCTTAACAATAACCCACAACACTTGGACCAACTACAAAAGCATTATCAATGACCCTTATTTAACTGGTTTTTCTCAGCACTTTGGGATACTTTGTACTATCATGTGTAGTACAAAAACTCTACTCCCATACCAAATTTCAACAACTATTTACTTTCCTTAAGAAAATTATCTTGCCCTGATCCAGCTAAATGCCATATGTATATTCGCCAACTTTCCTGAACCATCAGGTATTCTGAAATTTAATCAAGTTTTCTATTGAGCCACCTATTCAATTTGATGCCATTTCACAATCTTAATGAGCATACTCTGTGTGCTACCATCTAAGACTCTGGCGGAAGTATTAAAAAGCACTGGGATCAGGATCCGACTGACAGAATTCAACTCAGAGTGCATGGTCCCCCTCCTCAGTGCTGGGGACTGGTGATGAGCCACAGGTAATTGTTCTCAGAGGATCTTGATAGTCCTAGGTCAGTCTATCTTCTTAGCCACAAAACTTGCCACCTCTCACAAACATATGCTACCTACACCATCACACACACACACACACACACACACACACACACACACACACAGATAAAAGACTGGCAGAAGACAGATCCATAGCAACCAACCTACATTAGGCACCCTAAGATGGTGAATCTGCATCATACTCATCTTCAAAGAAAGCAGCATTAAGTTTTCTTGGCAACACTCTACTCAACTGACTGTAGTAACCTATGCTAGTGAGGCCCCCCATAAAATAGGATGACATAACCACAGCTTGCCAGATGCCATCTCAGGCAGCAAAGCTATTTTTCAATATACAAGCTCATCTCCACTCCCACCTGTTGAACTGAATGTCTAACAAGAATCAGTGGTTTCTGTTTCCAAATCTGCCTTATAATTATGCCTGTTCTGTTACTGTAGATAATATAATCAGTTACAACCCAAACCAGTAAGTGCAAAAAGGATGCATTATTTCTATAAAATCTATGTTGACTGCTTTGAACAGATCAAAAGACATACTGCCAAGCATGGTCAGGACAACTTAAAGACTGGGATGGATAAAAATCATAAATCTGGAAAGATTATACAAAGAAAAGGAAACAGTCAACAGAGTAAAGACACAACCTGCAGAATGAAAGGAAATATGTGCAAACCGTACTTCTGATGACCATACTTCTTTAACATCTAAAATATACAAGGAGCTCAACTCAATAGCAAGAAAACAGATAACCCAATTTTTTAAATGGTCAAATGATCTGAATAGACATTTCCCAAAAGACGACATACAAATAGCTAACAGGTACACAAAAAAGTATTCAACATTAATAATCACCAGAGAAATGCAAATTAAAACTGCAGTGGAATAGTTATCACCTCACTCCTGTTAGATGGCCATGATCCAAAAAGACAAGAGATAACAACAAGTGTTGGCAAGGACGTGGGGGAAAAAGGGAACCCTTGTATACTACTCATTGGAATTAGTACATCCAATATGGAAAACAGTATATTAAAATTAAAAATAGAACTACCAGTGGAATTGAGCCAGCAATTCCACTTCTGCGTATATATCCAAAGGAATGGAATCAGGATGCTGAAGAGATATCTACACTCCCATGTTCAACTGCAGCATTATTCACAATAGCCAAGACATGAAATCAACCTAAGTGCCCATTAATGGATGCATGGATAAAATGTGACATATAAACACAACGGAATACTATTAAGCCTTAAAAGAGAAGGAAATTCTTTCATTTGTAAAAACCTGGATGAACCTGGAGGACATCATGTTAAGTGAAATAAGCCAGACACCGAATGACAAATACCACATGATCTCATTTATGTGCAGAATGTAAAAGAGTCCAACTCACAGAAGCAGAGAGTAGAATGGGGGGTTGGGGATATGTTCATCAAAGGACATAAAATTTCAGTTAGGAGGAATAAATCAATTGTATGGTGATTATACTTAGTAACAATTTATTGTATACTTGAAAATTGCTAAGAGATTTTAAATGTTCCCACCCCCCAAAAATGATAGGTGTGTGAGGTGTTAATTAGCTTGATTTAGCCATTACAATGTATACATATATCAAAACACCAAGCTGTACACCATAAACATACACAATTTATATTTGCAAGATTTAAAAAGTCTTAATTAAAATATTTTTTTTAAATCTAGAAAGAGTACCTTCAGATTGCTTCACAAATGTATTTAGACTCTCATGTCACTTAATGAAACCAAAACTGGACATTACTTAATTAACAATTACTTAGGCACTTACATGCCAGTTACCAACAGGATTAAATGAGTTAATCATTTTAAACTAGTATGTGTTTGACAATTACTGACTCACTGGTATTATCTGCATTTTACAAATGGGGAAACTGAGGCAAGGAACTGTCAAGTAACTTGCCTTGGTTCATATGCTAGTAAGAAAAGAGAATAAGGGTTGCAGCCCAGGAGGCCTGGTCTCAGAGGCCACATTCTACTATGCTAAATTATCACAGACTATGTATTATTTGTGTGGCTTATGCAGAAACAAGTGTATGGCTCTCAAATCAGTTGATGACATGCAAAGAACAAGCCTTAGACCTACATTTAAAAACGCAAATCATGTAAATTTATGTTTTAAATTAAACTAAACATTCAAGTTGCTTTTTAAGATTCCATGCTTTAACACATTTTTTTACTTACCTATCAGTTTTATCAATTTGAATAAGAGACTTCTGATGTACATTTCCCATGTTCTGGTGTAAGCCAGTCACAAATCAATGATAGAGCAAAGAGCTTCACATTAATTACTGATATTATTGACATGCTGTATTCTCTTTTCCCAGGAAAAGAAATGGAAGTATTTACAGGCTTGAATGTAACATTTTGAGATTCTACCCATGATTAATCAGCACAACTATAGTATAAGCAATTTCAGAAATGCAGAGGACAAAACAGGAAACTCCACCAAAAGCTTTAGCAAAACATCAAAAAAAAAAAAAAAAAAAGAATTCTGAACAAAATTCTTAACATTCAGAAATAAACCTAGGCTGAGCGCAGTGGCTCCTGCCTGTAATCCCAGCACTTTGAGAGGCCAAGGGCAGGTGGATCACCTGAGGTAAGGAGTTCAAGAGGAGCCTAGCCAACATGGCAAAACCCCGACTCTACTAAAAATACAAAAATTAGCTGGGCATGGTGGCGCACATCTGTAGTCCCAGCTACTAGGGAGGCTGAGGCAGGAGACTCACTTGAACCTGGGAGGCGGAGGATGCAGTGAGCTAAGATCGTACCACTGCACTCCAGCCTGTGCGACAGAGCAAGACTCCGTCTCAAAAAAGAAAAAAAAAAAAAAGAAAAAAAGAAAAAAAATCTCGTTTTGTCAGGTGAACATCTATTTAGAAAGTCTTCCCTCTTAATGGATTCCATTAATTTCTCTATCATCTTGCTGAGTGCTAAAGTGCAATCGAGTTATCAATGTAAAATCAAAAGCAACTTCTAAAACAAAATCCATCTCCACACTTACTACCATAACAAATTCATAAGTAAATTTCTCTCTGAAAGAGTTAAGCATAAAATACAATGTAACAAGTCAATGAGACATCTGGGGTATATTTACCCAAGTACAGAAACCTAAGGAGACAATGTCAAATGTCTTCAACTAATACACAACTTATGAAATTATTTTTTAAAGCATTCTCCCAATGTAATAATTATTTCAAGGACCCTGAAACAATCAGGTAAAAGGTTACTGACAAACAAGATCCCATACGGTTTCAAAGTTTCATCCTACAAATTACTTAATACAAAGAGAAAGTCATTCCTTTAGAATCTGGCATTCAGTACCTCTAAGCAAGTGATCAAACTTTTCTTTTTTTTTTTTTTTTTCTTTGAAAATTAAGTTTACTTGTTTATTATAAAGGATATTGCAAAGGATACAGATGAAGAGATGTGTAGGGCAAGGTAGTGGGGAAGGTGCTGGGAGCTTCCAAGCCTTCCTGAGTGGGCCACTCTCCAGGAACCTCCATGTGTTAAGCTATCAGGAAGCTCCCTAATTATTTTCTTTTTTTTCTTTTTTTTTTTTTTTTTAATTTTTTTTTTTAATTATACTTTAAGTTTTAGGGTACATGTGCACATTGTGCAGGTTAGTATATACCTAATGCTAGATGACACGTTAGTGGGTGCAGCGCACCAGCATGGCACATGTGATCAAACTTTTCTACACAAGGGGAGAACTTGACATTATGTTCACACTAATGGCAATGTACATTTACGTTTTACATTAAAATAAAGCATTTAAGGTATTTTTAGATCTGTGCTATAACTCACTTTTTCACTTTATCACTGGTGTGCTAAAATGTACACAACTTCACCTTAAAATTAAGAATCCTTGTCAAAATGTTTAACCTAAAACAAATCATTAAAAACAATGAGACAGATCTAAAATGTGGAAGGCTTGTATTCTTCCAAACCTCACTGACAGGACAAACAAAAAGAAGGGGAACCATTCTAGATTAAGACAGACTAAGAGAAATATCAAACCAACTGCGATTCATAAATCATTTGGGGATGTTACATTAGAAACGGCGGGGTGGGAACTACAGAAGACATTTTTGGGACAAGTTTCAATATGGACTATAAAGTAGCTGACATGAGATTACTGCTAATTTTCTTAAGTGTGATAAAATCGTGGTTATGTATGTGAATGTTCTCATTCTTAGGAAATTCATGCTGAAATACATAAGAGATAAAGTATAATATCTACAAATGGTTCTGGAAAAGGTATATTTATAGAAAAAGGCAAAGAACAGCAGGCAAATGTTAATAGTCAATCTAGGTGAAGAGTAAATAGGTGTTTGCTATACTACTTACTTCAATCTTTCTGTGGGGTTTAAATTTTTCAAAATAAAAAGTTGAAAGAGGATGTCCTCACAAAGACTTGTACTTGAATGTTCATTATGCATAATAGTCAAAAACTAGAAATGATCCAAATCCCCATCAACTAGTGAATGAATAAACACAATGTGGTATTATCCACAGAATGAAATACTACTCAGTAATAAAAAATAGAACTACAGATACATGCGACAACACAGATGAACCACAAAAACACGTTCAGTGAGAGAAGCTAGTCACAAAAGACTATACATTATGATTCCATTTATGTGAAATACTCAGAAAAGGCAAATCAAGAGTAACAGAAAGCATCAGTGTTCACCAAGGGGCGCGAACAGAAAATGACTTCCAAAAGGTCTGAGGAAAACTTTTCAGAATGATAGAAATGCTATAATATTGCATTGTGTTAACTGTGGTACAATGCTGTTAAGTTGACTAAAAATCACTGAACTACGTACAGTTAGAATGGGTGTATTTTATGGCATGTAAATTACACCTCAGTAAAGCTGTCAACAAAAAAGTTGGGAGAGGAATATTCTATGATCTGAAAAAAAATCAATGATATTTTGGAAAGGAATAAATCTGATAATTTGTTAGTGCAGACAGAGAGTCAGTGCAAGCATGGAATCAGGCATCAGGCTAAGCTATAAAATTAAAACAATTTCATTTCTACAAAAAAAAATACATTAAAAGGAAGCATCCAATAAAAGTTTACTTAAAAAGTAATGAAGTCCAGTCCTTTATTTTATATTCCGAAATAAATTTTTATATTACCAAGTATATATTTCCAAATAAGCTCCCTAGAGAAGAATACATAAATTAATTTCATAATCAAAAGACTGCTTTCAACAACAAAAAGACAACCCAATTAAACAGTGGGCAAAGCACTTGAACAGCCATTTCTTCAAAGAAGATATACGAATGGTCAAAAATCACAGGTAAAGATGCCTGTCATTAGCCATCAGCAAAATGCAAATCAAAACCACAATAAGATACACTAGGGTGGCTATAAAATTTAATTAAAAAAAAAAAAAACAGAAAGTAAGTGTTGGCCAGTATGTGGAGAAACTGGAACCCTCATACATTGCTAATGGAGTGTAAAATGGTGCAGCCACTGTGGAAAACAGTTTGGACTTCCTCAGTAAGTTAAACATAGAATTACCACAAGACCTAGCAATTCCACACCCACGTGTATACCCAAAAAGTGAAAATAGGTGTTCAAACAAAAACTTATACATGCATGTTCGTGGCAGCTCCACTCACACAGCCAAAAGGTGGAAGGGACCTAAATGTCTATCAACTGATTACTGGATAAACAAGGCTGTTATATCCATACAATGGAATGTTATTCGGTCATTTAAAAAAAATGGAAGTTATGCAGTAAGATACACACAACAACACGGATAAGCCCTGAAAACATTATACAGTGAAAAGTCATTTTTTATTATTTCACTCATATGAAAGAGACTGAATAAACAAATCCATAAAGACAAAAAATAGATTAGTGGCTGCAAGCGGATACAGAGAAAAGAATAGGAAGTGGCTCCTCAATGGGTACAGGTTTCCTTTTGGGGTAATAAGAATGTTCTCAAACTAGACAGTGATGACTGCATAACACTGACTGTACTAAACACCACTGAATGATTTACTTAAAAATGGTTAAAATGGTTTAAAATGGTGTATTGTGTAAGTATTATACCATAATTTAAAAATAAAACTCTGCCTGTGGGTGTACAACATTTTTAACTTGAACTTAATTACTATAACTTTTTCTACCTCTTTTGGCTTTTATGTATACCATAGATCATATTATAGGTATGTCAAAATATTAAACATTTACTGAACACTTGCTACACTGCTACAAACAAGATGTATGCTAGCAACTTTTTTTGAATTTCAGTTAAATCCTTAAAAAAAACTATAAGGTAGGTAGGTATTATCATTCCCATCTTATGCTTAAGAAACCATGGCTAAGAGAAATGAGGCAACTTAACTAATAAGTGGTACACCCTAACCCTAACATTTTTAAGATTAACTCAAATATAAAAGGGAATAAGCTAAATGATTTCTAAGGTAACTTCCAGCAATACAACTCTATGAATATGCCACATTTTAAAAAACACCTTCCGCAAAATGTCCTGACAATAGCTTTCCAGTGAAATATATGAACAGAAAGTCAGCACTAGTCCTAAAAGATCTTTAGTATGACACATGTTAGCATTTCTTTCCCTCTACCAGTATAAGATATTAATTATTAATTACCTTACTGGTTACCATTTCCAGAGAACCCAAAAGGTCCAAGGTGATTGTCACCAAATTTCAAAGTATATCATGAAAGGTGGGTAGCAGAGAAACTGACTATATGTAAACACCTACAGAAAGGAAATTATTAAAAAACACAGATTCCTAGGCCCCACCCCAGGATCTAGTGAATGAAAATCGTTGGGTCAATGCCCAAGAGTGCTTACATTTTCTTAAAAGTCCAAGTGGTCAGCCCAGTTTGGGAATTGCCACAGGAAAGTAAAATTTATATTTTGTCAAACAGGACATACAAGCCAGTCCAACTATACTGACTTTGGAGTACAAGAGTATAGGATTTATAATCTAGTTATGATGTCAGACCTTTTTACTGTACACTGACATTTCAAAGGACATGATTCTACCCAAAGATACTTGAATCTTTGCATTGATTCATTCATGATACTCAACATACCAAATTGTACTTATATTACCTTTAAGAAATATTTTAGTGATCAATTCCAACTGCTCATACACATAAATGTATTATATGAAATACACACACGTACACACTAGAAGCCTTACACAACATGTAGCAGGGTTCCTGACAATCTAACCCCAAATAGTTTTTAAATAAACAAGCACAAGTAAATCCAACATTGACTGACATCCACATTATGTGCCAGGCACTGTTCTAGGCGCTGTGAATATAGCCAAGAATAAGACACATTCTCACAATACTTATTATTAGCAGGGACATGAGTCACTAAGCAGGCTACTATGGAAATAATCACCCCTCTTCATCATTTTCCTTATTTTGCTTTTAGAAGTGAACATTCTGCTTCATCCTTCCCTAGGTCATTATATAATTCTTGCTTTGTCGTATCAATCCCTTTAAATTCCAGTTTTCATTATACATGGGGAAAATGTACAGCCAGGCAGCCTCTGTCACTATTTCAAAGCAACTGGAAAATCCCAGAATCCACATTTTCATTGGGCTGAGACTTTCCAATATGCCTAATAATGATACTTTATGACCTGGAAGTTCCAATGAATTGGTAGTAAGAAAACATTGATTTGCTTCAGTGGCACTGTGATTGGAATGGTGATTAAATGCATCATGTTAAATTTACCCTGGGCCTTTTCCAGTATAGCAAATATAAAATGAGCTATCAGCATCAGCAGAGCCTAAACCACTCCTTCCTTCTAAAACGGTACTTCTGCTGCATGTCAAAGGTGATATGATGGAACTTCGCCCATTAATAATCAGGTGGCATAACATGACAAACTGTATACACCCACATAGGCTTCCACAGGATGTACACTGCCCAACATGGTTTATTCTATTTAGCAACTTGGGACAACCTTATGTATGTCAGAGCAGCACATTTGCACCACTATAGTTAATGGTCTGTCAGCATTTCCATTATAAAGCAATTTTCAAAGGTTTATTGCTCAGCTGAAGAATCTGCTCTGAGCTGAAATTTGGCATTCCAGAAAAGCAAAAACTGTAGGCTATAGTTATTTATTCCTTTCCAAGCAGGCCAAGTAGTTTGTTTCTTTTTAAAGAAAATCTGTCCCTTTATTTCAGAATTTCGTCATATTGCCCTTTGAGAATATCCACAGAACAAAAACCTCTCACCTCATAAAGGGACTATTGTTTAGAATAGCAGCTAGCAACTTACAAGGTACAGAGGATAGATTCCAACTTATTTATGGAAAACAATTTTTAAAAAGCAAGCACATTTTTATGAATTGCACGTTTAAAATTTTCATCAGTCCTACCTTAGTTATGATTAAATTATTCATGCTATTAGAGCGCGTGCTCTGCCACTGATGACTTTGAAATTCTCAATTGTTAAACCTCCTTTATCTCTCCCACCCAAGAACCACAGACCACTGACCTAGGGTCAATGTTACATACTCTTGCTATTCCATCTTACTCTACTAAACGGAATATGCGCTGTAAGTAAAAGCTTGGTAGCAAGAAAGGTGATACAGTAGATAGGAGACGCTTTGACAGTAATTTAGAAAATTCAGAAAATGGATGATTAGCCCCTGAATGATGAAGTTCCCAGAAAACCAATGTGGTAATCTAGATGACCAGTAAATTAGTGATAAACAATTTTATTCAATCTCTGGAAACTGTTCTACTAGTCTGAAAGCTTGCCAGAATATTTCACGTGTCAAAGAAGAAATTAAATATTCCTATATATTTTGTTGGTGACTCTAACTAGAAAGCTTAAATATTTACACCTTAAATTATAGGATTTTTCAATTATACAGGTAATTATAATTCTGATACAAGTCTACCCAATAAATAAAGAAGTTTTAACACAAAATTGGTTTTCTAAGCTTAAAAATTCTCATTATGTACCAATAAAGACTCTCAAAACTTTCAAGACTGGTGATCAAAGCAACCTTTTAAAAATGAATACTTTTTAGAGAAGTGTAAGGATCCATCCTAAATTACTGCACACAGCTTGACATGCTTTGCCAATTTTCCAGCTTTATGTTACTCTGAAATTATTACTATTTAAAATCATCTATGAAACTACTTCCAAACTAAGTAACAACATAGGGTAATGTTTGTAAAATGTTAAGTAAATGGGACATGGCCAGTGCAGTTGCTCATGCCTATATATAGTCCCAGCTACCTGGGAAGCCGAAGCAGGAGAATCACCTGAGCCCAGGAATTCAAGTCCAGCCTGGACAATATAGTGAGACATCATCTCTTAAAAAAAAAAAAAAAAAAAAAAAGTAAGTAAAAGAAGCTTGCTGCTGCATCTCTATCTGAAAAGAAAAAGTCTACATTCAATTAAAATTACTTTTTTAAAAAAGGAAATGGGATCTAATTCATGATTACAGCTATTGGAAACAGATGTGGAAGCAACAGACAAGAACTAGAAGGGTCTAACACACCTGAAAAGATATGAACAACATTTTCTTTTATAATTTTTACTAACGTTATATTTGTTTTGTTTGTTTGGTGGTGGTGGTGGTGTTTTGAGACAGGGTCTCACTCTGCCACTCAGGCTAGAGTGCATGGCAGGCTAGAGTGCAGTGGTATCATCTCAGCTCACCACAGCCGCAGCCTCAACCTCTTGGGCTCAAGCAATCCTCCTTCCTCAGCCCCCCGAGTGCCTGGGACTACAGGGATGTGCCACTATGCCCAGCTAATTTTTGTATTAAAAATACAAAATACAATAATTTTGTATTTTTTGTTTCACCATGTTGCCTCGGCTGGTCTTGAACTCCTAGGCTCAAGCAATCCTCCTGGCTTGGCCTCCCAATGTCCTGGGATTACAAGAGTAAGCCACTGTACCTGGCCATAATGCTATTATATTCATTTTATAACAAATATTTTATATTCAGATTCCAAATTAACCCCACCTTTACCCTTTGCAGGCAGTATCTATACTTTCCAAATATACAAATACAAACGCTGAATTTAAAAACAGAATTACCAGAGGACACTCAACAAACTAACAGAATATTTAAAATTAACCCTCAACAGCTACAAGTGTTACATGTCAATTGGTTTTATATACAGCACCAGAGAACCAAGTAAGGAATTAAATTACTTTTGTCTTTTGCAATTTTGTTAAAGGCCTCAGCAAGAAGGTCTCTCCAGTACTTAACCTAAGCACCTGTGAATCCCTTCAGCTTTTGTGAGAGAAACCTCAAGTCAGTCTGCTAGTGGTTCAGATGCAGCAAACAGAACATGGAAGTGAGTATCAAACCTTCACTCAACCTCACTGCTTTCATTCAAAAGGCTGAAGCCCCTCTAAAAGGCTTAACTGAAACATACTGGAAGTTAGTAATTGATGATTTCATTTCCATATTAGAAAGACAAACACATCCTTTTTTTGTTGTTATTGAAACATGGTCTCACTCTGTCACCCAGGCTGGAGCACAGTGGCACAATGTCGGCTCACTGCAGCCTCAATCTCCTGGGCTCAAGCAATCCTCCTCCTACCTCAGCCTCCTGATGAGTAACTAGGACTACAGGTGTGTGCCACCACGTCTCGCTAATTTTTGTATTTTTCAAGAGAAGGGTTTTCACCATGTTGCCCAGGCTGGTCTCGAACTTCAGTTCAAGTGTCGGGATTACAAGCGGGAGCCACCACACCTGGCCAACACAGCCTTGTTCATGATTTAAAATAACAGTAAAAGGTTTTTCTGGATTTGATAACTTTTCATCTCTTACCCATTTACCACTCAAATCTCCCTTGCTTTCTCAGGATGCCCTTTTCCTTCCTTAATATGCTATCGGTAGGAATATACGATTATAGAACCACTTACTACTCATTTCTGAGTAAGAAGGCCTGGCCACAGTGAAAGCACCAGAATGAATTGCCAAAAATTGGACGGCTTGCTCCCTTGCTCCCTCACCTCTAACACCACAGTAGCCTATCTTTCAATAAAATTGAATTTATTCCAATAAACATACTGCATGTTAAAAAAAAATTCAGTAGGCACAAAAAAAGTACTAGTGAAACGTATGTCTCATTCCCACTCCTGTCTTTCACACACTCAGTTCCCCTCTATTAAAAGCAACCACCAGTTTCTTGTAGGTCCTTCCCTAAGGTATATCCTATTTTAAACTCTGAATCTCGGCACTCCATATTCTGCCTGCATGCTTTATTTTTCTCCTAGTATTGATCACCAATTAGCCTGCCAACATATTTTTATTATTTACAATTAAATCAATTATTTTATTCTTGCCCCACCCGATTCTGCAACTCCATAAAAGCTCCATGACGAACTCTTTACTGATATATTTCCATAGCATGGAATTTCCGCTACCTGGAACATAACAGACCTGTGACAAGTATTTGTTGAATGAGTTAATAACCTTGTTACTACAAATACTAACAACAAGCAAGTAATGTATTCTTTACAAAATACTAGTGCTTTTCCAAAAAGAGGGGAAAAAAATCTACAGAACTAGTGCACTCTACTTAGAAAACTAAATCAGTTTAAAAGTAATGAAAATTGCAACAACTCAATATTGCCCATTATTTGATATTAAAATTTTACACTGAATTTCTACACAAAAGGAAGTTTGCTCAAACACCATTTGTAAGATGAGTTTCTCCTCTTGAAAAAGAGATGTCTTCTGCAAGCCTATTCCAAGAGAGTAAAATTTTGAATAGTAATTTCTAATTCTCAAGAGTACTGAAAGAGTACTTTGCTATGTAATGTTCTCAGAACACAGTATAAAAGAAGTTATAAATAAAAACATTAAGATAATATGGGAAGAAATTCCCACACATACGCAGAAAAACTTGTATTGCAAGGGTTTCTGCAGTATTGTTTAAAATAGTTACATAACTAAATCACAGTTAAACAGTTAAAACAAGATTGGTAATAACCTAAATGTCCATAAAAAGAGACTAAAGTATGCTGAATCTATTGAGTATAATATGACACTACCCAAAAGAATAATTCTACATATACTGATATAAAACAATCTTACCCAAAAGAATGACGTAATTCTACATACACTGTTATAAAACAATCAATAAAACACATCATAAGAAGCTGAATAGTATGTATAGTACATGCCCAAACATATACTGTTTAAATGTATAATGGTTAAGCACAGTACAAAGTAGAAGGATACTCCCCATCAAAAAACACCATGGTTACATAGGTTGCCCTCGGGGTAATGGAACTGTGAACGGAAGTAAAAATATTTACTTTTCACTGTAAACCATTTTGAACTGTTTAAATTTTTACCATGTGCATTAGTTGTATTATTTCTTCAAAACAGGGCAATTAAAGAATTGTAAAGAAATTTTATTTGAAATATGCAAAGATAATAACGGGCATCTCTAACGTCTAAAACATAAGGGCTAAAATTAGATCAATCCTATTTAAACAGTGCTTATTTCAAGTATTAGTTTACATCTACAATTTAAATACAAATATACATCTAAATTGGACAAATGAACAATAACTTCGGATCATTAAAGCATTCATGAAACCTCAGAAAAAGTCACAACACAAAAATGAACAGGCTGGGCACATTTTAACAATAATAGTGGCTACTCAGCCACTATTGTTAAAGGCTAACAATAATAGGTTAATATCACATTAAATGGTGAAATATTGCACGCTTTTCCCCGATGCAGGAAAAAAGTAAGAAGGTACACTATCACCACAACTACTCAACATTATAGTAGAGATTCTAGCAAGTGGAATTAAGCAAGGAAAGTCAAATAAGAATCAAAAAGATTAGTGGTGCCAACATCATCAAAAGAAAAAGGAATCTTAAAAATCAGAAACGAATGGCCAGGTGTGGTGGCTCATGCCTGTAAATCCCAGCACTTTGGGAGGCCGAGGCGGGTGGATCACGAGGTCAGGAGATCGAGACCACACTGACTAACACGGTGAAACCCCGTCTCTACTAAAAATACAAAAACAAAATTAGCCAGGCGTGGTGGCGGGCGCCTGTAGTACCGGCTACTTGCGAGGCTGAGGTAGGAGAATGGCGTGAACCCGGGAGGCAGAGCTTGCAGCGAGCCGAGATCGCGCCACTAAACTCCAGCCTGGGCAACAGAGTGAGACTCCGTCTCAAAATAAATAAATAAGAAATGAATATGTAAACCTGTCATTATTCATACATAACATGACTGGGTATCATGGAAAGAAATCTGTAAAATATTAGAATTAACTAATGAATTTAGCAAGGTCACTGAATAAGGTCAACATACAAAAATTAATTTTATTTCCTCATTTAAAACAATAAACAAGTTAAAAAGTGAAATTTAAATCATAGTACTTATATCAAAAGATATCAAATACCAAGAAATAAATCTAAAAGATGTACAGGGTTGCTACACTGAAAATTATAAAACACTTCTGAGGGAAATTAAAGACTTACATAAATGGAAATATATATACTATGCTTAGATTCAATAGAATTTCAATCAAAACCACAGCATTTCTTTTTAACTGAAATTGACAGTCTGACTCTAAAATTTATATGAAAATTCAAAGGCTGTGGAATAGCTAAGACAATCATGAAGAATAATAAAAAACCTGAAGGACTTACACTACCAGATATGAAAACCTATCTGAAAGCTACAGCAATAGAGACAGCATGTCACTGATGTAGAAACAGACAAACAGACCAATGGAACAGAATTAAAAGTCCAGAAACAGACCTGCATGTGGCTTAACACTACCACAGCAAGCACTAGGGAAAATGGTCTTTTCAATAAACGGAGCTGGGTCAACTTGATATCAGTGTGAAAAAAAAATGAACTTTCACCATTACTTTACATCACATGTAAATGTGTACAGTAGACCCAAATGCGAAATATAAAACAATAAAACTAGAAGAATGAACTCGAATGTCTTTTTTAACTCTGTAATAGGAAAAGATATCTTAAAACACAAAGAGTCCTGACCACATAAAACAATGATAGATAACACTGCATTAAAATTGAGAACTTCTGTTCATCAAAAGATAACACTAAGGGAATAAAAAAGTCAACCACAGATTGGGAGAAGATAGCTGCAATACACATACATGGGGTGTGTGTGTGGGTATGTGCGTAAACTATAAAAAGAACTATAAATCAATAAGAAGACTGACTCCCAATTTATTTATTTTGTGTGTTTTTGCTATTCTTTTCTGACTACTTGCTGACTGTTGATTCCCAATTTAAATTGGACAAAAGACTTGAACAGGCACTTCAAAAATGCAGACATCTATGCGGTCAATAAAAAAATGGAAAACAGTTCAACATCAGTAGACATCAGACAATGCAAATTAAAATTAAAATGCCACACCAATATAACTCCACCAGAGGCTAGAAGACTGAAAATATCCAAATTCTGGCAAAGGTGTGGAACACTGAAATACTAATCCGCTGATGCTGGGAGAGTAAACTGGTATAGCCACTACCGCAAAAGCTTAGCATTGATAACCTATGACTCACCGATTCCCTCTCATCTATATACTCTTGAAATACGAAGCTGAATTTCTTCCAAGAGACATATAAAGCAACATTCACAGCAGCATTACACCTAACAAAGACGGAAGATAAGCCAATGTCTACCCACAAGTGAATAAATCCATAAACTGTTCTGTATTCACACAATGGGATGAGAATTACTACCATAAGCAACAACAAAGATGAACCTTACAGACATAATGTTGAGCAAAACACACCAGACATGAAGAAGTGCCTATGATTCTAGTTACATGATGTTTAAAACAGATAAAACTAAAACTACAGTGATAGAGATCAAAATAATAGTTACGTACAGACAAGGCTTTAAGTAGAAGAGGGCAAGAAGGAGCCTACAGGTATGAAGGAAATATTCTTTACCTTGCTCTAGCTGTTGATTACACAAATATAGACATATATAGATAGAAATATACATGTATGAAAATTCATTACGTTGTAAATTTAACATCATACTTGTTATTATATGTAAGTCATATCTAAATTTAAAAAGAGGATATTATCAACAATATCATGTTAATAAATTATAAATTTTAAACTTCTAGGGAAAAAAAACTTACCAAAACCAAAAAGAATAAACAAAATCTAACCAATCCTACAGTGAAGAAGAAAATAAATCCAAAATTTAGAACTTCATTAGAAATGAAGAAAATCTCAGTCTCGGTTGGCTTTACTGGCAATTTCTACAAAGAGTTAAGAAATAAATCCATCTTAAACACAGCAGGGCAAGAGAAGGAGCACTCATCCACTCACCTGATGAGACCAGCATAACCTTGATGCCAAAACTCAATAAGGGCATTATAGGTATTTAAAACACACACACACACACAGACACACACACACACAAAACAGAAGGCAGGCAGGCAGGAAGGCAGGAAGGCAAGAAAGAAAGAAAAGAAAGAAAGAGAGAGAGAAAGAAAAAGAGAAAGAGAGAGAAAGAGAGAAAGAAAGAAAGAAAGAAAGAAAGAAAGAAAGAAAGAAAGAAAGAAAGAAAGAAAAGAAAGAGGAAAAAAATTAAGACACCAGCCTCATTCATGAACACAGATACAAAGAATGTAAACAAAATTTAGCAAACCAAAATGGGCAATAAAATACCATGGTACAATAAAGTTGGGTTTTTTCATGGGAGTCCAAGGCTGATTTAATACTCAAACATTTATGTAATAGGCCACATTAACAAAATAAAGGAGAAAAAAACTTGAGCATCCAATGGACAGAGAAAAATAACTGGATAAAAATTAATATTCATCCACGGTTTTTTGTAAAACAAAAAAAATCAAAGGCAACAGAAGGAAACTTTCTTTCAGAAAAAAAGGATACTGTAAAAGAAAAAGAAAAAAGGTTTAAATAAAGCCAAAATGGAACATCAAACCTAACAGTGAAAAGCTGAGCTTTCTGTTTCAAATAAGAAACAAAATCAGTATAACCATAACCATTATGATGACATCTGTAAATCTACTCAATGTAAGGAAGGACAAAGACTTCTGAAAATAACTAGAGGGAACAAATGCCATAGCTTACACAGGGCCTAGAATAGTGCGTGTTCCCATCAGTAAGAATGGAAAACCTCACAATTCATAGGACACAGGGTAGAGTGCTCAAAAGGGTTTTGCCTCAGTAGTGGAGTAAATGAACCCTAGATTAAATGTTGATTTGGTACACCACAGCCTAACAAAACTTAGAAAGACAAGAAATGACTGAACTCTGCCCAAGAAACTTAACAGCATGCCAAAATAAAGTCAGGAATATTTACAAGAATACAAAAATATCTATGAAAACAAGGTAAAGTTCACAATCTCTGGTATACAATTTAAACTTTTAACTAGCATGCAAAGAAGCAGGAAAATATGACCCACAGTGACAAGAAAAATCAACTCAATCAAAAGTGATCCAGAATTGAAACAGATGATAGAATAGTAACCAAAGACATTAAACCAATAAATATAACTGTATTCCGTATGTTCATGTTTTTTGTACTAAATCAAAAAAAAAAAAGAAAATTCAAAAAGTTAAGTCTAGACATATAAGATAAAAAAAAAAAAAAAAAAAAAAAGAACCTCTGAGGCAGGAGAATCACTTGAACCCAGAAGGCCGAAGTTGCAGTGAGCGGAGATCACGTCACTGCACTCCAGCCTGGGCAACAAGAGCGAAACTCCGTCTCAAAGAAAAAAAGAGAAAAAGAACGTAATAGAACTCTTACAGATGTAAACTATATTGAGATGATAAAAACACTGGATGAAATTAAGAGCAGATTAAGCAATGAAGAAAAAAGGAACCTGAAGACCTAGCAGTAAATAGTCACAATAAAACAAAACAGTAAAAAATGAAGAAAATAAAAAGGATCTATGAGTGAGGAAACTTTAAAAGGCTTAATATATGTATAACTGAAGTCTATGAAGAGGTAGAAGGGAGGCAAAAAATTTTTTGAAGAAATAATGGCAGAAATGTTTAAAAACTGATTGGAAACATAATAAGCCCTTTGATCCAAAAATCTCTACAAAACTAAACACAAAAAATACAAAGAAAACTACACCAACGCACATCACATAATAAAGCTGCTTAATTAAAACCAGTGATAAAGACAAATTATTAAAAGCAGCCAGGAAAATCACATTATATATAAACGAAAGAAGATAAGGACAGTGACAGATTTCTCATTAGAGATGTTGCATGCTAAAAGACAGTAGAGCAACATCTTTAGGATACTGACAGAAAAATCTATCAACTTAGAATTCTATACTCAGCAAAAATATATTTCAAAAACGAAGAAACAAAGACATTTCCAAACATAAAAGCTAAAGGAATTCCTCACGAGCAGATCTGCACCACAAGAAATATTAAAGCCGGGTGTGGTGGCTCCTGCCTATAATCCCAGCATTTTGGGAGGCTAAGCCAGGAGGACTGCTTAAGGCCAGGAGTTTGAGACCAGCCTGGACAACATAGAGAGATTCTGTCTCTACAAAAAATTTAAACATAAAAAAATTAGTAAGGCACACACCGGTTAAGTCCTAGCTACTCTGGAGGTTGAGGTGGGAAGATCACTGGAGACCAGGAGTTCCAGGTTTACAATAAGCTATGATCACACGGCTGCACTCCAACCTGGGCAACAGACTTAAAAAAAAAAAGGGAAAGGAAAGGAAGGATTTCAAGGAGCAGGAGAATTATACCAAATGAAAATATGAACCTACACAAAGAAATGAGCACAAGTAAACAGACTTTTCTAATTATTCGTATCTCCTTAAAAGACAACTGCTTTATTTTTCTGAGGCACAGTCTGTTGCCCAGGCTGGAATGCAGTGGTACTATCTCAGCTCACTGCAACCTCCACCTCCTGGGCTCAAGCAGTCCTCCCACTTCAGCCTCCTGAGTAGCTGGAACTACAGGCACCAGCCACCACGCCCAGCTAATTTTCTGTATTTTTGTAGAAATGAGGTTTCACCATGTTGCCCAGGCTGCTCTTGAACTCCTGGACTCAAGGGATCCACTCACCTCGGCCTCCCAAAGTGCTGGGATTACAGGTGTCAGCCACGGCACCCAGCCTAAGACAAATGTGTAAAGCAAAATTAGTAACAGTGTAGTACGGGTTTTATAACATATGGAGAAGTGAAAGTGCATGACAACAATAACACAAAGTTGAAGAGATAGAAACAAAGGTCCTGGGCCGGGCGCGGTGGCTCACCCCTGTAATCCCAGCACTTTGGGAAGCCAAGGCAGGTGGATCACCTGAGTTCAGGAGTTCGAGACCAGCCTGGCCAACATGGTAAAACCACGTCTCTACTAAAAATACAAAAATCAGCTGGGCATTGTGGCATGCGCCTGTAATCCCAGCTACTCAGGAGGCTGAGGCAGGAGAATCGCTAGCACCTGGGAGGCAGAGGTTGCAGTGAGCCGAGATTGTGCCACTGCACTCCAGCCTGGGCAACAGAGCAAGACTCCACCTTCAAAAAAACAAACAAACAAACAAAAACAGAAGATCCTGAAATTGTATAGTATCACTTGAAGGCAGACTGTCATACGTTAAAGATAAAAGTAACCACTAAAATAACACAGTTAAAAAGTAATAGCTAGAAGCCTTTTATCAGATTGAGGAAGTTCCACTCGATTCATAGTTTGTTGAATGTTTTTATCAAAAGTGTTGTTTCATAAAATGCTTTTTCTGCCTCTATTGAGATGATGATATAATTTGTTTTTCATTCTGTTGATGTATTACATTAATTGATTTTCAGATGTTAAACCAACCTTATACTCCTGAGATTATCTCACTTAGTCATGGGATACAATTCTTTTTATGCATCTCTGATTTGGTTTACTAGCATTTTGTTAAGGATTTTGGCATACATATTCATAAGAGATATTGGAATGTGATTATGATACTTTACTTTTGGTCTTGGTATTTGGGTATTAATGGCCTCATGAGTTGGGAAGTGCTTCCTCCTAAACGTGTGTGTGTGCATGCGTGTGTGTGTGTGTAGAACTGGTATTAATTCTTTAAATGTTTGGTAGAATCCCTCAGAATTCCATCTAGAGCTAAGTTTTTCTTAAGAGGTAGCTTTTTAATTACTGAATCAATCTCTGCACTTGTTACAGGCCTATTCTAATTTTCTTCTACTTTCTGAGTCTGTTTCAGAAGTTCAGAGTCTAAGAACTGATGCATTTCCTCTAAGTTATATAATCTGCTGGTGTACAATTTGTTCACAGTATTCTTTTATAATCCTTTGTATTTCTGTAAGGTCAACAGTAGTGTCTCCTCTTTCATTTTTAATTCTGCTAATTGAGTCTCGCTTTGTATCTTGTTCAATCTATATAAATGTTTGTCAATTTTGTTGCTCTTTCCTAAGAACCAGCTTTTGATTTCATTGATTTACTGTTATTTTTCTATTCTCTATTAATTTCTGCTCTAATCTTTATTTTTGTTCTTCTTTCTGTTTGCTTCAGATTTCACTTGCTCTTCTTTTTCTAGTGAAGGTAGAAGGACAGGGTATTGATTTGAGATCTTTCTTCCCTCTTAACATAGGCATTGACAGCTGTAAATTTCTCTGTAAGCACTACTTAAGCTCCATCCAATACATTTTTTAAAAAATGTTTAAGAGCATCTCACTATGTTGCTTCCCCAGGCTGGCCTCAAATTCCTGGGCTCAAGGGATCCTTCCACCTCAGTTTCCCAAGTAGCTGGGACTACAGGCACGTGCTACCACACCCTGCTCATCCTATACATTTTCACATGCTATGTCTTCATTTGAATTCATCTGAAAGTATTTTCTGATTTCTTTGACCAGCTAATTGTTTAAGAGTATGCTGTAATTTCCACGTATTAGAGTTTCCAAATTTCTTTCTGCTATTGATTTCTAATTTCATCCCATATGGTCAGAGAAAATGATTTGTATTATTTCCATCCTTTTAAATTTATTGAGGTTTATGTTATGGCCTACTACGTTGTCTATACTGGAGACTGTCCCATGTGCCCTTAAGAATAATGTATACTTTGGCCGGGCACTATGGCTCACGCCTGTAATCTCAGCACTTTGGGAGGGCGAGGCGAGTGGATTGCCTGAGTTCAGGGGTTCGAGACTAACCTGGGCAACACAGTGAAACCCCATCTCTACTAAAATACAAAAAATTAGCAGGGTATGGCAGCATGCACCTGTAATCCCAACTACTCGGGAGGCTGAGATAGGAGAATCGCTTGAATCTGGGAGGCCAGAGGTTGCAGTGAGCCGAGATCCACCACTGCACTCCAGCCTAAGCGACAGAGCGAGACTCAGTCTCAACAACAACAAAAAAGAATAATGTATACTTTGTTGTTAAGTGAAATGTGCTATAAATGTATTAGCTCTAGCTGCTTAAACAGTGTTATGCAAGTCTTCTATTTCCTTGTTTATCTTCTGTCTAGTTGTTCTATGATTTATTTATTTATTTATTATTTATTTATTTAGCCCAGGCTGGAGTGCAGCAGTGGTGTGATCTCGGCTCACTGCAACCTCCATCTCCCAGGTTCAAGTGATTCTCCTGCCTCAGCCTCCCAAGTAGCTAGGATTACAGGCATGGCATGCACTGCCACACCCGGCTAATTTTTGTATTTTAAAGGCGGGGGGGGGGACTGAAATCTCCAACTATTTGTCAAATTATCCATTTCTGTCAGTTTTGCTTCATGTATTTTGGTGCTCTACGTTGAAACAACCAAAATGCCCATCAACTAATGAATGACTAAACAAAAAATGGTAACAACCATATAATGGAATTATGCTCAGTCATCAAAGGGAGAGCAGCACTGATATGATGCAGGCTACAACACAGATGAACTTAGAAAACATTATACTAAGTTAAAGAAGCCAGTCACAAAAGACCACGTATTGTATGATTCCATTTATATGAAATGTCCCAAAGAAGGAAATTTTAGACAGCAAGTGGATATGAGGACTCCGGGTTTGGGGGATAGAGAAGTGATAGCTAAAACATACAGGGTTGTTGTGTGTGTGTGGTGATGAAAACATTTAGTTACTATAACGCTTTGACTATTTTGAGAGTTTCGATAAAGTTGTTTCTGACAGTTTCTGCTCATCTTCCGATGTTTCTGTAAAGAGATTAGTGTGTTTGGAGCTGCCTGCTCTGCCATTTGGCTAGAGTCACTTTTAACATACTGAAAACTAGGATGAATTGTCAAGATAGTTTAAATTGTTTCAAAATAAAAATTGAATTTAGAATAACTACTGCTGTTCTATATGTTGATATTCAAATCTCAGATTATCAAGAACTCTACAATACCAGAACTGTGTGCTTATCTTGAAATAAACTGATAAAGCAATCTGGTTTTGTGAATTAGCAACAATTATAACTAATGTGATAGTGTTAGTCTGGCCATACTTCCGACACTTTGAGTACCTTTTAATATGTTTACTCCATAAAACTTACTATTAATAATAATATCCACTATATATTTGTGAAATTGTTTAGAGTATTAACTCTATCTACACAACCCAATGAGGTAGAACAATACAGATCACATGTTACAGAAAAGGCAACCACATCTCAAAGAAATAAAGGGCTTCTTCGCAGCCATTCAGATAGTAACAGTGTCAGAACAAGAGAGCTGAGGGCTTCTGGCTCTCAGGTTCATGGTCTTTCCATTCAACCTGCAATCTCTCTATTGAGACCCAAATGTCCAAATATCAGCAATCGGGGATCACTCATGTAAGCATCTCAAATTTGATAATAGTCAACCTATAGGGACTCAAACTGAAGTGCTATTTACTTAAAAACACAAAATTAAAAAATGTTAACTGGGAAAGGATTTATAAACATACATGTATAAACTTATTCAAAATTGTTAATTTCAGAATATTCCAGCAAAGCAATGCTTGTATGTGTTGTCAGCTAGGATATGAACAGAGAAGGAACCATAGGACTCATGCTATTATTAGCAGCTACATGTCCTTTTTTAAAATACCTGTTTTTTCTTATTATCTAAAAGTAAGAATTGAGTGCTAAATGCAAGCAGTAACAAAATACAAAGCCTAGTTGCTCAAATGAAATGTCATGAGAAGTACCCTGAAGATGGATGGAACACGTCTTAACATGTCAAATTATTTTACTTTTCTAACATACTGCAAAAATAATCAGAAATAAATCGCTGCTTAAAATATGTATTATGTAGCTTCTAAAAATGAAACACATTTGAAAGTCCTAATAATATACATTACACAATAAAGATTCTATCAATAACAATAATAATGTTCTATTGTTTCAAACTACCTGGCCAGTTATTAAACTATGGTTCAAATCAGATATTCCAGCTAGCAGCCAAGTACAGCAATGCCCCATGGCACATTCCAGGACTCACCAAGAGGAGTCATAGTTCAGTATCAAGCACACTGGGTCTCACAGGCTAATGCATTTACCATTTTCTTATCAACTTTGTATGCCTTTCTTAACTATAACACAAAGAAACAAGTTATTAAATTCAATGTCTAAGACACTCTGACCTCTCTTGTCAGTGTGGCAGTTAATACTTGGTAACATACCTAGCTATTACTCCATCCTTCTCACTAATAAAATCCCCATTTACTTCTGGTGGCCCTAGACACAGTGCCAGGGGAGAAATCAAAATTGGTCTAAGCCAGTATAGCAATCCATTATTCCTTTTGGCACACAATTGATGATGTGGCTATGTGACCCAGATCTGGCAAATAACATGTAAAGGGAAGTTTTCTGGGAGTCGGAAGTTGGCAAAGTGGCAGATGAATCACTGGGGAAAGTTTTATTCCCCATTAATATAGAAAATAGAGACGAAGGAAAGCTTCCTTTTTTTCCTCCGTCTTCCTCTAGCTTTGGATGTCCTCATTTGAGGAGGGCATGCTCAGAGGTGCTGTAGTCATTTTTTAACTACGTAATGGAGAAAGACAAGCAAATTGCAGAGCTGCTGAACCCAACCTGGAACCACCAAATCCAGACTTCTTGTTAAGTGAAATAATAATTGTGTAGTTTATGCTTGTGTTACTCAAAAGATGGTCCATGTGCTACTGCTAGTCTGCAAAAAAGGTTTGCTTCCAATCCACAGTGGGATAAATACAGGAACAGAGAGCAAACATTTAGAAACTTCATAGTAATTTTATACTGCTGCAGCATTTTTATTGTATTTACAAAATATAAGTTTGCACTTAATTGAATTTTGTTTAAAAAGGTCAATTACCATATAGTAGAAATAGCATTTTTTAGGCCACTTTCAGTTGGGTATTAAGTCTCTTGCAGCCAAAAAGTCCAAGGTCTCAGCAACATCAAAGAGAAAGAGATCTATACAAGTCTTCTTATATCCTCACCCATTTTAAGGGTAACCTTTCCGCAAATAGTAAAACATATCCAGGGAAATTAAACAAAAATATAAACTAATGTGATCTGGAAAATGGGATTTCGGTCTCCTGTCTAATCATATTTCCAAGGATTCCAGAGCACCGTGGAAAAAAAGAAAAGGGATATACAAGCCAATGCATATATAATTTCACATAATTTGGATTGCACATACAATCCAAATTAAGTGAAAAAATTAAGCTCTAAAAGAATAAAGCATAAATGATTGAACCATTATGTATTCCTATTGATAATGCCATAATTATGCAACTACATTTCAGATGTTAATTCTCTTTAGAAAATTATCTGACTTCATTAAACTACTTCAGAGCTAAGTCAAGCTGATCTATTACAGTATCAGAGACTGAGCTATGTGACATTCAAACTTGCAAGTCTGGTTTTAATGACATTCAAACGATGCACAATGAGAAACTTTTTACTCATACATTAAAATTTATTTTTCTAATCAAACCTGCAAAAATTTTAACCATACTCTAATATATGGAAGCTGAAACATACACATAAAAAAATTTATAGCTGTAGACGTAGGTACTTACCAGAAAGATGTAACACAATTAAGAAAAAAAATCCTTAACTTCCAGTTCCACCTTACAGTTTTGTTTTGTTTTTTCTACTTAGTAAATTAGGAAAATGCTCAGGAAGAAGAGTCTATGAATGCCTTCTTAGTATAGTCAAGAATGACGGATAGATGAGAACATACAAGTCAAAAATCTCAACACAATGAAAAGCCCAACTGCACTTGAGATAGCATGACTTTGTAAATGTGTTTGCCAAGGCCACTTGTTTTCCAAAAGGCTATACATTAATATCTCAAAGAATAAACCATATTCCTCCTTCTACAATCAATGGCTAAGAGAACTTGGCCAGAAATTACATATATGGTAGTTAACAAACATCTTCACAGCTTAATTAGATTAACTCTTGTTGGCTAAATGCCTAACACTACATAAAATAATCATTTAACAGAGAAGATGCATACATGGTATATTTACGACAGTTGCATCTAGCACCAAACCAAAGTTCCCCAATCTAAATAGAAGCAAAACTTAAATACAATTTCATACTTTTATCAGCCTTAGCCTAGATAAGATTCTTCCCATCAGGGAATACAATTTAGGGTGGATTTTTTTCTTTTTATCACAAGTTAATTTCCAACATAGTAAGTTCTGATTTGATTATGACTTTCCTCATAATATACATTAAGGTTACCTAACTTGTTTAAAATATATTTCTTTTAATAATTTTGATATAAAACAAATGCTTTAGTTGGTACAAAGTACTCATGATTTTGATTTTTAAAAAGAAAGTCAAGATTATTACATATTTAATACAAATTCTTACATATGCCAAGAACAATAAATGCATTTCTTTTAAACTGAGAAGTAACTCTGATGTGTTTTTACAAGAGAATTACTTCCATTTCTCTGTAATTTCACTGCTTTCAAATCCAAGAGCAAAATTCATACTTAGAATGACATTTAAAAGGAAAGCCAAACGGGCTTTTATTCATTATATCACAACACTTCTTACTTCATTAAAACATTCTTTATGCTTGATAATTTTCAGATTGATAATACATTACCAGATTAAGGAATAGGAGTATGATATACAATGATATACAACTAACAGTTTTTGGTTCTTTTTTTGAGACAGGGTCTCACTCTGTCACCCAGGCTGGGGTGAAGTGTATGTGATGTCAGCTCACTGCAGCCTCTGCCTCCCAAGGTCAAGCAATTCATGTGCCTAAGCCTCCTGAGTAGCTGGAATTACAGGCATGTGCCACCACACCTGGCTAATTTTGGGGTTTTTTGTTTTTTTAGTAGAGACTGGGTTTTGCCATGTTGGCCAACCTGGTCTTGAACCCCTGGCCTCAAGTGATGCGCCCACCTTGGCCTCCCAAAGTATCAGGATTACAGGCGTGAACCACCACGTCCAGACAACTAATAGCTTCTTAATTATAAAATCCAAAACATGGAATTCTCACTTGTAGCATATGCATGGATACTCATGCACATGTACCTCAGTACCACCTTCTTAATAGCTTTACTGAGCAACAGTGCTGAAGAGACCAATGTGGAATCAAGGGTCCTTTCCATGATATGACTGCAGAAAATCTCCTGTGATTAGAAACCACTACTTCTGACCCAAACAACTTGTACTATTTTAGGATTCAGCCTTTCAAACCAACAAGGCTTGTGTTCTAACAAATCAAATCTAAATTCCTAATTGTACAGACAGAAAACTGAGGCCCAGAGATGCACAAGTGATTTACCTAAGATCACATTACTGAATTTAAACCTACCATTGGTTTCTTTGTCATTAAGGTTGGTTGTAGTAATCAAGGTTGAGTAACAGCATATTCTTTGAACTTTTTTTTTTTTTTTTTTTTTTTTTTTTTTTTTTTTTTTTTTTTGAGACAGAGTCTCGCTCTGTAGCCTAGGCTGGAGTGCAGTGGCGCAATCTCAGCTCACTGCAACCTCCACCTCCTGGGTTCAAGCAATTCTCCTGCCACAGCCTCCTGAATAGCTGGGACTACAGGCACCTGCCTCCACGCCCGGCTGGTTTTTGTATTTTTAATAGAGATGGGGTTTCACCATTTTGGCCAGGCTGGTCTCGAACTCCTGACCTCAAGTGATCCACCCACCTCAGCTTCCCAAAGTGCTGGGATTACTGGCATAAGCCACCGCACCTGGCCTGTTCGAACTTAAAATAGTTGTTCAGTTGCTTCCGCTCAGAAGTATACTGACTTCTGGCTGGGCTCACACGTGTAATCCCAGCACTTTGGGAGGCTGAGGCAGGAGGATCACTTGAGCCTAGGAGTTGGCAAAGTATACTGACTTTTTCTGCCCCTCTCCCCAAGCAAACAAATTCTATGCCCAATTAAGTGCTGTCTTTTAAAGGAGTAATCTCAAGGAAATAATTTTGGACATCAACACCATTACTCAAATAAGGTTGAAATTCTTCAGAACTGTCTTCAGCTCTACATCTATTTTTATTTATTTATTTTGAGACAGAGTCTTGCTCTGTCAGCCAGGCTAGAGTGCAGTGGCACGATCTCAGCTCACTGCAACCTCCGCCTCCCAGGCTCAAGCAATTCTCCTGCCTCAGTCTCTCAAGTAGCTGGGATTACAGGCGTATGCCACCACACCTGGCTAATTTTTGTATTTTTAGAAGAAACGGGGTTTCACCATGTTGGCCAGGCTGGTCTCTAACTCCTGACCTCAGTTAATCTGCCCTCCACAGCCCCCCAGAGTGCTGGGATTACAGACGTGAGCCACCGCGTCTAGCCCAGATCTTCATTTATAAACCATATAAATGTATTCCTAGGGATGAGGAAACCAAGGTCACACAAGTCTTGTGACTCCAAATCTCTGGAAATATTCTTTTCATTGCTCTTTATAGTCACCTCAATAGAGACCTTTAGTATCCTTCAACTTGACAATTACCCACCCCTTTTTTCCCAATCTTGTCTCTAAAAAACATGTTAATCATTTCTCCCACCCAAAGACAAATACAAGCTCCAAAAGATGATTGGCCACCAGAGATGCTCTTCAGTACCTGAGTACAGATTCAAGAGGCCCCCAAGACATTCTGAGCAATGATGGTACTGTTGGAAGAAAGAGGCTCGAAAACTAGATTTCTGAAAACAATCATGTGGATGTCTGTTACAAGAGCCTTGTTAGATTTACTCATCTCATTTCCATCAGAAATGGAATTTGAAGGTGGAGGGAAAATATAGATGAATTCAAAATTCCAACCCAAAATTCACATGTGGATTTGGAAACTAGTCCTATCTGGCAAGGGCTAGAGTGACTGAAGTATGATAAATGTTCTCTATGCAACAGCAACTTGAGGAATCCACTGATAATTTTTCTTCTTCATTCACATCTCTCAGAAAAGCGTTCTGAGTGACATCACTGCATACCTGGAATGACCCTACAATCTAATGTACTTGTTGGTAATCTTGCCCTGCCACTTGATATTTAGAGTAGCAGATAAATGACAAATGATTTTCATTTGGCCTTTTGGTCTAGAGTATTTCATTGGTATTTTGGTCTGGAGCTTGAAGCCACACTGGAATTACAGCCTAACAATCTCTCAAAAGACATGCAAACTTACCTGATGTAATTCTTTTTTTTTTTTTTTTTTTTTTTTTGAGCTAGAGTTTCGCTCTTTTTGCCCAGGCTGGAGTGCAATGGCGCGATCTTGGCTCACCGCAATCTCCGCCTCCCAGGTTCAAGTGGTTCTCCTGCCTCAGCCTCCCAAGTAGCTGGGATTACAGGCATGCGCCACCACGCCTGGCTAATTTTGTATTTTTTAGTAAAGATAAGGTTTCTCTGTGTTGGCCAGGCTGGTCTCAAACTCTCGACCTCAGGTGATCCACCCACCTCAGCCGCCCAAAGTGCTGGGATTACAGGCGTGAGCCACCGCATCCAGCCACCTGACGTAATTCTCAATTCTCACTTTCCTGAATCAAGGTATATTTCATTTTCAATCACTTGTAAAGCCCTGATTAGACTCAAACAATATCAAAACCATTCTAATCTCCCACTTCCATGTGATCAAGTTAAAAATCAATCTCTATTATAAGAGCTACACATACATCAGAACTCTAGACATCTTTCCCTACCCAGGAGCTCTAGGGCCCTTGTAAAGCTCTTGGTCATCCAAGTTTTCTCCACCAAGGATGACTATAACCTTCAGAAACTCTGGCTAAAGGTTCCCAGGCCTGGCGAATCTCCTGAACATACATTATGAACTAGTTAGGTGGACGGGAGAAAGGGAAATAGATAATGAAAAGGTATCCATCAAGCCGGGCACGGCGGCTCACGCCTGTAATCCCAGCACTTTGGGAGGCCGAGACAGGTGGATCATGAGGTCAGGAGTTCAAGACCAGCCTGACCAAGATGGTGAAACCTTGTCTCTACTAAAAATACAAAAATTAGCCAGGCATGGTGGCGGGCACCTGTAATCCCAGCTACTCAGGAGGCTGAGGCAGAGAATTGCTTGAACCCAGGAGGCAGAGGTTGCAGTGAGCCAAGATTGTGCCGCTGCACTCCAGCCTGGGCAACAGAGCGAGACTCCGTCTCAAAAAAAAAAAAGAAAGAAAGAAAAGAAAAGGTATACATCATTTAAATATGGGGTAGATTTCTACAGTCTTCATTATTTAAAATATCTGCAAACAAAACTCATTTGTAGTCTGGGTACTTTCTATACGTTCAACAGCGAAGGGTAGGGGGTGGGGGCCATCCAATGTTAATTCTCTTTACTGTGACAATATTGCTGGTACAGTAAGATAAAACTATCTTAGGATGCTAAACTTACTCTCTGGATGTGCTTTGTACACTGCTTGTACTATGTGTGACTCACTTTATTGACTTTATTAACTAGGACTGTAAGATGCTTTAGTTTTGTTTGTGTTTTTGTACAAAAAGAGTCTCATTCTGTCACCCAGGCTGTAGAGCAGTGGCGTGATCATAGTTCACTGCAACCTCAAACTCCTGGGCTCAAGGGATCTTCCCAATGTAGCCTCCCAAGTGGCTAGGACTACAGGTGCACAACTCTATACCGAGCTAATTGTTTTTAAATTTTTTTGTAGAGAAGGGGTCTCACTATGTTGCCCAGGCTGGTCTTGAACTCCTGGCCTCAAATGATTCTTCTGCCTTGGCCTCTCAAAGTGCTAGGATTATAGGCATGAGACAATGCACCCAGGCTACATGTTTTAAATATAGCCATACACTGGATGGTACTAGAGAAACATTAAGCAACCACTGGAATGTCCTGAGCAAGAGAAAATGTTTATGGGATAAACACAAAGAAATTCCAAAGTCCCACAGTGAACAGACATAGAAACAAAGAGGATTTCTGTAAAGAAATGCCAAAAGAAGTGGCCAGCTACTCCCTGTTCATTATCTTTGTATGCAGCCCAGACCAGGTAGTGGGCTAACCTAGTCTGGCCATGGCCCACATCTCTAATATCCAAAAGGGTGGAAGGGTGGGGGGCACAAACACTCCAAACCAAACAAATGGGGGTGGTGGGGATTGGGAGGGGCACAGACCAGTGAGGTTGGCATTTCCCAATTATATGGGAATTACATTCATTTCCTTCTCCAAGGGGGAAGTATAGCAGCAGTGTGTGTAGCAGGGACTAAACCCTAGGACTAATCCAGAAAAACATAGCTTGCCATGCAATCCTTTCAAGCATCAAAGGGACCCTAGGCCTGGGAGCCCTAACCTTAACAAGTATCCTATCCTTGGGCAAAGGGAAGGAGGAAGAGAATTGGGGGGGCGGCTATATCATGCTTCTGATTTGACTACTGCCCCCAAAATAAACAGAATCTGAAGAGCCTACGGGGAGGGGCTTCGTGTGGTCTACCTCATACTGACAAGAAACAAATCATTACTAGTCATTTCTATTTCAGGGGAGGTTGGACTGCCTACATGGCAAACAAACAAAGAGTAATACTTTTGCTAACACAAGGCCTAAAGTTAAATCCCACTCCCCTCCCACTCCAGCAACATGGCCACCCAACTGGACCACTGAAAAGGACCCTAATGTCAGAGCTATCTTTGCACGAGACATACTTTAGAGAACCTGGAAAATTCAACATTGGACACATTTTGCTGCAAAATTAAATTGGCTATTAAGAAGTGAAAAGAACAAAATTGTCATGACACAGACGACATGCTGAGCTCTGCACCACTGACCTATAGTCTTCATGTGATTATACAGGAATGTTTTTGAATTCGTTGTACTTCTTACCATATACTAGCATCCAAAGGAATGTTTTTTTTTTTAACTAAAATTGTTGAAATTCTAAATACAAACAGCATTCAACTCTACTCTTGCCTACCCCTATCCCTGAAGTCCAGCTCTCAACACTGAACTTTTCTTTCAAACCCTAAGGAGCAAGGAACAAAAATCTCTATGAAGGTCCCAAAGACTAAAAATTCGTATTTTTAGTGCTCTATTGTTATGTTCAAAACCCTATATAGCTCGTACTTTTTGGCTAAGGAGATCTGAAAACAGCAAAGCTCCTGCAGCCCAGCTGTTTTCTTTTCTAATTAGTGAAAGAGGAACCTGTGGAGAGATTAAAGATTTAGCCTGCCCCAGAGCTAACAGCTTCCCCTCCAGCAGCAATCCTACCTCCTGCTGGCCTAAGCAGAAAGACAGAACAGACCATCAAATCCAGATCTCTGGCATTAATAATGACTGACAGTCTTGCCAGCCACCCAACTAGGTCTTTAATTTAAAGACTATCATAGGCTGGGCACAGTGGCTCACGCCTGTAATCCCAACACTTTGGGAGGCCAAGGTGGGCAGATCACTGGAGGCCAGGAGTTCGAGACCAGGCTGGTCAACATACGGAAACCCCATCTCTACTAAAAATACAAAAAGATTAAATAAAAAATTAGCTGGGCATCGTGGCGTGCAGCTGTGGTCCCAGCTACTTGGGAGACTGAGGCAGGAGAATCTCTTGAACCCGGGAGGTGGAGGCTGCAGTAAGTATAGATTGCACCACTGCACTCCAGCCTGGGCAATAGAGCAAGACTCCATCTCAAAAAAACAAAAAACATAAATAAATAAAAATAAAGACTATCATAATCAGCCTTCCCTTGAAGAGTATTTTTTTTTTTTTTTATACTCTAAGTTTTAGGGTACATGTGCACATTGTGCAGGTTAGTTACATATGTATACATGTGCCATGCTGGTGCGCTGCACCCACCAACGTGTCATCTATCATTAGGTATATCTCCCAATGCTATCCCTCCCCCCTCCCCCGACCCCACCACAGTCCCCAGAGTGTGATATTCCCCTTCCTGTGTCCATGTGATCTCATTGAAGAGTATTTTTTATGAGGTGCTAGCACACAACAGTAGGTGATTTAATCACGAACTTTTCAGAATATACACGATAGCACAATCATTTGTGATTCAGAACTATACAGCTTTAAAAAAAAAATACTTTCCATTATCAAATATATCCTTCATGAAAGATGTTTTGTAAAGTACAAAACAGACCTGAAACTAAGTTCTGAATAAATAGGCACTGTTTTCTCAAACCTTGTAATACACACTTTTTAACTCCTTTTTAAAAATTTGGTTCAGAGGGGGTATCTCATCCTGGAGGACTTTTCCAACTTGATCTTCAGATTCCAACTGGCTCATTCTAGTCAACTTCAGGACATCTCTGGTGAAAGATTCTCACTGAACTCCCTTAGCAAGTTATTCCATTGTTTGACTGACCTCACTGTCAGGTAAAATTTTAGTGGGAGATTAGAACATTTTTCTTTTTCAGCTCCAGAACAAAGTAATTTTTAGATCAAAAAGAATTGCTGCAACATCCCTGCTGACACAATAGGATAAAGCAAAGGAGAAAAGCACTGGTTGACACCATGCAGCTACTGTAAAGTTTATTTCTAAAGCTGTTAATACAGTTTTGAAATATGAAGCTTCAAGTACCATGACAGCCAGAGTGTGAGTTTTTGTTGCTACATTTTTAAAATTAAGCCCTTTATTGGCTTTTTGTCCATTCACCTTTCTTTTAATACTGAGAAAGGAGAAAAGAAAAACATTTCATGTTAGTAAATGCTTTATTGACCTCTCTTATCTGAACAAAAATGACCCATATCTCACAACCTCTAAAAGCTGGTGAATTTTTTAAGCCAAATATACAAAACATCACACATAAAGATTTTGCTTTTAAGCCTTAGAATACAGCCAGGTGGTTAGTACTAATGGTTTGTCTCCATGCAGAGTCTATAACGCAGCCCCTTCAAAAGTTCCAAGCCAACATCTTCATGCTATCCTGAAAATAATGCAGTATTCAGTTCAAAAGAATTAAGTACCAGATATATCTGGTTTCAAGTGTTATTCAGTATTTCATACCCTAACTCACATTCTGAAAGTTCTATAACAGGCAGGATAATATCTTCTACCAATAATGAATTTACTATCATCCAGATTGAGAAAAAGCATGCTCATTCATCCCAGTTACTTGAATACTCTTTTAAAATATTCACCAAATACAGGCAAAATAAAGTTTAAGAAACACACATTTTTAAGTACCTTTAATTACAGTTAACTCATTTAATTGGGTTCTAGTACACAGATATACCTATATATTTGTCAGTTACACAGAGAGAAAACTCCATTTCACAGCCACAAGAAATAACTAACCCAAGTATGCAAGTCCATGTGGGTATCAAGAATAATAAAGATGGTTCCATGCAATTCCCCCCATTTCTAACACCAATCTTCCCCTACCTACTCCCTGCACCACCACCACCCGCTCCCCCACAAAAAAAAAACAAAACAAAAAACAAAAAAAACTTCTGCATTTGGAATTAGAGGTAAAGCAGAAACCTGTTCTTGCTGGACCAAAGAAGTGATATTAAGCATCCCATCACATACAAAGATAGTTCTGAGCATGGTGGTCCCAACCTATTCTCTCACCCTATCCCACTCTTCAGTGATTTCTCCAAGGTATACTTTGTAAGGAACATAAAACCAACAGTTACACATGTCACAGGGGTTTGGATGAAGAAAAATCAATTTACTTTGGCTAATACTCAACTACATACGGGTTGGGGATAAGGGGCTCTTCCTCTGAGATTCCTGACTCCAGTTGTGACCAAGAAGGATATTTGACCCTGGCACAAGAATGCTAAAATCAATCCAATCCAGCTCTAGAATTAACTCACAGGGCTGGGAAAGGTTACCTGGAGCAGCTGACCTGTCCTGGAGAAACAGACACTTTCCTAGCTTCTTAAGAACTTCACCAGGAACACGGAGATTGGGTGCCTATATAATAAATGACACAAAATGTTTACCTCTCATTCCATCCCTGTGATTACTAAGTGTCTCTTCCTTGCCACTAAAAAATCTGATCAACCAGACTAGGCTAGGACAAATCCTTTCCAGAAACTAAACTAATTCCCAAATCTAACAGCTTGAAGTTGTTTCACTTCTCCTAGTTTCAAGAAACTACACAACCAGCAGGACAAACTGCCTCGGCCAGCAGAGGAGGAGGCTGTAGCTGCCAGTGGTGGGACTCCCCAGCTGCTCAGCCCCAGGGTGCTGCTGTGGGGTGTTCAGGTCACAGGGGCAGGGCTATGCCAAGCGGGAGGGATCTAGGCCCTGCCTCACCTCTCAGAGCTACATCAAGCCCTGCCTCACCTCTCAGAGCTACATCAAGCCCTGCCTCACCTCTCAGAGCTACATCAAGCGCTGGGGAGCCTACAACACAACCCTCTACTCAGCAGGGCGTTCAAGGCCTGACCTCGGCTTGCCTCTGTCTGTCCAAACTCATTCAGGATAGGGCTCACACATAGTGCTGCATCAAGCCCCCTTCATCACTCCAGTGATCTGCCCTCAATCTGTCTCTCCCACTGTCCCACGGATAGTAATGGCAGTGAGCTCCTGGAGTGACTCAAGCTGAGCTAATGACTGTGTGGAGAACCTCCATAAATCAAATAGGGATTGGATTGGATCGGATCATACTTTCCCTCCAGTGTCACAGGCTGTCCACATTTGTACGAGTTCCCACACAACTCTCACTGTATTGCAAATTTGTTTCCAATCTGCCTACTTCTCTCCAACTACTGCTGTCACCAACCATCTAGCCACCATCATCTCCTGCCTGGACTGATACAGCTGTTGTTCCTACCTCATTTCTAAAATCTGTTCTCCACGAAAGCAGCCAGATTGATCTTTTTGCATTGTGTAAGTCTGATTAAGTCATTCCCTGCTTAAAACCTTCCAGCGTCTGCTTCACTTAAAATAAAACTCGGACTTCTTAGCTTGACCAAGACTTTGTCTGGTTTGGCTCTTGCTTCATTCTCTCTCCGCATCTCCTCTCAATATCAGTAGTTCCCAGAAGAAGCTATTAATACATAGTACTTTGTAGTGTTTGGAACACTAGCTTTGTTGTGAGCCTCCCTGGGTTTGAATCCCAGCCCTGCCACAAGTAAGCAATATCAAGCATGTAAAGTTCTTAACAAATTATGTTTACACAGTAGATCCTCCCACCTCAGTAAGTGAAACCATCATCCACTGGATTGCTCAGTGCTAAACTAGAAACCTAAGCATTATCTCTGACTCCTCTTCTTTCACCTCACATCCAGTCTATCACAAGGCTTGCAAAAACATAGCCCCAAACTGACTACTTCTCACCATCTCCTCTATTACTACTGTAATCCAAGCCACCATTATCTCGTCTGGACTCCTGCTTTTTTCTCTGATACCCTTCAATTCTTTACAGGGAAAAATTAAAAAACAAAAACAAAAACAAAAACACTCCACAACCAGCTACCAAGGAAACAATCAATTTCCATGATAATCTGAGGTTCATATTAAATATGTACAGGATAAGAAATGACAATGCTGCACTAAGGACTTTTTTTCCCTCACAAGTGTGGAAGAAATACCAACAAAACAATGCTCCCAAGAAAGAAGTGGTATGATTTGTCCATAATCAGGATAAACAATAAATCACCCACTTTATTGATTCCCACTGGTGAAATAAATTTTAAAAATGTCGCATGCACGTGTGTGTAATTAAAGACCTATACAAAACCCTCCAGCCCTCCTTTCATATACATAAAGTACTTGCATAAATACACAAAGATTAAAACCTAGGATCTGTGTGTCACTCAAGGAAATGATTGTTGCAGGCATAGAACTAATTGATGCATTTCCAGAGTCTCCACAGTGGACAAAGAATATCTTCAAAGCAAAGGAATTTAATAGCATAAAAACAACTAAACATCGAAAATAACCTCAATTAGCCAAGGTATATGTACGTGTATTTTAATCTCACAGGCAAAAAGATCATGAGATGAGTGTCCCAAGCCAAAAGGGTCATGGTTATAAACATTATTTTCCTATCAATATATGCAAAAGAGGCTTACTGCTCTTTCAACCACACTCCAAAATGTCCCCTGCCTTTCAAACAGACTAAGACACACACCATGTCAGCCATTCTTTACAAATTCTTAGAGTACGAATTGATATGAAAGACTGACCAGAGATAAAATTAACTATCTCATTACCTCTGATCATTTCAACTACATGAATATATACAAGAACTCCTACAATGAGAACATATTCCAAATATACAGCCTTTACAACAGTAGGGGCTCTTTCTTTTCTCTATTTTCTTCTATATTTTATTGGCAGTCAAGCAGTACCTTTACTTTAAAGCCTTTTTAGACTTACCTGCTTTGCCGTAATGCTGACTGAGATGACTTCACTTACCACTAACACGTAGGTAAGAAGTTCTCTCACCTTTTCAGGAGCTACCAGTAACTCTACTTAACAGGAAATAATTAAGTTGTATCTACTGAAGTTGAAGGCAGAAACAAATCAATGCCTACGGGATTCTAAAAGTTGTCAAAGAAATGAAAACAAAACTTGGAACAGAAATTTGAACTGATTTCATTTCTGCTGTGCCCTCCCCATCAGAATATTAACTCAATTTAAAATAACCAATTTCCTTTATTTCCTGCTTCACCTTTTCCAATTTGTTACATATACTGAATCAGCAATTTTCCAAATTTTCAAACAGTAAAACTTTCTTTCAAATTAAACCTTGCAAAGAACGTGAATATAAAATAGAAAAAAAAGTGATTTTAGGGTAAATATATCTCCTAAGTTCAAATATAAAACATTCACATATTATAAAGCAAATTACTGCTGGGCCTGTAATCTCCACACTTTGGGAGGCCAAGGAGAGAAAATCACTTGAGCCCAGAAGTTTGAGACCAGCCTGGGCAACATAGTAAGATTTCATCTTTACCAATAAAAAAAAAAAAAAATCAAAAATTAACCAGGCATGGTTGTGCATGCCTGAAGTCCCAGCTACCTGTGAGGCTGAGGCGGGAGGATCACTTGAGCGAAAGAGGTCAAGGCTGCAGTGAACTGTGATTGCCCCACTGCACTCCAGCCTGGGCAACATAGCAAGACCAGCCTGACAACACAATGAGACTTCATCTCTATTTAAAAAAAAAAAAAAATACAGAAATTAACTATTACATAAACAAGAACTAATATATAGATGACAACGAAGAAAATCTTGTTCATGAACATAAGTTGCTGATAACAGATTTATCTTTATTTTAAACAGTTCACCTCAGAGTTCTGGGATGCTCTTTAAGTAGAGCAGGCCAAAAAAAAAAATCATTTACTTTTAAGATCTTCACAAAAATGAATTAACAGAACAGCAACAACTAATGCATTATTGGTAATCATGTACTAAAATTAAGTTTATTTTTTGAATAACATCTAAAATAACACTTTCATCAAATGTTTATAAAATCCTTAAAAGCATCTCTACAAAATGCTGGACAACTATTTCAAATCACTTTCCAAGCCTTCTTTTATTACATTGCAACTCCAATCCACTCCCAAAAATATCTCCAATTGGGGGGCCAGGGTGAGTCTATTATTTTTAAAATTAAAAATAACACAAAAATGGTATTTGAACCTGAATTCTAAATGTCTGAGAAGACATAATCCTATACTCAGGTACATCAGTATAAACTGCTGTCCTTCACATTCAAAAATGAAAATGATTATTGTTCTTCTGGTGTATTTGAAAGGTACACAAGATTAGCCATCTCATTCAAAGATACATCTACACAGGCCTTTGTAAGATTTACAGGTATCATCTCTCCTACAATCAGATAAGCCAAGGGCTGACAAAGTGCAGCCAGCTGATAAAGTCTAGCCCTTTAGCCATATTTTTCAGCCCCACAGCTAAGAATGGTGTTACAGAGCCAGGCACAGTAGCTCACACCTGTAATACCAGCACTTTGGGAGGCTGAGGCGAGAGGACTGCTTGAGTCCAGAGTTTGAGACCAGCCTGGGCAACAAAACGAGACCTTCATCTCTACAAAAACGAAAAAGAAAGAATGGTATTATGGGTTGAATTGTGTCCCTCCCCTACCCTAAACCCCTGGCAACAAAAACAAGATATGTTGGAGACCTAACCTGCAATACTTCAGATGTGACCTTATTTGGACATGGGGTCTTACAGAGGCAATCAAGTTAAAATGAGATCATTAGGGTGGGCCCTAATCCAATATGACTGGTGTCCTTGTAAAAAAGGGAATTTTTTTTTTTTTTTTTTTTTTTGAGACGGAGTTTCACTCTTGTTGCCCAGGCTGGAGTGCAATGGCACGATCTCGGCTCACTGCAACCTCACCTCCCGGGTTCAAGTGATTCTCCTGCCTCAGCCTCCTGAGTAGCTGGGATTACAGGCATGCGCCACCACACCCAGCTAATTTTGTAGTTTTAATAGACGCGAGGTTTCTCCGTGTTGATCAGGCTGTTCTCGAACTCCCGACCTCAGGTGATCCGCCTGCTTTGGCCTCCCAAAGTGCTGGGATTACAGGCGTGAGCCACCACGTCCGGCCAAAAAGGGAAATTAGTACACAGAGACAGATACATACAGAGGAAAGATGATGTGAACACACAGGGAGAAGATGGCCATCTACAAACCAAGAAGAAGGTCCTGGAAAACATCCTTCCTTCACTGCCTGAAGAGGAACAAACCCTGCCAACAAACCTTGATTTCAGACTTACAGCCTTCAGAAAGAATCATGAGACAATAAATTTCTGTTGCTTAAGACATCTAGTTTGCAACACTTTGTTACAGTAGCCCTGGCAGATGAATACAAATGGTTTCCACATTTTCAAGTGGTTAAAAAAAATATGTTATTCTGAGACGTGAAAATTATACGAAATTCGAATTTCAGTGTAAAGTTTTTCTGGGACACAGTCACATTTATTCCTTATTCGTTTATGTATTACCTATGACAAACTGCTTTTGTGTTCACAATGTAGGGGTGAGTAGCTGCAACAGAGAGCTTGTGGCCCACAAAGGCTAAAATATAGCACTTTCCAGAAAAGTGTGCCAATCTGAGAAAAACTACTGTGTTACAAAACATCACACCTTATATTGTACATGCTCCCTAAGAAGATCAATTTGTTATCATTTTCCATCTTCCAGCTGACCTTCACTATTCTGCTTTTCTTCTAAAAATTAGGTCAACAGACAATTTACATATCCCTGGACCATCAATCTGTTAAGTCCACTACTGTCAGCAAGAACTTATGTGACGGATAAAACTATATAAAATACCTCATACAACTCTCAACGATAGATCCAAGAATCACAACCGCATAAATGATCCCAATAAAATTCGACAGGCTCTAGCAAGCAAGCAAACAAGTGATTATGTATGAATTAGGGCTGTGTTTACCTTCTATTATAAAAATACCGATTTATTGACCAAACCCTAGGGGGTAGCACACAGAAAGAATGATTAATTGTGTCTGCATTAACTCCTTAGGTTCCAATTTTCTTTCTTTTTTTTTGAGACGGAGTCTCGCTCTGTCACCCAGGCTGAATGCAGTGGCGTGATCTCGGCTCACCGCAAGCTTCGCCTCCCGGGTTCACACCATTCTCCTGCCTCAGCCTCCCAAGTAGCTGGTACTACAGGCACCCGCCACCGCGCCTGGCTAATTTTTTGGGGGGTTTTTTTTGTTTTTAAGTAGAGAAGGTGTTTCACCGTGTTAGCCAAGATGGTCTCGATCTCCTGACCTCGTGATCCACCCACCTCGGCCTCCCAAAGTGCTGGGATTACAGGCGTGAGCCACCACACCTGGCCCCAATTTTCTAAAAGCTAAAAACTCAATGTTTGTTAATGCAATGAAACAATTAAGTTCTGCCACATTAGCCAACTGTTTGGCAGCATGTACTAAGGTTGCAGAAATGCATACACATGTATACCAAAAGACACGTAAAAGAATGTTTAAGCAGTACTTTGTGGAATAGCTCCAGACTGAAAGTAATCCAAATGCCCATCAACAGTAGAAGGGATAAACTAATCACAGTAAATTCACACAATGAAATACTTCCCAGCAATGAGAATGAACAAATTACATGCAACATAGAATAACCTCATAAACACAAAGATGAAAGCCAAACAAAAAGCAAAACCTATGAATGATATCATTTACGTAAATTTCAGTAACAAGCAAAACTAATCTATGGTGCCAGAGTAGGAGAGTGGTACTCTGGAGAGGCAAGTGGGAGTAATGACTGAGAAGGGACATGAAGAGAAATGAAAGGGGTTTCTGAGGTTTTGGTAATATTCTATTTCCCTACTGCGGGTGTGTATGATATATTTCAACAAAAAAAGGTTAACAAAAAACAAGTTCCACTTCCAGGAGATACTTCCTAAGATTACTAGAAGTGGAACTGAATATGTTCCTACTGGCCCCACTGTTCCATACGTAAAAACCATAAACTCTGGACAAAACATAAAAAGTAACTACCTGAAGGCGCTGAACAGCAATCAAAACCAGGCAGAAACTGTGAGTCTGCACCGGAAAATGGGAATTGCATTGAGAAAGTTTCCTTTTGTTTTTCTAAATGGCTTTTTGCCTGAGGGAAGGCCTACGTAAGCCACGTTAGGTAATAGAATCCAGATAGAAACTACTGTCTTACTGAGATGAAGAACCAGATGACAGAGTTCAGAGTGATTCTATCAGGTGGAAAGTGGAGGGGGAAATCAAGAAAAGGAGAAAGCCAGAAATGGAGAGGTTCAAATCTACCTATAAACTTGGCCCAAATCTCCAGCTGATCCATGAAATATACATGCATGGGATAGACTACAGCAGCCCAGGTAAGACTAAAAACTGAATAAAGAATTTAGCTGCTGATGGTGGTGGGAAAGATGGTTTCAATTTTGAGACCATTCAAGTGAAATGCCTGCTAAAACAAAAATTAATATTATTTGGAGGTATACAACAGAAACCAGTATTTCTATAATAAATTGTCCACAATGTCTAGGATGCATTTCAAAATTACTAGACATTTAAAGAAACAGGAAAACATGACCCATACTCAAAGAGAAAAGGTGATCTATGCAGACCAACACTATGATAACCTGAATGTGTAATTAGAGAAGGATTTTTTTAAGCTACCTTCACTTGGTTTTCTCTAATGTTAGTATCTTAAATAACCCTAATATGGCTATAGAAACCAAGAAATTAATGTTGATACAATACTATCAAGGAATTTATAAACCTTATGTAAATTCTGCCAATCAATCCACCAATATCTTTATTCTGGCCCAGGATCCAATCCAAGATGCCACACTGCATTTAGTTGCTACATATTCTCAGTCTCCACCAGTCTGAGACAGTTCCCCAGTCTTTCTTTGTAGACAAGAATTTTAAAGCAGCTACTATAACTATGCTCAAGGATTAAAGAGTAAAATAGTCTCTTAATAAATGAATAGGAAATTTCAGCAAAGAAACAGAAACCATAAAAGAACACAAATTCTGGACCAAAAATTACAATAACCAAAATAAGAACATTCACTGGATACAAAATAAAGATGACAGGAAGAGTCAGTAAACTTAGAATAGATACTATTCAATCTGAACAACACAGAGGGAAAAAATAAGAAAACTGAAGAGTACTGTGTATTACAACATCAAAGGTCTAAACCTACATGTAATAGGTATAATTGGAATTCTATAATCAGAACTAAGAGAGAATGGGGCAGAGAAAAATATTTGGAGAAATAATGACCAAAATTTTCCCAAACGGAGTACAAGATGGAAATTTACAGGTTCTAGGAGATCAATGAAACATAAGCAGGACAAAATACAAGGAAAAACACTTAAGCACATCATAGTCAAATGGTCAACAACGAAAAAGACAAAACTGCTAAAACAGAGAAAAATGACAAATCATATAAGAAAACAATCATAAGAATTACTGATTTATAGCGAGGAGTGGTGGTGCACACCTGTAATCCCAGCTATTTGTGAGGCTGAAGCAGATCACTGAAGCCCAGGGGTTTGAGGCTGCAGTGAGCTATAATCGCACCACTGCCCTCTAGCCTGAGCAATAGAACAAGACCCTGTCTCATTCATTCACAAAAGAATTACTAATTTCTTAGTTAAAAAAATAACTAAGGCCAAAAGACAGTGGAAGGTCATGTTAAGTGCTCTTTTTTTTTTTTTTTTTTCTGAGACAGAGCCTTGCTCTGTCGCCAAGGCTGGAGTGCAATGGTGCTATCTTGGCTCACTGCAACCTCCACCTCCCATGTTCAAGCAATTCTCCTGCCTCAGCTTCCCAAGTAGCTGGGATTGGCGCGTGCCACCATGCCTGGCTAATTTTTGTATTTTTAGTAGAGGCGGGGTTTCACCACGTTGGCCAGGCTGGTCTCGAACTTCTGACCTTAGGTGATCCACCTGCCTCGGCCTCCCAAAGTGCTGGGATTACAGGCATGAACCACTGTGCCCGCCCTTTTTTTTTTTTTTTTTTTTTTTTTTTGAGACAGTCTCGCTCTGTCGCCCAGGCTGGGGTACAATGGCACAATCACAGCTCACTGTAGGCTCAAGCAATCCTCCCACATCGGGCTCACAAACAGCTGGGACTACAGGCGTGTGCCACCACACCCAGCTAACAACACACTTCTAAATAACAACACACTTCAAAGAAAAAAATCACAAATGAAATCAGAAAATGCTTTGAATTTAATCAAAATAAAAACACAACGTACCGAAATTTGTGGAATTCAACTAAAGCAGTACTGAGAGAAAAATGTATAGCTTTAAATGCCAATATCTGAAAAGAAGAAAGTTATAAAATCTCCCAAGATTCTGGCTCAAGACACTAGAAAAAGACCAAATTAAACCCAACATAGAAGGAAAGAAAGAAAAATAAAAGCAAACATCAGGGCAAACAAAAACAATAGAGAAAATGAACAAAGGCAAGAGTTAATTTTTTTTTTTTTTAAGATTAACAAAATCAAGACTGGGTGCAGTAGCTCACATCTATAATACCAGCACTTTGTGAGGCAAGGCAGGAGAATCACTAGAGGCCAGGAGTTCGAGGCCAGCCTGGGCAACAAAGTGAGACCCCCAACTCTACAAAAAAAAATTTTTTTAATAGCCAGGCACAATGGTGTGCGCCTGTAGTCCCAGCTACTCAGGAGTGTGAGGTGTGAGGATTGCCTGAGCCCAGGAGTTGGAGGTTACAGTGAGCTATGACCACATCACTGCACTTAAGCCTGGGTGACAGCAAGACCCTATCTCAAAAAAAAAAAAAAATTAACAAACTTGATAAATACAGATTAACCAATATCATGAATGAAAGACAAAATAACGGCCAGGCACGGTGGCTGACGCCTGTAATCCCAGCACTTTGGGGGCCCAGGTACGTGGATCACCTGAGGTCAGGAGTTCGAGACCAGCCTGGCCAACATGGTGAAACCCCATCTCTACTAAAAATACAGAAACTAGCCAGGCGTGGTGCGCCTGTAATCCCAGCTACTCGGGAGGCTGAGGTAGGAGAATCACTTGAACTCGGGAGGTGGAGGTTGCAGCAGTGAGCCAAGATCGTGCCACTGCACTCCAGCCTGGATGATAGAGCGAGACTCCATCTCAAAAAATAAATAAATAAAGACAAAATCACTACAGACCATACATATATTATTAAATGAACGATACAATGAACTTTATGCCAAAAAAATCTGACAACTTAGGCAAAATGGACATATTCCATGAGAAATATAACTTATCAAAATTGACATACTATAGACTAAAAAATCCTAATAGCCCTAACTCTACTAACTGAATTTGTTATCAAATGCGAATATTCACACAAACCAAACCACAGGTTCAAATGGCAAATTCTCTCAAACATTTAAGGAATAACTAACATCAATTGAACACTTCCAGAAAAATAGACGAATATTTAACAACTGATTTTGAGGCAAGCATAACACCTCATATCAAATTGTGACAAAGAAAACATGAGCACGTATGCAAAAATCTTTAACAAAATACTGCACTAACAAATGGAGTCTAGTAATATATTTAAAAATGATTCATCATGACCAAGTGACGTTTATCACAGGAATGTAAGGTTGTTAAAACAACTCATCAACACCCACACCATAATACTGCAGGAGAGATCTTTCACAAAAATCTCATCACATTCCTCACTTTCTCAAAACTCTTTGGCTTGGTTTTTGGCTTCCTATAACCACATACAAGACAGAAACCTTAACACAGCATGTAATGCTCCTTTCACAACCCCAGCCCCGCGCTACAGTCACATCTCTAGGTAGTACCCTCCACTATGTACCCCATATTCCCACTACAATGGCCATGTCCTCTGCCCAAGATATACCACTCCCCTCCCTCCCTCTATCACAAATGCCAAAGCTCCATCTTGTTCCAGTTTCTCTGAAAGTTTTCCTAACTTTATCAGGTTGATTTCATTACTCCTCTCTCTACACTCCCACTGCATCTTTTGTAACCCTCAATCACAACAGATATTACCATTTCTTTGTTTTTCTTTCTATTCAACTATCACTCCTACAGGGCAGGGAATGCCCCATTAACAGAATAAAGAAGAAAAACCATATCATCATTTCAAAAGATGCAGTAAAAGCATTTGACACATGTCAATACACATTTATGAAGGAAAAAACTCATCAAATTAAGAATTAAAGGAAATTTCAATCTAGTAAAGACATCTAAGAAAAATTTAACAATTAACATCATTCTTAACTTTCAAGTAGCAGGTGTCAACATTTACATTAGCTTATTTATCTCTCACTGGTCTTAACAACCACCCTGTTTAAATGTGAAACAAAAAGAAAAAAGGAGGAAGTTATTGTCCCCTGGTATAATAGCAACTCTCGGTCAAAAATATTAAATCATATACTCAAGTAAGAAAGCCAAGGCAAGAATCCAGTCTTTCACCCAAAGTACTTTTTCACTATAGTACACTATCTCTAATATTCAGGTTCATGTCACAATGGACAATTAGTCCCTCCTACAAAGCATACTTTGGGAACTTTATCAAAGACTGAGTACTGGTTCTTATTGTGACAATTCTCAACATTTTCTAGCAATGCCACTAGTTTAGGTAACTATGGCGAATAGGCAGTAAAATATGCAAACAGTTATTATATTTCATTAGCTGATCAAAAAAAATTGGACAAGTACCACTAATGTGGAATGAAAAATTTTTAAACCCACATTAAGGACCCATACAACAACCTCAAATCCCCTTTCCTTAAATAGGGGTGCCACAGAGAGGAAAGGGCATAATCATTGGTCTGCTCCTTCCCTTTACTAGTCTAAAATGCAGCAGATGCAGCAGAAAAATTGGTAATTTGAAGATGTATTTCTAATTCGCTACCTGTCAGCAGCAAGCTTAGGACCACAGCTCCTTAACAGAGAAACCAGAGTGACATGGCCACTTCTGAGTTTCTGTCTGTGATTCATATGAATTTTTCACGCACGAAAATATAAATGTTGCCTTCACATCATTCCTTCTGTGATTCACCACAGCAAGCAAGTTCCACAATGAGGTTAGATCTGCTTCTTTACTGCACAACATGCACTTCACTTTAAAGCACACAGGGAAATCCAAGTTTCTTCAAATAATGCTTACAGAACTACAAAAAAAGATAGGAAGGATTTTTCTTCTTTAAACTAGCTTTGCCACTCAACCGCCTATAGGCCAATCATTACTATGCATTCTCTTTTGTATCCTTTTGGGTCCCCTAAAGGTGAACATTTGACTTTGAGTCATCATCTGTCTGAGACAAGACATTAAACAATTCAGACAAAATAAGCCTTCTCCACAAATGGAGTTGCCTTCTGTGTGAGCATCCCAGGTCCTTAGTAAAGCAGTCCGTATGTTTCATGACAACACAGTGCCCTTTACAGACAAATTCCTAAAAGGCTTCGTGAAGTTCTTACCTGACCTTACCACTGTTGAAAGTCAGTGACCACAGAGCTATCTCTCACTGACATTTACAGTGATTGAAGTAAAAATAAGAACCTCTTTTCTTTAAGTGACACAGAAAATTCAAAGGTCACTGGATAATACACTACACCAAGTACAGTGCACCAGTATCTCAGATACTTCTACACTCAAAATGTCTTTTTCAACAATCTTTGGGAGTGTCCTGTGAAAACCACTGGGTAACCTAATTTTTAATCAAGCAGTCAACAAAACAGCCTTAACATGACTACTTTCTGGATAAGCCAATATTTTAATTTCAAACTTCCCTTTAATTCTAAGAATTCAGACATGTTTGGACAGTCTAATAATGTCTTTAAAATTAAAAAGCTGTCTTTTAATTTAATTCTATTCTTATTAATCATCTAAGAAAAAAAGAAGTGGGGGTTATCAAGATAATTTAGAGTTCTCTCAAATACCACATCATATAACAACATTGGGCAAACTATATATAGACCAAACCACCTAACTTCACAATACCACCCTCAAATCTAATTTCAGGAAGAAACAAAAAAGACTGGAAAATAAAAGAATGATAATCTCACCTAATCCCATTCTAACATACTTTTTTTAAAAAGCTTCCCTTTAGCTGAACAATTCCAATCAACTCTCCTACTATCCACCTGGGACAAACAGAGCTCCTACTATCTCCAGGTTAAGGTAGGAGTTGCCACTACAGAGCCTGGGGCAGCTCACATCTAGCAGTTTGGGAGGCGGAGGAGGAGGCAGAAGGATAGTTTAAGGCCAAGAATTTGAGACCAGCCGGGACAATATAGTGAGACCTCCATCTCTACAGCAGTGAGGGGCAAAAAGATAGGAGTTGCCACCAGAGATATGGCATTAGGGCACACAGACCAGAAATTAAGTAAAGCAGCTAAAGATGCAGGAAGACTGAAGGGTGAAAGCCCCACTCCTAGTTTCATAGTTGGAAAAGAGAAGTTTTTGCACTTTTGCACCTACCGTTCGACTTGCAACCTACCTACGGACCACACTCTTTGTGACCTACTCCTATTTAACCCAGCTCTCCATTCCAAATGGCAACTCCCTTGCCTCTGACTTCCTCTGCACCTGTGACGCTATAACACAACTGTCCTTCGTGTCCTGAGTCTACAACTTAACTCTGAAGTCAATTTATTTTGTCCACCCAAACTGTTCAAACCACATCCCCAACCCAAAGTCACAGATGTTGCAATGCATGTAAAATATGTAGTTTCTAACTTTTCATCAAAAAAGGGAAATTCTTCAGAGATAAGGCTTAAGTACAATGACAGATATTGTTTGATCTGAGTTTAAAAGGCATAATTTCAAGAGACAAGTGTGTGCGTGTGTATCTGTGTGTGCCATATTTTACATACAGTCAGCTCTCTGTTTAATGTGGGTTCTGCATCCATGGATTCAACCAACTGTAGATTGAAAATATTCGGAAAAAGAAATTGCACCTGTACTGAGCGTGTACAGATCTTTTTTCTTGTCATTATTCCCTAAACAAAACAATACAACAACTATTTATACAACATTTACATTGTATGAGGTATTATAAGCAATCTAGAGATGATTTAAAGCGTACAGGATGATGTACGCAAGTTTATGGAAATACTAAAGTTTTTATTTTTTATTTTTTTTGAGACGAAGTGTCACCCAGTCTCCCAGGCTGGAGTGCAGTGGCACGCTATCGGCGCACTGAAACCTCCACCTCCCAGGTTCAAGCAATTCTCGTGCCTCAGCCTCCTGAGTAGCTGAGATTATAGGTGCCCGCCACCATGCCCAGCTATTTTGTAGTTTTAGTAAAGACATGGTTTCACCATATTGGCCAGGCTGGTCTCAAACTCCTGACCTCAAGTGATCTGCCCGCCTTGGCCTCCCAAAGTGCTGGGATTACAGATGTGAGCCACCACGCCCAGCCATATTAAGCTATTTACATCAGGGACTTGAGCATCCTCGGATTTGGTATCTACAGGAGGTTCTGGAATCAATCCCCCAGGAATACCAAAGAATAAATATAGAGTGAGAGTGTGCGTGTATGTGTGCATGTGTGTGTGTGTGTGTGTGTGTGTGTGTGTGTATAACCACATATATAAACATACATAAACATATGAACATACACACATATATACATATATACACACATATACACCCACACACATACATATATTTTTTTCTTGAATTGGTCTTCATACAAAAATGGCTATGTCCCCTCTCCTAAACATTTCTCATCATGTTCCACAGGAAAAAAGAATCTTCCAGAAAAATCCATAATCCTCATTTAGAATTATGGTTACTACTGCACAGTACTCATATTTAATTAAGAAACCATCATTTTGCTTATCTCAGATCCCCAGATAAGTGTGCAATTATGGAGAAGTTTATCTGTAAGAACAGATAAAGGGAAATTGTCTACACATGTGCATGTAGAAAGAAATTATGGAGATGGATTCAGCCCTCAAAGCAAAAGCTCTATTTAATTTGAATTTTTACTTAAATCAAAAGCAGAAAATTTAAATTGTCACTAATCTTAACTGGTCAAGGCATGATGCATCAGTCTCATAACCTGGCAAAAACCTGCCCTTAAATGATCAGGTCAGAAACAGTAAGAGTCTCTATCCTGGTCCTCGGTAATACAGAGAGCTCCCAAATAAAATATATGTATTACAGAGCAATTCAGCCAAATATACAGTCTCTGATTTTCACATGGCCTACACAAACTTTATGTTCATTAAACATAAGGTGCAAATATTAAACACAAATTTTGAGTTGCAAACCCCAATTCACATTCAAACTTTTAGAACAAGCAAAAGCTGTCTAAACAACATATGCTATCCCAGCCACTGTTTGTCACTAGTCTAGTGACAAATCATGGAGATGGATTCAGACCTCAAAGCAAAAGCTCTATTTAATTTGAGCTCTATTTAATTGCCACTAGACTTAGTCCAGCCACAATCCCTGCCCTCATGGAGCTTAGCGTATGCCATCAACCCAATCCATCCACCCATTTTAGAGCAACAATGTGATGTGACAGGATTTGGCATATTGTCCAAACGCTACTTGTCCTGGACTGGTTTGTCTCCCAGAACAGATGACTGACTGCCTGGTCCTAATTAAGTGGATACTATAATCAAAGCCATGACTGCTTACCCATTTGAAAATATGTTTCAGAAACCATTTTGGTTAAACTGAAAAAGAAAAAAAAAAAAACCTGTGAAACCTAAAACTGTTAAGCAATAACACTAAAACAGGTCATCATTAAAAATCAAAGAAATCACTAGTTCTATTATCAACCTTTTGGTGTGTCTTTATTGTCATTTGAAGAGTCAGGGTGAAAGACAAGTGATGTAGCACTTCTGTTTTTAATAATTACAGTTTAAACTACCTGTAGGTTGGTGCAAAAGTAATTGCGGTTTTTGGTCCTTAAAAGGGACTTGAGGAACCTACCCAGGATTACAGAAGTTTCTTTCCACCTAATGAGACAGTCTGGCAATTTACTAGTTTTGTATCTGATTCAATAGAAATATTTCAAAGTGGTATGTGACCACTTGATGTGGAATGTGGGTTTCCTTCTAATAAATCCCTTTGCCAAATGCAGGGAGTTGCAGACTTGCCTCTGGCAAGAGTAAATAAAGCAAATAGGTGAATAAACTTATCCTGATGTGGGAGCATTCTCCTATTGGAGTTCAGTCTTGATCAAAGTGTCAGCGCAGGAATCAGACTCCTAGGAAGGTTACAGTATCTCCTGACAAGACCTGCCAACCACAGCAATAGTGTTGCCATTACTCGATGCCTGCCTTCTGATGGATTTGGGTGAGTAGCTGAGCAAGCCAAGGGGAGGCTGGGTGATTAAATAAGAAATAGGGGATTTTTAGTTAGACAAGGCTTCATCTGAGAAAAAAAAAAACGTTAACAAATAATCAGTTGGAAGTTGGCCCAAATATTTTCCCTGGAAAATACCCATTTTTTTTTCCCAGCAAAATTTTGTTAGGGGTTATGTTATTGAGGAATGAACTGACATGAATACGTGGAGATGTTCTGTAATACCATACTATGCTAGACATCTGAAGGCCCAGGGCACTTTGTTTTTTTTTTGTTTTGTTTTGTTTTTTTTAGAGACAGGATCTCGCTCTGTCACCCAGGCTGGAGTGTTGTGGCACGATCACAGCTCATTGCAGCCTTGACCTCCCCAGCTCAAGCCTCCTGAGTGAGCTCAAGTGAGCCCGCCCACCTCAACCTCCTGAGTAGCTGAGCCTATAGGCAAGCACCACCATGCCTGCTTTTTCTTTTTTTTTTTTTTGGAAAGATAGGGTCTCACTATGTCACCCAGGTCTCAACTCCTGGGCTCAAGCAATCCTCCAGCCTCAGCCTCCCAAGGTGCTGGGATTATAGCCATGAGCCACTGTGCTCAGCCCCTGCAGCAGATTTAAATTCCAACTCGTTATAACTTCTTAAAAGACTATGAAAATATCAAAATGTACATGAATCAAGTTTTAAGATACTGTATGATGGGTGAATGAGGCCGTCTACTGTACCATTTCTTTCTTTGAATTCTTAGGCATGGTTTGGCAGTGCAAGAACTTTGCAATATTAATAAATTCAATAAAAAGTAAACATATGGTTAAAAAACAACAAAAATCAAAATATAACTTAAAAATTAAATTTTTTAACATTAAAAAATTCAATAAAAAGTAAACATATAAAAAAGTAAACAGAAATCAAAACATAACTTAAAAAATAAAATTTTCTTAGGCTATTTCCTCTTTGAGCACATTTTTAAAAAATAATTCTGAAGTCATAGCCCAACTTAATAAGAAAGAATGTTATGAATCAATTATTCCATTTGCATCAGTGACAACACTGGGAAAGATTATAAGAAAATGCTTATGATGCAGAGCAGCAAAACACATACAACATATTTTCTATTTCTACTTGAAATAGTTCAATAAGCTTACAAGGCTCTAAAAACAGTGAAATATTAGAATAAAGCTCCAGTTATCCATATGTAATGCTTAAAAAGAAGTATTTCTAAGTAAATTTTGGAGTGTGAAAACCACACATCATAATACATAAGGCTCTGTGGTACTAACCAACTCTCTCTGAAGTTATTGCTAGAGGAGCACAGACTTATTTGCAGCCAGATATATGGAGGATGAAAACCTAGAAGTTTCATAATTCTTTCATAATATTTCATAATAGTTTTAACCCCTGTAAGTCTTACTTTCTTCACCTGTGAAATGTAGACACTCATACCACACCAGAAGATTAATGCTGGGATCAAATCAAGTAAGTACGTAAAGCCCCTGAAACAGTTCTTTTTTCACTGTACCCTTAATAAATTACACTAATTTCCTACTCGTCTTTTTTATCATGTTGTCCCCTCAGCCTGGAATGCCTGTCCTTTTCCTCCCCGCTCCTGTCTACCTAGACCACATCATTTCTTCAGTGTCCTTTTCTAGTCACTCTTGATACCCACTTTATCTACAACACTATGATAGCCTTTCTCATCTTTGAAATCAAACTGTTTACTTTCATCATGCTATTTTTTTATTTTTATTTTTTGAGACACAGCCTAGCTCTGTCGCCCAGGCAGGAGTGCAGTGGCACGATCTTGGCTCACTGCAACCTCCACCTCCCAGGCTCAAGCAATTCTCATGCCTCAGCCTCCCAAGTAGCTTAGATTATAAGAGTGTGCCACCATGCCTGGCTAATTTTTTTATTTTTAGTAAAAACAGGGTTTCACCATGTTGGCCAGGCTGGTCTTGAACTCCTTGCCAAGTGATTTGCCCGCCTGGGACTCCCAAGTGCTAGGATTACAAGTGTGAGCCACCACGCCCGGCCTTATGCTATTTAACTAGACATTGCTCTCATTTTTATTTAACATTTCACTGGCATATGGTACAGATTTCCAGCAGAGAAGCTTTAAGGCTTCATGGAGTACCATATCTCATCCTTCTACATCCACCTCAACACCTATCAGTGCTTTACAGAAACTAAGCCACATCCCATAAATGAATAAATGATCAAATAAAGGCACAGAAATTACAAGTTGTTCTGTTTGAAAAAAAAAAACTGGGTGAAAAAGGTACCTGATGTGGCCGTCACAAACAGAGAAGAGTAAATATATGGTATATAGTGTTAACTAAAATCTAAACCTACTTAAAAAAAAAAAAAAAAAAAACTAAGTGAATATCCCCTTGGCACTAAACATCACTGCAAACAAGTCCAAATGAGGAAAGACATAATGCAATCAATTTCTTACTCAAAATGATACCCCCTATAACTTTAGCCACTTCTACAGAGAATAAAAAATTTGACAGATATTCTCAGGTCTGAATTAGGATTCTGCTTTTCCTAACTCACTGTCTTCCTAAAAAGTCAGCCAGCAGGGGGAGTGCAAATTCATTAACATCATAGTCACAAAATACTTATGGCTAACAAATTTTTGAAATTCTGGAATTTCTTTTTAAGTCAAACTTCTGAATATAAGCCACAAAAACTACTGGAGGCCATGCATTTTAAAACCATAATATTTTATAATATTATTCCTCTTTACTATGTAAGTACTCCATAAAACTGCCACTTCTTACCTCAGGTCCTTTTGGGTTTACAGGTACATTCCAAAAAAAAAAAAAAAAAACTCTTTTTGGCCTGGCACGGTGGTTCACGCCTGTAATCCCAGCACTTTGGGAGGCCGAGGCGGGTGGATCACCTGAGGTCAGGAGTTCGAGACCTGGTGAAACCCCACGTCTACTAAAAAATACAAAAAAAAAAAAAAAATTAGCTGGGCGTAGTGGCAGGCTCCTGTAATCCCAGCCACTTAGGAGGCTGAGGCAGGAGAATCACTCAAACCCAGGAGGTGGTGGTTGCAGTGAGCCGAGATCACGCCACTGCACTCCAGCCTGGGTGACAAGAGCAAGAGTCTATCTCAAAAAAAGAAAGAAAAAAAAAAAAAACCCACTCCAGCCTGGGCAACAGAGCTAGACTCTATCTCAGGAAAAAAAAAAACCCTTTTTAAAGACAGAAAAATAAATCATTATTCATCAAAATTCAAATGACAATGGAGAAAAGCTACTACATTCTAAAATGTTACACAAACTGATTGAGGTACAAGGCCAGTCCCACAATATTTGCAAGCCATTCATGAATTCAATCCTCACCTATCACTGAAATCAAAGCCTCACCTGAAGGTCTCCAGCCTGCTGCTATCATGCCCCTCCCCAATAAGCAAACATTAATTTTTAGCTCATGACCATAAGATATGAAAATAGACCATAAGATCAGAAAATTGGTAGGTAGAAATTATGTATTTTGTAACATACAATATACTATTTAAAGAGCAACAAAGTCTCTGGTGACAACTACAGACAATCATAGCTACAGATGGTATGGAAGAGCGATGAAGAGAAGAAAGGGTTCAGCAACAGAAGATATTACAGGCCAAGTCCAAATTGCCAAACACAGAACACTGAAATAAAATTTAAGCAAAAGTGTGCCAGGATCATCTGTCTTTAATAGAAAGAATCAATGAGATGGATAGAATCTAAACATAAATTTTCTCTGTTCAGCTAAAAAGTACTAGTATATACATTAACATACTTGATCCTTTCAACAATCCTGTAAAGCAGGTAATGGAATTGAAATAAAGAGAGGTTGTCTTATTCAAGGCAACAAAGCTAACAAGTGGTGGAGCCAAAATGCTAACTTGGGCTTTCTGGCTCCAAAATCAAAGTTCTTTACATCACAACATGCTGCTCCTTGTTGAAGCCAGGGCTAAAACATACGTGTATCAGAAATGTAGCTGACCTGCTCCCACAGACACAGGATTTTTTAAAATAATAATACATGCATGAAAGTACGACATGCACAATGCTGGCCCTGGCAGCAAATCTTCTAGCTCTTCTAGTATAAAGAAATGGCAGTGCAGCTACTGGTAAAATCAAAAAAGGTGTTTGCAGCAGAGCACTATAAACACGAAAGAGCCAATTAAACATTAATAAATCCTCAAGGAGTAAACACACTGGTCTTCAAAACGCTGCCCCAAAAATTGTTTTTAAAAACATCTTAACCTTTTATAGATTTTCTTCACCTTGTTTAACAGGTTTCACTCATACGCAGGAAATATTAAATACACAGTGTTAGATGAGCAATACATGTCTTTTGTGTTCAAATCAGGAAAATATAACAGGATGTGTTTTATAGTCAATGCTCCATTTTTCAGTCATATAGGTGGAAACAGTCTTTTGTTATATATTTGCAAAGTAAATGTTTTATGGAAAAAACTACTCTCCACTGCCAGAAGCCATCCTCTTTGAAAGCACATAAAGCCTCAAAAAGGATTTCAAAGCTCTATTACTCCACAGCCTACTCCAATGCTAGTTTTCAATCTTATTCTAACCTTTCGGCACGTCAAGCATAACCCTTCTTACAACCACATGTTGGCATTCTGGTGAAGTCTTGAAGGTCCTTAGTACCTGCTACAAACCACCTACAATCTACCATCCCCTCCCCAGGAAAAGTGTCCCAAGAAGTTCTTCCAGCATAAAGTTGCCAGTGTCTATCAGTGAAGACAACCCTAATATTCTGATTGTGCCAGGCTGAACCAGCTATTGGTGTCCCAGCAAAGGATGCCATAGACTGACTGGACACCTAGGGTCAAACTTGGCTCAACAAGGGCAACTACACAGGAATGTTAGCAAACTATCCAAAAAGACCCTCTCACAAACACTATGGCACAGAGAGGGCAGGTCACTAGAGTTTACACAGTTTTCCAAGTGATTCTAAGCTCTCTCCACCAAGAGTACTCTAACTCCTAGTCTAGGAAGGAAGAGGACCCAGAGTGAATGCACAATTAATAAACAGACACTATCCTACACTATTGTACACTCAAAGGCCCATTCCTGAAGTTAACATCTCTTCCTCATAACCCTAAAAGGTCTATCTGATACAACTGACCAAGTTCTCTAGACATACCAACAAGTTCACTCACCACACCCTCACACACACTGGACCTGGTCATCTGGCATTCAAGCCATCACATAAACTATTATACTCTTATGGAGGCAGGGACTGGTAAAGTTGAGATTAGACCATATTAGGCTATTACCTACAATTTTCTCTTACTGTAAAAATCCATAATAATCTCAAGCTGCTCGACAAGTCGCCTCCTCAGCAAGACTTCTACAACTGCTGAAAATGAAACTCCTTTACTCTACAAACCCTCCATATGTTTAGTTTGTTCCATAAATCACACATCATTTCAATGAATTTTTGAGATTCAATCCAATTTATAAATCCAAAAAAACTGCCCCATGCTAAATAGTATTTGAAATTTGCTGGGCCTCTAATTTTTTTTTTCTTTAAAAATAGATACTTTTATTCCCACACAGTTTGCCTGGTATGTTTACTTACCATTGTTTCCACAGTACCATGTTTTTCAGACTCACTTGTATTCGCTTCATTTGTCTCCCCAATACAAGGTATTTATCATGTTATATGTTTCTGCAGAGCCTTAGCACAGTGTTTCATTCTTAACAAATAAACAATTGTGTTGATAAACATAATATTTATCCTAATCAGATTATTATAAAGCATATCTGAACGTGGGCTATTTTTATGATTCCATTATTCTGGATTTTCTAATATAGTTGCACAAACACATAAAAAGGACAGCTATACATGGTGAAACCCCATCTCTACAAAAAGTAAAAAGGCCAGACATGGTGGCGTTTGTCAGTGGTCCCAGCTATTGGGGAGGCTGAAGTGGGAGGATTGCTTGAGCCCAAGAGGTCAGGCTGCAGTGAGCTTTGATCACGGCACTGCACTCCAGTCTGGGTAACAGAGTGAGATCTTGTCTCAAAAAAAAAAAGGTCAAGAGTTAAACAATAAATAATATTAATCATCTAGATTTTGCGATGTTTATGTGGGTTGTCAGCTTTTTTAATAATTTGTCAAATCTTTCATTTGTAATAAACTTTCACTCTCAAAAAAAATAAAAATAAAAAACCAAACGGACAATTATAACCATGCATTTTGTTTTAGGTACAGTATTTGCTTTGTTAATTAGCATTATTAAATACATCCTCACAAAATTATTGTATATAAAAAATAAGAAATATGTATATTTTATTATTTATGAAATACAAAGGTATTAGGCACAGTATCAAGAGAACAAAATCAAATTGTGCCTTGAGGAGTTTAGAACTTAAAGACAACCTAAAGTAAATACAAACCATACACAGGTGGAGTGGAGGGTGCCCCTGACTAAATGGAAGGGGAAATAAGGGAAGGTGGAAGTCCGTAGGTGGTATCTGCTTCATTGTGCAGGTGGAATTTTGAGTGTAATCTGAAGCAGTCACGAAAAGCTATATATGCTGAATACTGAAAGAAACAAGTAACTAGCACTGCTAGAAAGAGAATATCAGGTTAGCAGAAAAGAGAATAACATGGATCCAGGAAGAATGCTTCTACATGAAGTCAGGTAAGTGAGCCTGACAGAAGTAAGACTAGAGAAGAAACAGAACCAGCCAGGCACAGTGGCTCATGCCTGTAATCCCAGCAATCTGGGAGGCCGAGTGGGGCAGATCACTTTGAGCTCAGGAGTTTGAGACCGGCCGGGCAACATGGCGAAACTGGGTCTCTACCAAAAATATAAAAATTAGCCAGACCTGGTGGCTTGTGCTTGTTGTCCCAGCTACTCAGGAGGCACAGGCTGGAGGATCACTTGAGCACCACTGCATGCCAGCCAGCCTGGGCGACACAGTGAGACCCTGTCTCAAAAATAAAAAAAGAAGAAGAAAAAAAAAAAACCAGAACTACCACCAAGGTTTTATGTCAGGAAATAGGTCTAAAAGTGAGAGCAAGGAAATGATGGAGGTTTACAGATCACCCTTGTATGCAACGTCAGCATTCAAGAAAGGTATAATGTAATATTATGCCTGAATTATTAACAATGTCGTTATTTTATAAAGTTTCTATGCAGAAAGAAAATTCTTCCTAGTTAATCCTTAAAGACTGAGGCACCAACGAAGTACACTGTGTATATGCAAAGTACATGAAGGTCTACATATGCTCTTCTTTTTCAAAATGGAACCTAGATTTCACAATGGTTAAATCAATGCAGTCCCACCACCTGCCCCCCAAAAAGAAAAGATACTAGAGAGAGTACTCACTCCTCTCTTCAAATTTTAACATATTGATTCAAGTGTCCCTGGTAAGAAAAAAGTCTCTAACATCAAAACTAAATTCCTTCCCTCTTTCATTAGGTTCAAACCTCTGTCAAAGAATATGGGGTTCAAACCTCTGCCAAAGAATATGGGGCGGGGAGGTGTTGCCCTGAACTAAATTATGGACACAAATTTCAATTGCTGCCAGGCGCAGTGGCTCATGCTTGTAATCCCAGCACTTTGGGAGGCCAAGGCAAGTGGATCACCTGAGGTCAGGAGTTCGAGACTAGCCTGGCCAACATGGTGAAACGCTATCTCTACTTAAAAAAAAAAAAAAAAGAGTTAGCCAGGCATGGTGGCACACTCTTGTCATCCCAGCTACTCGGGAGGCTAAGGCAGGAGAATTGCCTGAACCTGGGAGGTGGAGGCTGCCGTGAGACGAGACGGCACTACTGTACTCCAGCCTGGGCAACAGAGTGAGACTCTGTCTCAAAAAAAAAAAAAAAAATTAAATTGCCACAAAATCCAAAATGACTCCCTTAGCGCTACCTTGCTTTTTAGAAAGCAAAGATTTGTTGATATCAGAGGGGATCACCCAGAGATTAAAAAGAAGAGGTAATTAGTGAGCAACCATACCATAATCCAGCAAGATCCCAAATGCCTCACCAAAAAAAAAAAAAAAAAAAAAACACCTATTATTTTTCTCCTGTAACCTTTCAACTGGTAATAATTTTGCTTCCTAGACTGTACTCATTACTAACTTATTAGCTTTAGCTTTTCAGACCAAAGACATATATAACTGCAGAGCTTCTGTTAAGCATGAAACAACCATAATTAAGTGACTCAATTTCAGGTCAGCCTACTTCTTAAAAAAAAAGGGGGGGGGGGGCATTTTAGCCTATGTAGTCTCATTAATAAAATATAATACAGTTAAGAGAGAGTTCTAGAATCAAAACATGGTTGCCTGATTTCAGATAAGGTACTTGTTTCCTCATCTATAAAATAAAGATATTACTAATACCTGTCTCATAGAGTTCTTAAGGAAGAAAGGAAATAATTAATACACATAACACTCTTAGAACAGTGCCGGGCAAACAGAAAATGCTCAATAAATGTTTTAATCATTAGTAACATTTCTCTAGGCTTTAAAATACATTATAATAACCTGGGGACCTGGATCCATCACCACCTCCAACAATCTCTAAAGAGTAAAGGGACTTGAGCTATAAAGTTCTGTAACTTTGTCTTTAAATGTCCAAAACATGTGAAATTAAATCAATAATATGCTTTTCACCTGAATTCATGTCTCCCCTAAAGATGGGACATTCATGAAAATGTTTTATCTGTTGTTTTCCTCCTACCTTGTAGACCTAGAGTGGGTTAGTCCACTAAAAAGAAAGGCAAGCCGGGCGCAGTGGATCACGCTTGTAATCCCAGCACTTTGGGAGGCTGAGGCAGGCGGATCACCTGAGGTCAGGAGTTCGAGACCAGCCTGACCAACATGGAAAAACCCCATCTCTACTAAAAATACAAAATTAGCTAGGTGTGGTGGTGCATGCCTATAATCCCAGCTACTCGGGAGGCTGAGGCAGGAGAATCGCTTGAACCCAGGAGGCGGAGGTTGCAATGAGCCAAGATAGCACCATTGCACTCCAGCCTGGGCAACAAGAGTGAAACTCCATCTAAAAAATAAAAAAAAAATTTTTTAAAAAGGCAAAAGCCCTATTTTTATGTGTTTCAGTTTTCTGTACTAAAAATACATTCTTATTATAATCAGAAAATACAATAGACATTGTAAGATTAGTGTTTTCCCCCCGAAATAGTTTACTGGTAATCAAGAATTATTATACAATCTACTTATTTATTCAGGTGCCTAATAAAATAGTTTAGATTCTTAGGGGTTTTAGTATTTTCTTCCTACTTCTGTACCTATTACATTGCTCATGAGCAAAGGCTTGCAAACAAAATGCATTTACTAAAACCATATTATATTTTATATATCAGCAGTTCCCTTTTAGAATATAATCCATTTGTAATTCAACTGTTTGGAACTCAGAATTCATTTTCCCTTAAAAACAATGTTGTGAGTATGATTAAAATTCCTAAGTTAACCCCCCAAAAATATTTATAGTATTACTGAATTCTAGTAGTAAGAGTTACTGGTCCAGATTCTGAAATCCAGGGTCATGCCACCAAAGAGCAAGAATGAGTCCACCTTCTTTTTTTTTTTTTTTTTTTTTTCTTGAGGCTCAGAAGGGCTGTTGGCAAAATGTTAAAGCAGACAGTTTGTCTTGGTATCTTTCAACACCCCTCTAAGTTTGTGCTCCTGGGATCTCATGTTGCCCCTCAGGCCCACCTATGGCACCCCATCCAAGCCTGATCTTCCATGATGCAATTTTAGCCAATTTTCTTCTCTCACCCATCCTACCAGTGTCACTGATCCCATTTAGATATTAAATACAGAATCAGATGAATGAATCAACTCACACTGAATTCCACATACATTACTATTAATTACCCCTTAATCCTAACATGGAGCATCCGACCATATAAAATGAAGTGAAATATTCAGGCCACATCAAAATAGACATTATTGACCTACAAGGGCACCAGTCGCAATCAGCTTTTCACAATTCTTACCTTCTTCTTTCTAAGACCAACAGGTTTTGAAAAGTACCAAACCTTCTCACAAAGACATCTATAGTGAAGAAAATATTAGCAGCAGGGAATGGACACCCTTTGAGAAACTTAAAATTTAAGAAATATACATAAAGGCTGGGCATGGTGGCTCACGCCTGTGATCTCAGCTTCTTGGGAGGCTGAGGCATGAGAACTGCTTGAACCCAGGAGGTGGAGATTGCAGTGAGCCGAGATCATGCCACTGCACTGCAGCCTGGGCAACAGAACAAGACTCTGTCTTTAAAAAAAAAAAAAAAGAAAAGAAAAAGGAAATACACATAAGAATGTGTGAAACTAAAGAACTATGATTAGTCTAAATTAACACAAAATGCTAAGGGAACACAAAAATTATGTCTGGAGAAGTTGTAAATATAAGAGGTGGCAGAAATACATTCCAAAAAGAGAAGAAATAAGAAGGCATGGAGTTTGGAAACGGCAAGATATGTGCATGAGGTGATAGAGACACCACAATGGATAAAGTAGGACAGAAGCATGGTTTTGATTAGGTAGACTTATGGAGCCAGGCAGAAAAAGAAAAATCTTCAAGCAAACAAGTACAGGTTAGATTTGAATAGACAAAAAAACTGAGTCACTGCCAGGTAATTCTTTGTTGTGGAGGATGTCCTGTACACTGTAGGATGTTTAGCAGTATCCTTGGCCTCTACTGAATAGATGCCATTAGCACCACTTCCCACCAAGTAGTGACAAGCAAAAATATCTCCAGACATTGTCACATGCTCCCTTGGAAGACAAATCCATCCTCCTCACCCCCATGGAGAACCACTTACCTAGTCCAACTCCCTTTATGAGATAAATAAACTGATTTCCTGGTAAGTCACATAACTTGCTACAGTCGCACAGCCTAGTTTGGGTTTTGTTACAGCTAGAATATAAACTAAGCCCAAAAGCACTGGTCACAGTAGGCTCTGTGATATTCCTACATTATAATTAGAATGGCTAACAACAATTCTTTAGAAGTTAGATCAAAATTATTTTTATATGCCTAAGATGAACACTTTACTGCAATGTATCAGCTATTGTTTCTGTGCCTTTAAAGAATCAATCTTTAATTAACAAAAACAACAACAGAAATTGAGCTACTGAGGGAGCTCAAACAGGCAATGTGCAACTTACACTATAATAGCTGGTCAAATTTCTGTGCACCTGAGTATCTTCTCTAAGTAGCCAATTTTTCCTAATGGCTGAAAATCTGTCCCCTTAGATATAAGGTATTTTTTTCCAATTTTAACTCTCTTGGACAGAAATCTTTACTTCTATACATATACTGCCTTTCATTCTTGAACAAAAATTTTAAAAATAATTCTATTTTAGGATTCAGGGTCATTATGAAATCCATTCATAACTGTGCAACAACACTTTGAGATCTTCAGAGAATACTGTAAGTAGGGAACAACAATTAGTTTTACGTAGCTCAAATACAGTATATGTGGGAAAGGGTGGGAGACTGGGCTAAACAAGATAGTTTGGAGGCAGACTAAGGAATTTGATTTTTATTTCAGGAGGCAGACTAAGGAGTTTGATTTTTATTTCAAAGAGTAAGAACTTATCCTTTTTTGGTGGGTAAATGAAATGAACAGATCTATTTTCCAAAGGCCACAAATGAATAAAATAGAGTGGGAAAAAACTGGAATCCAACAAGAAGCTCTAGTAAGAGGCAACAGATCAATGGCTGGGCGTGGTGACTCACACCTGTAATCCCAGCACGTAAGGAGGCCAAGGCAGGTGGATCACCTGAGGTCAGGAGTTCGAGACCAGCCTGGACAACAAGGTGAAACCCCATCTCTACCTGAAAAAAAAAAAAGAAAACGATAAAATTAGTCAGGCATGGTGGCATGTGCCTGTCACACCGCTGCACTCCAGCCTGGGTGACAGTGCGAGACACTGTCTCAAAAAAGAAAAAAAAAAAAAAGAGGCAAGAGGCCAAGCAGGAAGCAGAGGCTCACTGAATTAGGGTGACAGTGATGGCAAGGAGGGAGAGACAAGACAGATAAAACCAAGAAAATCAATTTGGTGACTAATGGGGTGGGAAACAGAGTGGGTATAAAGAGTCAAAGGGCCAGGTGCAGTGGCTCACACCTGTAATCCCAGCTACTCAGGAGGCTGAGGCAGAAGGACTGCTTTCAAGCCAGGAGTCAGAGACCAGCCTTGGCAACATAGCAAGACCCATCGCTGCCTCCGTTAACTATAGTCATGCATCGCTTAACAATGGGAATATGTTCTGAAAAACATGTCATTAGGTAATTTCATTGTTGTGCAAACACCATACAGTGTACTTAGAAAAACCTTGATGATATATCCTACTACACAACTAGGCTATGTGGTATGGCCTATCACTGCTAGGCTACAAACCAGCACGTTACTGTACTGAATTCTGTTGGCCACTGTGACACAGTGGTATTTGTGTATCTAAACATAGCAATGGTACAGTAGAAATACAGTAGTATAATCTTATAGGACCACCTTCGTATTTGTGGTCTGTCACTGACTGACATGACTATTACCCATTAGACGTGTCATCCTCATGCAGGATACATGAGGGCAGTGACTTATTCTCCGTATGCCCAGTGCCTAGAGTCATTTCTGGCACAAAGTAAACAGCAGAATATTTGTTGACTAACTGATTCTCACTCCCAATTCCAGTTTTTAAAGGTCTATTAATCCCATTCTAACCCTCCTCAGATAGAAAAACCTCATCTCTTCCAAAATGCCTCTCCTGACTGGCTCTAAAGAGCTTCAACTGAAATAAAACCATCCTGCTTCTGGTTATGTTTCAGTCATCTACGTTTTATTCTTCTCTAGCTTCCAATTCAGATAAGATACTCAAGGGCTACAAGACAGACCTCCTACTATAGTAATAAACCTACTAGGGCTGTGCCCAGGATGAATGGAATGTTCTCACTAATGGTCCACTGCTCAACTTGCTGTTGAGATACCACATAGCCATTTTATAGGTACCCGCAGCAAGCAGTGGTGGCAGCAGCAAGGATAGACAGAAGGAAGCACAGAGGAAGGAGTACAGCAGAGAAAGCAATCACATTTAGGTGAAACTAAAGGAAAGGATGGGAGATGGTGGCAGAACCCACAGAGCCTCACTCATCCCTTACTCAGGACCGTAACATTCCTTCCCAAAAGGGCTCTTAAATCAAGTTCTAGGAAGTCCATCTGCTGCCCTTTAGGACATTTTCCATCTATTATCACAACTCTATATCATTTTAAAAGGAGTGAAGTTTTAAACAAAAATCAAGGCCAGGCGCTGTGGCTCACGCCTGTAATCCCAGCACTTTGGGAGGCTGAGGCAGGTGGATCACCTGACGTCAGGAGTTCCAGACCAGCCTGGTCAATATGGTGAAACCCCGTCTCTACTAAAAATACAAAAAATTAGCCAGGCATAGTGGTGGGTGCCTGTAATCCCAGCTACTCAGGAGGCTGACGCAGGAGAATCACTTGAACCCAGGAGGCAGAGGTTGCAGTGAGCCAAGATCACGCCACTGCACTCCAGCCTGGGCAATAAAAGCAAAACTCCGTCTCAAAAATAATAAGAAGAAAAATAATAAAAATACTAATGGCACAAGCACAAACTATTATATGACGCAATTCATCTGGGGAAGACAGGTGTTTATGAATTACTTACCTCCCCATAGCCCAAAGAAGAAGAGAGGGGAAAAAGTCAAAAAGAAAAATTGAATAGAACAATGCAACTCTAAAAGGGGAGCTCTCGCTTGAGAATGCAGTGTGTCTATGGTCCTCCCCCGTCTCTCCCATTCTCCTCCATCTTCACTCCAACCTTCTGGCCCCCTGCAGCCCCCGTTGATGAGCAGCAGGAATATAGAATCCAAACTAATTCATCTCAACTTGCAAAGCAGTTTATCATAATTACCAGAATAATAGAAGACACTATTGGCTTATAAGCCTTAAGACTTCTGTCAAATCTTAGAGTTGATTTTTTATTTCAAATTCCCCTTCCACAGAAAAACATGATGTTTAAAGAACTTCACTTGTCAAACTAGATCAAAGTTTAAAAAGTTCCATACAAAATAGAAGTTTAAAGGAGAAGCTGACAGCTCTCTCAACAATTCTCTTATGCCTGTCTATAATTGTCTTCAGCATCATTATAATACCAGACTACCAGCATCGAGACACCAAACATTGTTAAAAAAAAATTTTGAGGAAGAAAAAAACATAAAGACGCAAACACAACCCTCCCAAGTTTTTTCTTTTTAAACATAACTTCAACAATAAACTCAGTTACATTCTAAGCGAGACAGCTCTCTCTCCAGTTTGTAAGTTTCATGGCTAGTTTAAGTTACGACAACTCAAGCAGCTCTATTTCTGCATTTCCTAATTAAAAACTTACCAGAAAAATAATTTTTAACCAAAGCCAGAAAGAGGTTAGCAAAGAGTAACTTATGATGAGGCTACAGAGACAAAGGAAATAGTGCACATAGGCAGAATAACCATTTTCCCCATTCAGTGCTGCAGCTCCAGGAATCTAATGATTCTCCATTTATTCAAAAATGAAAATGATTACAGAATTCCCTGGTGTTGACAGCAGGTGATTTTTAACTTCACCGCTGCCTGACAGGCACCTACAGGCTTTACCTGGCCTCAATCTGTCCAGTTTGGAACTGCCAATTAGTAGCTTCTCAAAAGCAAATCTCAATGTAAGCTATTTTTAAAAAGTACTTTTCAAAGTGCCAAATACAATGGACTAGTCAAACTCAGCATGTTAGAACAAAATAAAACTTGAGTGCCCAATCCAGGTTGCAACTGTCAAAGCCAAGTGACAAAGAGTAAAGAAAGGATAAAGTTCTCAAAACAGTAATGATATCTGTACTTTCCTACTAAATATAAAGAAGACTGCAGCAATCTAAAAGGGATCATCACTGGTAATCTTAGCCCTTTCTCAGTTGAGGTTCCACAAGGCAGAATTAGGCACTAATGCCCTAGGGCAGAAAAATTAACAAACCTTTCTGTAAGTATTTTACGCTTTTAGGCCACTACATCTCTGTCACAACTACTCAATTCTGTCACTGTAGCACAAAATTAACCACCAATGATAAGTAAATGAGCATGACCGTGTTCCAATAAAACTTTATTTATGAACATACTGAATTGAATTTCATGTAATTTTCACACAAAAATACTTTTCCAAGGCTTTAAAAACGTAACATCATTCTTATAAAAAAATTCTGAATTCACTGGCCAGATCTGGCTCTAGGCAGTTTACTGACCTATTCCCAAGGCATCCTTTACATGTAACAGATTAACTTCTTTCCTATGTATCTAGAATGGTACCAATTATGTATCATATTATGGAGAATAGAGAAAATAATCACCCATAACACTTTCTGTGTATCAATAGTACTCTGATTGTCTAATATTCTGCAGAGTCTCACTCTGTCGCCAAGCTGGAGTGCAGTGGCGCGATCTCGGCTCACTGCAACCTCTACCTCCTGGGTTCAAGCGATTCTCATGTCTCAGCCTCCCAAGTAGCTGGGATTACAGGCAAATGCCACCACACCCAGCTAATTTTTGTATTTTTAGTAGAGACAGGGTTTCACCATGCTGGCCAGGATGGTCTCGATCTCCTGACCTCGTGATCCGCCCCCCTCAGCCTCCCATAGTGCTGGGATTACAGGCGGGAGCAACCACACCCGGCCGATTGATGAGGTTTTTGGGGGCACTTGTTAACTTGAGCAAATAACCTTACATGAGCTAATATTTTAAAATAATTCTCAAAATATAAAAAACATAAAAAGTAACTTTCACATGTAGTATATTGCCAACGGGTGATATAAATCAAACTGGTGCAAATTAAATCTCTGGTTAATATATCACCAGAAATAAACATTCTTTTAGTAAAGCCAATAATTCAACTATCATCTTTCAATCTATTTTGTAACTTCAAATGCAAAACCTACCTGAATAAAAATCACAAGTATACGCCAGGCACAGTGGCTCAAGCCTGTAATCCCAGCACTTTGGGAGGCTGAGGCAGGCAGATCACGAGGTCAGGAAATTAAGACCATCCTGGCTAACATGGTGAAACCCCATCTCTATTAAAACTACAAAAAATTAGCCAGGCATGGTGGCATGCGCCTGTAGTCCCAGCTACTCGGGAGGCTAAGGCAGGAGAATTGCTTGAACCTGGGCGGCGGAGGTTGCAGTGAGCCGAGATCACGCCACTGTACTTCAGCCTGGGCGACAGAGCGAGACTCCATTCCAAAAAAAAAAACAAAAAAAAAAAAATCACAAGTATAAATTATAGGATTGCCTCAGATACTAACAAACTAGATTTGAGTTCCAGCTCCACCTCTTTCTAGATGAGTGAGCTTCGGCAAGTTCCAGACTCTTTACTGTTAAGGAGTAAATATCTGCAACGTCCAAGAGTAGTCAAAGCGTGCAATTCAACTTATGTGAAAGGGTCTGTATACTACATAGTGCTACAGAAATATCAGCTGCCATTATTAGGTGCTCGATGGCTTTCTTCATAACTTTAATACTATAATTTTCCCTTTTATTTTAAAGGGACAAGGGTCTTGCTATGTTCTCCAGGTTGGACTTAAACTCCTGTGCTCAAGGGATCCTCTTGCCTAACTAAGCCTTCCAAACAGCTGCACCTGGCTCAATTTTCCACACTTTTTAATAGCACTTGCTAGTTTCTGCTAAGGCTTGGGTTCTTAGTGGAATATTGTGCACCTAGAAGTATATTTCATTGAATACATTTAAGCAAAGCATAATGTAAGGCACTGTGGTGGAACTAAAGATGACTGAGATGGCCTCAACCCTCAAACAGCTTAAAATGAACTCAGACATATACAAATGATGAATCAGGGCTATAACAGGAACAGGCAAAAGCCAACATGAGTGTCCTATGGGATCAGGAAAAGCTGTACAGGTATTTAATCAGGGCCTGGGTCACAGAGCAATTCTAAGAGCTGAGGTAGAGATGAGAGAACACTTCACTTCACAAATTCCAGGATGCAGGGCAGTGCAAGTTCTAAAATTCCAAAAATAATGTTTCATTTTAAAAATCTAACCAGGAAAAGAAAAACTGTACCATTAGTCTTTAGACCTCTAAAAGGTAAACATCATGAAGGATAAGCTAAGGCTCACTTTAAGCTCAGAAGTTAGGAAAATTATGAACAATGCTGGTTTCAACCCATTTCATCATTATTTCCCAAAGCACTTTACAAACATTTTATCTAAGAGAGTATGTTCCAAGGACGCTGAGTACAAGGAAGGGACAAGTCCAGCCTAGCAAGTCTCTGAGGGAGTAGAGACTGGCATACGCTGCTCTACTGATGATACATGCAACCTGCTTCAAAAACCATTTTCCTAAATGCTGCAAGTTACCACAGCTCACAGTACGAAAAAGCAATAAAACAAGTTAGTTCTTGGAAGATTAAGCTATACATGCTTCCTTTGAGGAAAAGGGGCTAGGAAATCTGACATTTTTCTACAGTTTATTTTCTTATCTGTATCATTAAAAACCTTTCCCCTAACCAAATTTCATTTATGTTTACCCTTCTGCCAACAAAGACAACGAAACAGGTTTACTTTGGAGCTGTGCCTAGGCATGGTAAATTTTAACCCAGAAGAAAATTAAAAAACAAAAAAAAAATGTGAGTGATAAGGAGGGTGTATATAACACATTATAACACCTAAAAATGACTGCTGTCTGTAATTCAGTTACGTCTGCCTCCCAAGATTGCCACTTGCCAGTCACACCATCAGTAGAAGATTAAAGATGGCCCCAAGCTCTGTGCTACTCCTCTCATTGAGAAATGGAGTCCAGTTCTCCTTCTCTTGAATCTGGGCAGGCTCCATAACTGCTTTGACCACGGAATATGGTAGAAGTGATGCTATGCCAGTCTCCAACTGAGCCCATCAACTGTGAGAGATGATAATTGCTTTTTTTTTTTTTTTTGAGACGGAGTCTTGCTCTGTCGCCCAGGCTGGAGTGCAGTAGCGTGATCTCGGCTCACTGCAAGCTCCACCTTCTGGGTTCATGCCATTCTCTTGCCTCAGCCTCCCATGTAGCTGGGACTATAGGCGCCCGCCACAACGCCTGGCTAATTTTTTGTATTTTTTTTTTTTTTTAGTAGAGACGGAGTTTCACCGTGTTAGCCAGGCTGGTCTCGATCTCCTGACTTCGTGATCCGCCCACGTCGGCCTCCCAAAGTGCTGGGATTACAGGAGTAAGCCACCGCGCCCAGCCGATAATTGCTTTTTAAGACCCTAAGTGTTAAAGTGGTTTGTTCAGAAGCAACAAGTAAGCAGAACCTCAGCCAGCAGACCACAGCTCCAGTTTTCAGGCCTTTCACCACACCAATAGCCTAAACACTGTTTCACTTAGAAAAGAAAAAAACTGGCCGGGCGCAGTGGCTCACGCCTGTTATCTCAGCCCTTTGGGAGGCCAAGGCGGGCAGATCATGAGGTCAGGAGGTCAAGACCATCCTGGCTAACATGGTGAAACCCCATCGCTACTAAGAATACAAAAAATTAGCCGGGTGTGGTGGCGGGCGCCTGTAGTCCCAGCTACTCGGGAGCCTGAGGCAGGAGAATGGCATGAACCTGGGAGGTGGAGCTTGCAGTGAGCCAAGATTGCGCCACTGCACTCCAGCCTGGGCGACAGGGCAAGACAAGAAAGAAAGACAAGAAAGACAGAGAAGGAAAGAAAGACAAGGAAAGACAGAAAGACAGACAGACAAAGAATCAATCAATCTTGGCCAGGTGCAGTGGCTCACGCCTATAATCCCAACACTTTAGGAGGTCGAGGCGGGCAGATCACTGGAGCCCAAGAGTTCAAGACCAGCCTGGGCAACTGGCAAAACCCTGTCTTCACAAAAAAAAGAAAAGAAAAAAAGAAAAAAAGCCAGGCGTGGTGGTCTTGTGGTCCCAGCTGCTCAGGAAGCTGAGGTGGGAGGATCAATTGAGCCCAAGGGGTGGAGGTGACAGTGAGCCAAGATCACACCATTGCACTCCAGCCTGGGCAACAAAGTGAGACTCTGTCCCCCCAAAAAAAGAAAACAATAGAAAAAAAATAATCTTATTGTATTCAGCATTTGTTAGTATTTATTAACTTTGAGAATATGTTCAAATTAGCTTTTTTTTTTTTTAGAAACTACAAGGATACACAAGGACAGAAAACTATCAGTGTTGGAAATGTTAAAAGAATATGCAATGTCTCAGCTAGAAAAGAAAAAGAGGTCTCATTTACCAATGATTGTTGAGTATATTAAAGGTTTTTTAGTGAGGAAAATGCTGAGTAATTGCAAAAACAGGCCCAAGCCATTAAGCAAACACTGGTCTCTAAACAGGAATAATGTGGACCGCATAGTTCTCAAAACAAAATTCTCCTATTAGCTCTCAGATCTGATTTCAGCTTCAGAGAAACAGAAACAGATAGGATTTTACAAAACTGTATAACAAGCAAAGACAGGAACACATTTTTTTTTTTTTTTGAGACGGAGTCTCACTCTGTCACCCAGGCTGGAGTGCAGTGGCACGATCTCGGTTCTCTGCAAGCTCCGCCTCCCGGGTTCAAGCCATTCTCCCGCCTCAGCCTCCCAAGTAGCTGGGACTACAGGTGCCCGCCACCACACCCAGCTAATTTTTTTGTATTTTTTAGTAGAGATGGGGTTTCACCGTGTTAGCCAGGATGGTCTCAATCTCCTTACCTCGTGATCCACCTGCCTCAGCCTCCCAAAGTGCTGGGATTACAGGCATGAGCTACCACACTCAGCCAGGAACACTTAAAGAAACAAAATCACCTGAATAGTCAAGGCACAGTGGGCTTAAGAAATTAAGATTTTTTTTTTTTTTTTTTGTGAAACAGTTTCACTCTGTTGCTCAGGCTGGAGTGCAGTGGCACAATCTCAGCTCACTGGAACCTCCGCCTCCTGGGTTCAAGCAATTCTTGTGCCTCAACCTCCTGAGCAGCTGGGATTACAGGCACACACCACCACGCCTGGCTAATTTTTGTATTTTTAGTAGACACGGGGTTTTGCTATGTTGGCCAGGCTGGTATCAAACTCCAGACCTCAAGTGACCCACCCACCTCGGCCTCCCAATGTGCTGGGATTACAGGCGTGAGCCACCACACCCAGAAAGAAATTAAGATTTAAAAGATCATCCTGTAGCAGAAATCACAACATAATGAATGAGATTATTTAACATTGGGATGCTCATAGGGCCAGGGTATCTCCCAAACTCTAAAAATAAAATTAAGGCAACTAAAAGAGCAAGGATGGAATATAAAGTTATCTAAGTAAATTCCAATCTATTCTAGTCCTTTTCTTGATGTCAAGTAAGGGTGTTTGCTGATAAGTGATTTTTATAGTACTATTATTATTATTTAAAAAGCAAATTAGGGTATATATAAACAGGAGAATAGAGAAACTGGTTGTATAGTTATACAATGAAATAATACTATATAAAGTATGCAATAATAAAGATGAACAAACTTATTCATACAACACTGATAAATATCAAAAACATTACACTGTGTCAAAGAGTATATAATGTACACAGCATATGACTCCATTTATACGACTTTCAAAACAGGCAAAACTAATCTATGATGGGGAAAAAAATCAGGACCATGGCTGCCTGATAGGGTACGAGAAACAGCAGAAGGGACCAGCCTGACTAGGAAGGGACATGAGGAACCTTTCTGGAGCGAGAGTAGCATTACATAGTATATCTCCTGGTAAAGGTTTGGGTTACAGAGTACCACAGTCTCAATGTCGGTGTCCTCCCCAAAATTCATTTGTTGGAACCGAATACCGAATGTGATAGTATAAAGAAGTGGGGCTTCTGGGAGGTAACTAAGTTATTAAGGCATCGCCCTCATCAATGGAATTAGTACCTTTATAAAAGAGGATGAAGGGAGCACCTTAGACCCTTCCGCCACATAAGGACACAGCAACAAGGTGCCGCCTATAAGGAATGGGCCCTCATCGGACACTGAATCTGCCAGTACCTTGACCTTGCCCTCCAGAACTATGAGCAATAAATTTACACTGTTTATAAATTACCCAAGTATTTTGTTATAGTAGCCCAAACTAAGACATACAGGTATGTGCATTTGTCAAAACTCACTGAATACTATGCTTGAGAGATGTATTTTTCACTGTATATAAATTGTACTTCAAAACTTAAAAACAGGCTGGGCACGGTGGCTCACGCCTGTAATCCCAGCGCTTTGGGGGGCCGAGGCTGGTGGATCACAAGGTGAGGAGATCGAGACCATCCTGGCTAACACAGTGAAACCCCGTCTCTAATAAAAATACAAAAAAATTAGCCGGGCATGGTGGCAGGCCCTGTAGCCCCAGCTACTCGGGAGGCTGAGGCAGGGGAATGGCGTGAACCCGGGAGGCAGAGCTTGCAGTGAGCCAAGTTCGCGCCACCGCACTCCAGCCTGGGCAACAGAGCCAGGCTCCATCTCAAAAACAAAACAAAACAAAACAAAAACTTAAAAACAAATGTTAAACTCTAGTTAATGATATGCATGCTGAAGTACAGAAGGGTAAATGTATTGAGTCTACAATTTACTTGGAAAATAAAAAATAAGATTAATAGATGGATAGAAGGATGGAAAGCAAATAAAGCAAAATATTACAGAATCTAGGTAGTAAATAAATGGATGTACAATTCTTGATTTCTCATGATAAAATGTTATGGGGGAGGAGAAAATCAGACACTAGAGAAATAGTCTCTCTTTCCATAAAGTTATTACTCAAAGAACTGAAACTTATTCGGAAACCCTTCTTAAAATACCCTCTTTCATTCATTACCCTCTTTCATAACTAAAGTGAAATATTTACTCAAGATCTCTAAATTTCCTCTGTGTTGATTTTTCTATAACCCAGCAACCCATTAACTGATTACTGATTGTTTCTCAAGTATCTTGAAGTCACAAAGGGGAACTTCCAGTCTGAGACAAATGTATAACAGATTCAAGCATTATGGTTACAAAGCATATTCTAAAAAATTTTAATAAATTGGTTCCTTGCTTTATTATTAAAATAATTAATCTTCCTGTTATCTCTGTTTTTTCTAACCAAATGTTCTCTTTTCTGTTTGTTTAGCAGAACTGCCTCCCCAAAAGTCTTAAGAAACCTTCAACTTAAAAAAGAGTTTCTGGTTTTGGAAAGCAAAAGACCAGATCATTGTACAGTGAAAACTACAAAATGTTGTTGAAAGAACTGAAGACAGATAAATGAAAATATATCCCATGTTCAAGGATAGGAAGACTAAATATTGTTAATATGGAGACATTCCCCAAATTCATCTGGAGATGCAATGCAACCCCTACCAAACTCCAAGCTGGCTTTTTTGCAGAAGCTGACAAGCTGATCAAGCTGACAAGCTGACAAGCTGATGAAATTCATATGTAATTTCAAAGGACCCAAAACAGCCAAAACATGCTTGATAAAGAAGAATGAAATTGTAGAAGTCACACAATTCCTGGTTTCAAAACCTATTACAAAGGAAGTACTCAAGACAGTGTGACATTGGCATAAAGACAGAAATTAATGAAATAAAATTGGCCAGGCGCGGTGGCGCATGTCTGTAATCCCAGCACTTTGGGAGCCTGAAGCAGGCGGATTGCTTGAGCTCAAGAGTTCAAGACCAGCCTGAGCAACATGGTGAAACCCCATCTCTACCAAAAATACAAAAAATTAGCCAGGCAAGGTGGTGGGTCCCTGTAGGCCCAGCTATTTTGGGGGCTGAGGCAGGAGAATCGCTTGAACCCAGAAGGCAGAGGTTGCACTGAGCCGAGATCGCGCCACTGCACTCCAGCTTGGGCAACAAGAGCGAAACTCCATCTCAAAAAAAAAAATAGATAACCAACTTAAATGTAAAATAAGAGCTAAAACTGTAAAACTATTAGAGAAAACATAGTGTAAATATTTGTGACCTTGAATTAGGTAAAGTTTTCTCAGATATACCAAAAGCACAAGCAAAAACAACAAAAAGATAAATAAGAATTCATCAAAATTAAAACTTTTGTGCTCTAAAGGACACATCCCCAAAAAACGTGAAACCACCACCTACAAAATGGGAAAAAAATTTGCAAATCCTGTATCTGATAAATAACTAGTAACCAGAATACATAAATTTTACAACTTATGGCCGGGTGCGGTGGCTCAAGCCTGTAATCCCAGCACTTTGGGAGGCGGAGGCAGGTGGATCACGAGGTCAAGAGATCGAGGTCATCCTGGCCAGCATGGTGACACCCCGTCTCTACTAAAAATACAAAAATTACCCAGGTGTAATGGCACACGCCTGTAGTCCCAGCTACTCGGGAGGCTGAGGCAGGAGAATCACTTGAACCCGGGAGGCAGAGCTTGCAGAGAGCTGAGATCGCGCCACTGCACTCCAGCCTGGCGACAGAGCGAGACTCCATCTCAAAAAAAAAAACAAAACAACAACAACAAAAAATAAAAAATAAAAAAATAACTGGCCGGGCACGGTGGCTCACGCCTGTTATCCCAGCATTTTGGGAGGCCAAGGCAGGCAGATCACTTGAGGTCAGGAGATCGAGACCATCCCAGCTAACACGGTGAAACCCCGTCTCTACTAAAAATACAAAAAATTAGCTAGGCATGGTGGCACGCGTCTGTAGTCCCAGCTACCCGGGAAGCTGAGGCAGGAGAATCGCTTGAACCTGGGAGGCGGAGGTTGCAGTGAGCTGAGATCGCGCCACTGCACTCCAGCCTGGGCGACAGAGTAAGACTCTGTCTCAAAAAAAAAAAAGAAATTTTACAACTTACAAGTAAAAAGGCATACAACTCAATTTTAAAACATGCAAAATATTTAAACAGACATTGTTCCAAAGTAGATACACAAATGGTCAATGGGCATATTTAATGATACTCAACATCATCAGTCATTAAGGAAATGCAAATCAAAACACAATGGAGATGCCACAGGGTTGGCTATAATCAAAAAGAGCAGCAATGACAAGTATTGGCAAAGATGTGAAGAAACTGGAGTCTTCATACATTGCTGGTGGGAATGTAAAATAATGTAGTTGCTCTGGAAAACAGGGTGGTAGTTTACTCAAAAGTTAAACAGAGTTACCATATCATCCCGAAATTCCCCTCCTAGGTATTCAAATAAGAGAAGTGAAAACAGGTGTTCACACAAAAACTTGTAAACAAATGTTCACAGCAGTATTATTCATAATAGCCAAAAACCTGAAACAACTCATTATCCATCAGCTGATGAACAGATAAACAAAATGTGGTATATCCACATGGAGTATTATACAGCCACAAAAAGACATGAAGTACACTACAACATGGAAGAACCTTGAAAACGTTATGCTAAGTCAAAGAAGCCGGACACAAAAGGTCATATATGGTATGATTCCACTTATGTGAAATGTCCAGAACTGGCAAATCCATAGAACCAGAAAGTAGATTCATGTTTAGCAGGAGCTGAGGGGAGAAGTGACTGCTATTGGATATGAGATTTCTTTATGAAGTGATGAAATTGTCTTGAATTACAAAGTGATGAAATTGTCTGGAATTAAGACAGTAGTGATGGTTGCATAACTTTGTGAAGAGACTAAAAACCACACACAGTTATACACTCCAAAAGGATGAAATTTATGGTAGGTGAATTATATCTCAATATTTTTTAAATTAAGCAAAAAAAAATTTGAGGAACAAAACAACAACTTTACCTTCCACCTGCAAAAATGTTATGAACACTTTCATTCCCTTCATAACTAGAAAATGATAATCCCAAAGCTTCAGATAAGCCAAATATCAGCACTTCAAAGATGCATCTAAATCTGAGCCAGAAGTTCAAGAACAAACTTTCTAATGTTTCTGGGTTAAAATACAGCAAGTTGTCCTTGTCTACAAATGTAGCACCACCCAGATTGCAGCCCTGGGTCTCCCTGTCAGTCCCTATGTTTTAAAACAGAAGGGTGTGAAATCAAAACAGCTTCAACCTCGAAGGCCTCCAGGGATATTCTAAAATAAAGTAACATCAAGTTGCCGTAATATTTATGACACTATTTAAATTGTATCAATATAATTTTAAACAAAGTGTATTTTTGTGTATATTTAGCATATTGGTATACACGCTGTTCTCTATATATGTTGTTCTTTAATAAGAGTCTATCGGCCGGGCGTAATGGCTCATGCCTGTAATCCCAGCACTTTGGGAGGCTGAGGTGGGCGGATCAACTGAGGTCGGGAGTTCGAGACCAGCCTGACAACATGGAGAAACCCTGTCTCTATTAAAAATACAAAAAAGTTAGCCGGGTGTGGTGGCGCATGCCTGTAATCCCAGCTGCTCGGGAGGCTGACGCAGGAGAATCGCTTCAACCTGGGAGGCAGAGGTTGCAGTGAGCCAAGATTGCACCATTGCACTCCAGCCTGGGCAACAAGAGCAAAATTCTATCTCAAAAAAAAAAAAAAAGGACTATCTATACATTAAAAGGACCCATTGTCTCTGATTACACAGTTCCAATGCTGAAATGCTTAAAATTCCCTAAAATAACAACAGAGCAGTTACATATAGCAAAATACGCTGAAGAATGTTTACAGAAAATCACACACAGCAAAATAAGATTTTTAGAATATCTGAAAAAAACTACTTGACCTTAATCCTCACACTGTCTCCTCTAATAATTCCAATATGTCCTTTCTTCTTGTGTCATATTGACACATACAGCACATGTCATGAATAAAATAGCATAAACCAGTATCAGCCAAGAAGTCTGTCCCCTCATCTTACCTCATACTTCACCTAATTTTTCCTATATATATACTGAGCTTTTCTTAAGAAATATATTTCATTATCTCCCACATGAACGCCTTCTTTCTATGACATCTCAACCTATACGGGGGAGGGGGAGAGACATGGAATCTGAGTATTAGTATCTTTTCAGCAACACAGATGCACTTCAAAAAGACATAACATACAATTGGAAAGACTTCAGAAAAGACATCTAAATATTTATAGGAATCGAAGTCCAGACTAAATAAAAGGGACTTCTTCCTAGAAAAACAAAAGCTGAGAGAGATGGTTAGGTCTATAAAATTAAGTCAAATATCAAGACAAATGAGGTGAACGCAATCTTGTCTGCCAGAACCTAGAAGACTAAGAAGTTGAAGTTCAAGAGTTTTTTAAAAAATTACCCTAAAAACATATATATTATTGGAAGTGTTAATAGAAGTGAAAATATAGATTCAAGAGAAGTTTCAATTCATGATGGTTAGATTCATGAATGATTAATGAAAGATGTTCATTTCTGGTACACATAGGATGTAATTACAACAATTTTTCACAAAACATACCCTGGTACCATGCTGGGCCAGAATACTGCTGAGAGGCACTAACATGACTTTAAAAGCATTACTCAAGTTCTTCTAGGACCTTCAAGGAGCAGAGATGTCTCAATTATCATCTTAACTTGACCATTCTTTGCAGCATGAACCTACTGCCATTTCTTCATTGAAATATCACCTCCTTTGGTTTCACTAACCTTATACTCACCTGATTTACCTCCTATCTCAGTGTATCCAACTCCTTTCCAAACTCATCTTTTTCTACCTGTGTTCCTCAGGGTTCCATCCTTAGTTATCTTTTCACTCTATACCACTGGGTCTCAAAAGAAAGTGACACTTTTTCAAGAGATGAAAGAAAAAAGGTCAAGGATGAACTATCCAAACCTTATCGTGGACCCACTAAACTGGGGCTAGGGAAAGCATGAGTAATGTGTTTTTTAGAAAAGACTCCCGAAGTGATTCTGACAACTCCATTTCTATCCCACAGAGAATCACTGATCTAACAATACTTCTTATGTGACTCTACCTGCTCCCTTGGCTTCAGTTATGACAATACACACTCATGTCACCCTAAATGATAAAGCCCTAGCTCATCCTCTCTCCTAATTCAGACACCTAAGGCATTTTCACACTTAGATTGTCCATAAGCCCTAAAATTCAACATATTTCATGCTACTTTTGTAGCATAATAATACTCATCAAGAAGGAACTAGATAAACTGATTACATAAAATCTGGTACATGCACCTAACTGGAATACTGTTCTGCCATTTATTATACAGGATGCTAGAAATGTATATGCTCATTTGGAAAGAATTCCAAGATACGTTAACTGAAAAAACTGAGGTGGTTCCGGAATAGTGTGTCGTATGCTATTTGTGTTAAAAAAAAGAACAAATGCAGTACATGCATAGGAAACATACTCAAAAGAACATAACCATGACTAAGTGGGACTAAGGCTATGGTCTCCCAGTAAGGGACTAAAACTAGGAGGGAGACATCCTTTTCATAATATACCCATTTATGTGTTTAAATTTTTTACCACACAAATACACTCATTTTATAATTTTTTTAAAAAAGGATTTAAAATAATACAAAACCATACAGTACATGTACATGCTATCTAAAAAAGGACTCATCCAGAATACATTTAAAAAAAAAAAAAAAAAAACTCTTACAGGCCAGGCATGGTGGCTCACGCCTGTAATCCCAGCACTTTGGGAGGCTGGGGCAGGAGGATCACTGGAGCCCAGGAGTTCAAGACCAGCCTGGGCAACATGGTGAAACCCTGTCTCTACAAAAAATTTAAGTTAGCTGAGTGTGGTGGCACACACCTGGGGTCCCAGCTACATGGGAGGCTGAGGCAGGAAGATCACTTGAGCCCATAGGCTGAGGCTGCAATGAGCCATGACTCTGTCACCGCACCCCAGCCTGGGAGAGAGTGGTGAGACTCTATCTCCAACAACAAAACAAAAACCTCTTACAAATGAATGAGAAAAAAGCAGATGACCTAATAGAAACGTAAGCAAAATGCTTAAACAGGCACCTCACAACAAAGTTTAGCCAAATGGCCAATGAAAAAAGATGCTCTATTTTGTTAGTCATCAGAGAAATATAAATTAAAAGAAAAATGCAATAACTTTATACAACCAAAATGAAAGTGACCATCAACAGCAACTATTGACAAAATGTGGACTAACCGGAACTCTCATATACTGGTGGTATGAATGTAAACCGATATAATCATTTTTGAAAACTGGTAGTATCTAGTTTTTTTTTTTGAAACATACATGCATACACACATATATCATAATGATATATGCATATGAGCATATATCATTATATATGCATGATATATGCATATATGAGCATATATCATTATATATGCATAATGATATATGCATATGAGCATATATCATTATATATACATAATGATATATGCATATGTATCATATAGTGTCAGCATTCAACACCACCAAATGCTGACAAGGATATGGAGCAACAGGAACTCTCATTCACTGCTGATAGGAATGCAAAATGGTACAATCATTTGTTAGAGTTTCGCAGTTTCTTACAAAACTAAACATACTCTTATCATATGATCCAGCAGTTGTGTTCCTTGGTATGTAACCAAATGAGCTGAAAACTTATGTCCACACAAAAACCTGCACACAGATGTTCCTAGCAGCCTTATTCATAATTGCCAAAACTTGGAAGCAATCAAGATGTCTTCCAGTAGGTAAGTGGATAAACTGTAGTATAATTCAGACACTGGAATATTATTCAGCACTAAAAATGAGCTAGCAAGCCATGAAAAGACATGGAAGGAACTTAAATGCTTATTACTATATAAAAGAAGTCAATCTGAAAAGGCTACATACTGTATGATTCCAACAATATGAAATTTTGGAAAAGCCAAAATTAGGGAGACAATGAAAAGTTGTTGCCAAAGGTTGAAGAGAAGGGAGAGATGAACAGGCAGAGCAGAGAGGGTTTTTACGGCAGTGAAATGTTCTATATGACATTATAATGGTAGATTCATTACACATTGTCAAAATCCACTGAATATACCACCACCAAGAGTGAATCCCACTGCAAACTATGGGCTTTGAGTGATAATGATGTGTCACTGTAGGTTCATCAATTCTATAAAATGTTCCACACTAATGTGAGATGTCGATAGTAGGGGAGGCTGTGTGTGTAGACAGTTAAAGGGTATATGGGAACTCTCTCTTTTTACCTTCTAGTAAATTTTGTTGTAAACCTGAAACTCCTTTTCAAAAATGAAGTCCTTTTTTTTTTTTTTTTTTTGAGACAGTGTCACTCTGTCGCCCAGGCTGGAAGTGCAGTGGCGCAATCTTGGCTCACTGCAGCCTCCACCTCCCAGGTTCAAGTGATTCTCCTGCCTCAGCCTCCCGGGTAGCTGGGACTACAGACGCTCGCCACCACGCCCAGCTAATTTTTGTATTTTTTAGTAGAGACGAGGTTTCACTATGTTGGCCAGGCTAGTCTCTAACTCCTGACCTCAAGTGATCTGCCTGCCTCGGCCTCCCAAAGTACTGGGATGACAGGTGTGAGCCACCGTGCCCGGCCATGAAGTCTATTTTTTTTAATCTACCAAAGTACACACTTGAAATGTTTGCAGTAAACTAAGTCATACTTCAATTAAAAAGTAGAAAAACATCTAAGAAGAAAAAAATTGTAAGTAATCTGTGATGGTACAAGTTGGGATAGTGATTACCCCTGAGAGAGGAAGGGAGCAGTTACTGGAAGAGGACAGGAAGAGGGATTCTTGGGGGCCGGAAATGCTATTTCTTGTTAGCTATTTCTGGTTACACAGGCATATTCACTTTGTGAAAATTCATTTAGCTATACACTGAAGATTCATGTATTTTTCATTATTTATATTTCAATAAAAAATTCACATAAAAAAAGATACAATGGTAGCATGCCTGTAGTCACAGCTACTTGGGAGGCTGAGGTGGACTGCTTGAGCCCAGGAGTTCTGGGCAGTACTGCATTATGCTGATCAGGTGTCCACACTAAATTCAGCATCAATATGGTGACCTGCCATGAACAAAGGACCATCAGGTTACCAAAGGAGGAGTGAACTGGCCCAGGTTAGAAATGGAGCAGGTCAAAACTCCTGTGCTCATCAGTAGTGGGATCACGCCCGTCCCAATGTTTTGGGAGGCCAAGACGGGAGGATCACTTGAGGCCAGAGGTTCAAAACCAGCTTGAGAAACAGAGACAGACCCCCATCTCTACAAAAAAAAAAGAAAAACTTTAAAATTTGGCAGGTGTGGTGGCATGCACCTGTAGTCCTAGCTACTTCAGAGGCTCAGGCAGAAGGATCACTTAAGCCCAGGAGTTCGAGGCTACAGTGAACTATGATCCTGTCACTGCACTCTAGCCTCCTGGGCAACAGAGCGAGACCCTGTCGAGGAGAGAGGGGAGAGGGGGAGGGAAGGGAAGAGAAAAGCAAAGCAAAGCAAGAAACTGTCTTATAAGCTGTCTATAATTCACCAGTAAGTAAACTTAACCTGTCTAAAACTAATCATCTCTCTCACCACCCATTACCATCTTCTAGTACAAATTCACTGAATCACTTCAACTTAAGAACTTCCAAAGCATGAACTTTTTCCTACTGTACAAAACAATGCATACCACTGACAGAGGGCACTACTAGTTGCTTCTCCAATTTCACTTTGGATTTAGGAATAGATGAATTCACAAATGACCTTTCATATCTAGAGTTTGTAAGTGAAAGAACTTCTACACCCACCGCAAGTGACCTGACATCATCTTCCATCCTGCAGTCCATGTCAGACCCTGCTGCCTCTCTTCTCCTTTACCACCACTCCCCACCATCCAATCTGTCGCTGCTCTTAAACTTAAGCCCCCTCTTCACTCCCCACTGCCAGCCTACAATTATTTTCAGCCCCCTACTGCTGCCTTCTCCCAGGGTTACTTTATCTAGGGTCCACAGGCTCCCATGGTCCACAGGCTAACCGGTTTCCTTTGTAATTACAAGTGTTTTGTTTTATGCATTATTCTCAGAAGGGGTCCACGACTTCACCAGATTGCCAAAGGGATCCATGGTCCAAAAAGGTTTAATTGCTCTAACTGGTCTCTCTGCCTATACACTCCAATGCATCCTCCACATTAACTTTTTTGAAACATATTATAAATATCATCTGTTATCCATGCTTAAAATCTTTAAATGCTTCCCAGTTGCTTCCTGATCCTTAAGTTCAACAGTGCAGCAATGAAGTATCTTCATAACTGGCCCCTGCTCATCTCCCCAGGTTTGTCTTGCCTCCTGCCATACACTGCAGCTAACATATGGACTTGTGTTTGCACCTCTCTTAATTCAGCACACTTTCCCATTCCTCTGTGCCTCTCTGTACATGCTGTTCCCTCTGCCCAGAAATCCCCTCCTTACCATCTTCATGTGGTTAACTTCTGCTCGTCTTTCATATCTAGCTCAAACCTAACTCATGAGAAGCTCTCCTGGCCGCCCTCAGTTCCCATCTAGGTAAGCTGCCCATTAGAGTTCTCACAATACTCAGTGATCTCCCAGAGCACTTCTCGAACACTGTTTTGTCAGTTTATTGATCCATCTCCCCTTCTAGACCGTGAGCTTTCTCAGGGCAGAAGCCAGACCAAGGTATCTCTTGCCTAGCATAGCTCAAGACACACAATAGAGTGCTTAACACTTGCTGGAAAAAGGACTGGCTCTGGAAAATGGCCAAAGGGGCCAAAAGCTGGTCAGAAACTTCACCAATTAATAAGGTGGCATCAGTCTGGAGATCACTATAAATGCAAATTTCCCATATGAGGTAAGATAGTTCTGTATTTACTAATCTGCCATCAGTGCTCCTTCTTTCAAGTTGGGAAGCTGGCCTTTAATAAATGTAATTACCATGACCAGGCTCTGTGGCAAGGGCTTGAGAGGCATCAGAGCTCATTAAATCTCAAAGCCAACTCTAAGATACTATTTTTTTAAAGATAAAGAGACACAGAGGTAAACTCACGTCTTTGATTCCAATCCAGATCTTTGATTCCAAAACCCATGCCTAGCCACTTGGTTCAGCTGGTTTTCTGGAGATAAGAGATCAGTATGCCCTTCATCTTCGGAGTTTTGGAGGAGTTTGGGATAGACGAGAAAGGGGGCCCTTCATCAGCCTCTCAGCAAATAAGAAAAGGTCCCATTCCCCAGGAAATACTACTGTTAAATTCTTTAAGATCTAATGTAACTTCCCCATATGTATTCACTGTAAAATCTTTTAAAAAAGAAGGGCTTGTGTGAGTTGTTTTTCTAAGAAGAGCAAGTTAAACAGACGATGGGCAAGACTGTTGAATTCCCCACCAGGCATGGGGGAAAGAGGAGAGAAGAAAAATCAATCCCAAGGAATGGAATTAATAGGTTGTGGCAATATCAATAAAAGAAAGGTAGGTTGAGTCTCCATGGCCTGCTGCAAAGAGAAACCATGAAGCATTTTTCTTTAACTGGCTAAGAAGGTATCTATGGTCTTAGCAGAAGAGCCCGTGGGTTTCTAAAATGATGGAACACCAATTTTGCTGAAAGCTGCTGCTATTTCCACTAAACTTTAGTTTGGAATCTGTATCTCAGCTGTCATCCTGTGATCATTAGCACTTTCCTGTAAGGTCCCAGGGGACTCACATACCACACTTCAAGAAAAGACAGAACATCTCATTCACCCTAACCACCACCTTTTCACATTAATTACTCTAGCCTTACAGATGAGACCACCTCTCACAGTTTGACTAAACGATGGTGGCCACAAAGCAACTTCATTCCCAATTATAATCCCACCATTCTACTTTCCTCTGTGTGTCCCCATCCTCATCCCCCTTGCCCCAGTCTTCCCCTTTGACCACCTTCTGTGTCCTTTCCCTTCCAACTCACCTCCAAATTACACAGATCTCTGTCCAATGACTTTTCTGCACCGCAACTTTAAACACAAAACCAACAGTCTACTCTTCCTGTCCCTAACTCCAACCAAAAACACACACAATGTAAAAATCTAATTTATTTAGAATGAAAACTATTTAGGTAAATTTGGTGGCTTTCAACTATCATATTAGAATATATAATCCTAGAAAGTTTAAAACCAAGGGTAAGAAAATGCAGTTTGTAGGGACATACACTTCCACAGATCAGGATTTTTGAGATCCCCTAAAGAGATCCTACTATACAAGAGTGCAGTACTCCACACATTTTCACTCAAGATTTTATCTGTCAGTTGCAAAGACTTTTTCATTTAAGTCAAAGCAACTGTTCCTTAATAGATCCTGCTCAATATTCCCTGAAGAAGATCATCAGCCTTACAAATAAAATGCACGGTTTTAAGCACATATTGGAAGTGCTACAGCATGGGTGAGGTTGGGGGAACAGGGTGAGCTAGTTAACAGTGACTGATCCACAGAAACAGGGAACTCAGGCCTCAGAGACTACATGAACATGTCCTCCCAAATCAATAAAAAAAATTAAAAGTTTCTACATGCAAGTATTTTTGTGGGTCAATATACAAAAACACTTCTCCATTTATTTTATTTTATTTCATTTCATTTTTCGAGCCGGAGTCTCACTCTATTGCCCAGGCTGGAGTGCAGTAGTGCAATCTTGGCTCACTGCAACCTCCACCTCCTGATTCAAGTGATTCGCCTGCTTCAGCTTCCCGAGTAGCTGGGATTACAGGCGCAGGCCATTAAGCCCAGCTAATTTCTGTATTTTCAGTAGAGATGGGGTTTTACCATGTTGTCCAGGCTGGTCTCGAACTCCTGACCTCAGGTGATCTGCCCACCTCAGCCACCCAAAGTGCTGGGATTACAGGCATGAGCCACCAAGTCTGGCATCCTCCACTTTTTTTTTTTTTAAAGCAACAAAGCCTCATTATGTTACCCAGGCTGGAGTGCAGTGGCGATTTACAGGCTCAAACCCACTGCTGATCAGTCCACAGAACAGTTCTCCACTTCGTAAGAGAATACCTTTAAGTTATATTAAAAGGAAAAGGCAAACTAAACTGCATGCAGTAAAGTTAAACAATGTAAAAATTTTGTATGTACAAGCAAAGTTTCACACACGAACACATAAGGACTTGAAAAACCTGGTTTTTTTAGATTTCAGCAGCAACTGAAGAAAAAGAATAATACCATCCAGGCCGGGCATAGTGGCTCATGCCTGTAATCCCAGCACTTTGGGAGGCCGAGGCGGGCGGATCACGAGGTAAGGAGATTGAGACCATCCTGGCTAACACGGTGAAACCCCGTCTCTACTAAAAATACAAAAAATTAGCCGGGTGTGGTGGCAGGCACCTGTAGTCCCAGCTACTCGGGAGGCTGAGGCAGAAGAAATCGGCTTGAATCCGGGAGGCAGAGGTTGCAGTGAGCCAAGATGGCGCCACTGCACTCCAGCCTGGGCGACACAGCGAGACTCCGTCTCAAAAAAAAAAGAAAAGAAAATAATACCATCCATGCCTCCTTAGGCACAGAAACCAAGAAATCATAAATCCAAAAGCAACTCACATTGAAATCACCATACCTTCTCCTACCTCTGGTTTATTTTTTATTATTTATTGCTAGTTAATACTCTTATGACTAGTTTAAGAATAACTATACTACTCAATGTACTTTATGTGTCTCATCGTAAATCTTTTCAGGAGACGATTTTGCCAGTACATTTTTCTGCCGAAAGCATCCTAGAAAGGGCTGCCATTAAAAAATTATGATCTGAAATAGATAAAAGCTTTCAAAGCACAGAACTGACAGCAAAGCCCACCACCCACTCTGTGTTCCTCAACTTCCTGCCTCCACTCTTCCAGTTAGGTACCATAAGCCACAGAAATTTTTTTTTACTTTCTTGTAAAAAATAAATGAATAAAACCAAGTGCCTGGACAAAGAAGCTGACTACAGGAAGAGTGTTTGTGATATTCTTGAACGGTCAGAATGTTTCTCCTTCCAGGAAGTGTGGCTGTGAGTGTGATTATTTTATGCAACTGCACTTCAACTTATCAGTGTGTAAGAGTCCAAGAAGCAGATACATCAACAGCTGTTCCTCCACACCACTCTACTTCAGCAGAAATAAATGAGAAAAGACACTCCCAAAAAGGTCCTAAGTACATCACCAACCTCACTCTGCCAGGTAATGACTAAAGTATCAATAAAGCTAACTAGAGCTTATCCACAACCTGGAAACAAAATGCTCTGGTGTGGCTTGGCCCTCCTCTTCCATCCAAGGCCAGAGCGGTAGCAAGTGGCATCAATGACCTCTCCCAGGACATTCTTCTGCCCTAATAAATTCGAACTTGCCTATGATATGGGACATCTGGTACAGCTAAATGAACAGATGTAGTTAGCTAGTACATCATCCCTCGAGTTAATAGCTGTAGCCAAAACTTCAGGTGCCTGGCACTGTTGCAGCTCTGTCCCTCAGCCTCATGGATGACATGCATTTTCATTCACTTATTTCTATTAGCCTGGGTGCATCACAGATCAGTTTGGTTTTGTCCACTACTGCTGGAAATTCCAATATACCCCACCTTTCTCTATATATGGTAACCTGAATTTACCAGAAAATCCAATGCACTTATCCCTAATCACATATAAAAAGCTGCCATGAGATTTACATTTGTGAAAACAAATATTTTTCCTCCACAAAAGTCATAAAAGCTAACTAGAGCCTATCTACAACCTATCAACTTTCAAAAAGGTGAGTAGCTTCAAAAATTCTTTGAACCAAAAAGAAACTGATTGTTAGACCAATACCTCCCTGTACAAGCCGCTGAGGTTGCCAGTTTAACAGTGCTAAAAGAGCTAAAATGTCTGACTCAAAAGTAACACTTCAAAAAAGGTTCAAATTACAGACTACATTATAATTCCCATTACTGAAATGTTAATTCCCATTCCTGACCAAAGGAACACATCCCAGTAATCTGGATTAACAATAGCATTGCTTCTCCCAGTGGAAATAAACTATGTTAGGGCCGGAAAGAAATTTAGAGCTAAATTAGCTAAGTCCCTCATGTTCAGAATGTAAGAAAAAAAGGGATCTAGAGAGCCCACAAGAAAACAGGCTTGAAAATTCTGGCTGCCCATCAGTCAACATTCTAGAACAGCACTGTCCAACATAACTTTCTTGAAGGATGAAAATGTTGTATATCTGTGTTCCTCAATAGGGTAATCACTAGTTACTGAGCTAGTGAGTACTTAAAAGTAGCTACTGTGACTGAGAAACCACATTTTTAACTTTAATCTGAATTTAAATTATTACTTACAGCTAATGGCCACCATACTGGGCAGTGCCATTCTAGGATACAGTTTTAGATTCTGATTATTAGACACTTTTTTTTTTTTTTTGAGATGGAGTCTCACTGTGTTGCCCAGACTGGAGTACAGTGGCACAATCTCAGCTCACTACAATCTCTGCCTCCTGGATTCAAGCGAATCTACTGCCTCAGCCTCCCAAGTAGCTGAGACTACAGGAGCATGCCACCACCTCAGTTAATTTTTTTATTTTTGGTACAGACGGAGTTTCACCATGTTGTTCAGGCTGGTCTCAAACTCCTGACCTCAAGTGATCCTCACGCCTTGGCCTCGCAAAGTGCTGGGTTTACAGCCGCCAGCCACAGCATCCAGCCAAGACACTGTAAATAAAGTTCCTTAACCTCCTTTTCTGCATATGACACTTACAGGAAATGTCTTATGTTTAAATATCTCACTCAGCAATGTAATCTTGTTACACAGGGACCCAGCCCAGAGCAGGATCGCTGTTCCTCAGAAACCCTAGAAAAATTGAGTAACATCAGTGTCATCCACACAGTTGGAATGAAGGCCCTCTTTTGAAAACCACTCTGACACAAAGTCCCACGAAATCCAAAAAGCCAGAATCTGGATGATTTTGTAAGTACTGCATTACAAGTGCTGGGTCAAGACCAATCACTTCCTTCAAGTAGCTTTGCTGAGATATCAACCTTAACCTTTCTTCAAAAACAGAAAAGAATTTCTTTTTTTTTTGCAAGAGAGGGGACTTTGATAGGCTCTGCTTCCAGCCTCAGCCACAAAGCCATGCAGCCTGCCAGTCCCAGGCCTGGGTGAAAAAGAAAACAACAATATTTAACCTCAATTTTAATCTGTGATTATTGCAAGAATTCAAAATACTACATCACTTTGCATGGACAGAACCTCCCTATGACCTAATAAAAAATCCAAATGATATTAGTTCTCACCCTCTAAGTATTCTGTTCTAAATAAATAATCTTTTATATACTGTTCTTGGTTTCTTTTTAAGGACTTTATTCTTTTCAAAGCCTTCTTAGTTCTCTGATTTTTAGAGCAAGGAAAGGTTAATTTGTGAAAACTAATGTTAATTTTGATACCATTAAGGATTATAAAGAGATTTTTAGTCAAAACTTTTCAGTATGATTTAAAGTTTAGAATTCTCTTCTATTTTGGAAGAGTGGGAGACGGTAAATGGAGAAGAGAAGATGATAAAACCAAAAGAGCCATATGCTAACTGGACCTAACTCTAAAAAGCTATTGCCTCAAACCAATAGAAAGAAGACTATGTTTCTTTAAATTAAAAAAAAAAATTATTTCCCTGTGTTCCATCACATCAAAGGGACGAGTTTCCTATTTTCTGAATCCCCCAAATGTAATGAGGAAAATAGGGCAAGCAGATAAATGAACCGACAGTGAATACTTAATTTAAATCATGTTTTATCTTCAGATGCACACAATACTCAAAGATGCAAAGTAAAACTCCACAAGCAAGCATTTTGTTTTTTAATAGAATGTTTAAGGGGGTTTTATAATCAAGGGATAAGTAGTGACATCAATGGAACGAACATTCTACTGATTAGTAATTCATACTGTGTTCACATGATCTTGAAAGCCCAAGTTAAGCTGGTTAAAGTGTGGCAACATGTTACAATTGGGAGACTGAGACTGAAGAGGCAAAATGAGTGTGAAGTCCACACACTATGAGGAGCCAAGCACACTAGCTAGATGATCTACACAGTGACAGTAACAAAGGTGATGTTTGACAGCAATTCACTAAGCCTGGGCTCAGAGGGAAAAAATATATACATTGATTCTAAACTAGTCAGTATCTTATGATTGCCAAAAATAAAGTGGAATAAAACAAATCATGTTATGTTTTCAATCAACTTTCTATTATTACCGATTTCAGAAATGAAATTTATTTTAGGAGATTACCCCTATCCTTATCTCTACCCATCCCTATCTTAAAGTACATCTTTTATCCAGCCAATTTAGTTTGTAGGCAAAATGCTTCAACAGCAATGATTATAAAAATGAAATACTAACAAAATCTATTTCCCTAAAGAAAATGAACCCATATGATATTTGCTTTGTCATGACTTGTTAGAAGAGCTTCTTTTTTAAAATCAAAACAATGAATAATTTACCTAATAAGCCCCATATTTAACTATTCCATTATTCTCTAAATACCAGACTGAACATTTATGTCTAGTACGCTTTAAGCTTATTTACAAAATAGTAATTCCCAAGGTTTCCATATGTCATCACGAGATTATCTCCAATTGTAAAAGCAAAATATCAATAGTAATTATATTTCTGTACTTAAATAGAATTAGAAAACAATTCCATCTTCCATCCTAATTACCCTATTATCCTATAATACACATACTATATTCTTATACTTATTTTTCTTCCTATCTTTTCTGTAATATTCTAGGTCTTCACATTTGTGAAGAATCTACACACCTCAGCACTTTTTAAATGTCTAAATAATTTAAAATACAGCTTCAACTAATACCACTTATATCTGTATAGTTTAAAAGTGTTTTCGTGTATGTGTATATTTCATCTAAAGAAAGTGTACTAATTGACTATTTCATTTCAGATACAACAATTATCAACAAATACGTTTTTTGCCTGAGTACTAAATGCCTAAAATGAGCCAAGAAAATGTTCATATTTCACTTAAAGTTTTAAGTCCATGTCTCCAAGAAAAATTTGTTTTAATCCTAAAAATATGACGTTAATATATACCGGCCAGGCGCGGTGGCTCACGCCGGTAATCCCAGCACTTTGGGAAGCCGAGGCGGGAGGATCACCTGAGGTCGGGAGTTCGATAACAGTCTCCCACGTCTCTACTAAAAATAAAAAATTAGCTGGGTGTGGTGGCACGTGCCTGTAATCCCAGCTACTCAGGAGGCTGGGGCAGGAGAATCACTTGAACCCAGGAGGCAGAGGTTGCGGTGAGCCAAGCTTGCGCCATTGCACTCCAGCCTGAGTAATGAGAGCAAAACTTCCTACCCCCCCCCAAAAAAAAATACAAAAAAATACATATATAATACAAACAACTTGCAACTTTATCATCAACTGGTTAATATTCAACAATTTCCATGGCAGCAAAGTTTCCCAGTGGAGATGGCCTCTATAAAATAACTTAATTACCTGTACACAATTTATACCATACAAGCCAAGAGGGAGAGAACTGGAACCACGTGTTACAAGCACTAACGCATTTGAATTGTACACTCCTCTTGGCATTCTTCAACTGCATTCTCACAAGAGAATGCAGTTAAAGCTCTCCTATTCAACCGAGCCACACTGATTAGTGTCCTGACTGGGCAATGCTGGGCAGCAAGTCCTGCAGCCTAAGTCACTCGAAAGAGCAGCAATCCTAAAGGAACTGCCGTTAGTCTGCCGGAGCCAAAACATTCTGCTGAGAGGCTCCTCAGCAAAGGGCTGGGTGTGCGCCCTGGCTAGCTGACTTTAGACCTAGAGCTTCCAAGGAGTGCAAAGCTGCATAAAATTTTTAAAACATATTCACCTTCATTTTCATGAAGGGAAAAGGCAAAAGATACCTCCTGAATGGCTTTCACTTCTATGTACTTCGCTCTATTCTCCCCAGGCATTACACTGGTTCACGCCACCACAGGGCAAATCTGGACTTGGCAACGTTCCACGGAAACACGTATATCACATTCATACAGACACACAGAGTCATACCCACACACCCAAGCCATTCTCAAGAACCACCAATAGTCTTTCACATTAAAGATATACATCACTCCCTGATCAAAGTTCTTGAGTAGCTCCTCACTGCACTCAGGATAAAAGTCCAAAGTCCTCAGCATTACAATGCTATGAGGGCCCTGGATCACCAATTCCTCTCAATTCCCCAGCCTTATCTCTAGATTGTGATCACCCTTCACAATCTACCAACAGACCCCCTTATCTCTAGATTGTGATCCCCCTTCACAATCTATCAACAGACCCAACAAACCTGTTCCTCAAATGAGTAGTGCTCTCACTCACATCCCGGCCTTCACCCATGTTAGTCCCACTGCCTGAAAGGAATATTTGTTTCCATACTCTACTTCTACCCTTCCTGTGGGTCTAGGCTAAAGTGTCACTTTCTCCAGGCTACTTTCCTCTACCTCCACCCCAGCTAGGGTAGGTGCCCCTCCCCTAGAGCACCTGTACAACGTATTGCAACTGTCAGTTTACTTCCCTGTGCCCCCTGCCCCAGAGTATGGGGCCAGCACCTCCTTGCCCACCATTATATCACAGGCATTCAAATATCTGTTAAATATATTCTAAGTTTACTCAGTGAACAAAATATGAATGTGGCCCATACAGTAAGGGAAACATGTCCAAAGTCAGTTGTGATACGATGGAAACAAGGCGGCAATGTTGCTATGCTTTGGTATAAAATACAAACTACACAATTGTCTACAAACGTCCTTAGGAAAGGTTAAAACATTGCACCAAAAAGAACACTTTTCACGATAAAAATACTAGTTTTGTGGTCACTACTCCTGCTAGGTAAACTGAAGTTCATAAAAAGTATCAGACTGAAAATATCTAAAAAGAAGCCCTGGTTGCTTATAGGTCAAGTACAACATTAGTGTAACTTTTCCTGTCTGCTGCCACCAAACTCTATTGGCATTATCAGAACCCTACCGGCTAAAGGTAAAAGGCTGGCCGGGCGCGGTGGCTCATGCCTGTAATCCCAGCACTTTGGGAGTCCAAGGCAGGCAGATCACCTGAGGTCAGAAGTTTGAGACCACCTTAGCCAACATGGCAAAATCCCGTCTCTCCTAAAAAACACAAAAATTAGCCGGACATAGTGGTGTGCACCTGCAGTCTCAGCTACTTGGGAGGTTGAGGCAGGAGAACTGCTTGAACCCGGGAGGTGCAGGCTGCAGTAAGTCGAGATCACGCCACTGCACTCCAGCCTGGGCAACAGAGCAGGGCTCCGACTCAAAAATAAATAAATAAATAAAGGTAAAAGGCTATTCCATTTCCTTAGTTTCTAAGCCTTGATATAAGTCTTTCGATAAAGATTCCATTCATGGTAACAGTCCGAAGGACATAAACGTGTTGCCAGGAAAGAGACCTGATACATCCTGAGCATTAGCTGCCACTGGCAGCGACTTTCTTTAGGACATATGTCTTACAATGAGTTACAATCTGAGGCTTGTGACACAAGATTTTTCCAGGGCAGCAGACTGATACCATAAACATGATGGTACTACGCACTCTAAAGAGCTCACCAGCTCCACCCTACACTCCCTGTGTGAAGCGGCAAATTATCCACCCAAAGCCTCAGTTTCCCCAGCTAATAATGAGATAATGGTTCCTACCTCGCAAGATTCTTGTGGGAATTAGACAGTCCATGAAAGCACTTCACAGGCAAACCAATTATTTTCAAATCAAAATGAAGGGAAGACTAGAAATATTTTCACATTTTTAGGACTTTTTATATGCCACAACTTATTTTTGACTAATGTCCTTCCACAGGGAAATTTTTGAGAAAGGCAGAAAAATGAGAAAATGAAAATCCACTTCTTTGTCATAACCTTGAGATACGACAACTTCCACAGAAGTCTACATTAAGATCCACTTTCTAATCTTTCTCTGCACTCCCAAAATTACTCTTAATTTCTGTTAACCATTCCTACAATATGGGAGATAGCAAAGGGAAAACTACTTCCATACTTCTTCCCAAGATGTCCTCACCAGAAACAATCTTCCTTCCTGCCTCTATGTCTCCAAATATACGGAATCTCTCAAAAAATAAAACTAAAACAAAACGATAAAAGAGAAAAGGGACTCAAATCACAAAAGCCAGCCTTCAAAGTCTCCAGCTTTCTTACTGCAGAACTACAGTCATGTGGTATGATGGAGGCACCTGTTAGGTGGCAATCCATGAAGCTTAAAGTGTTACCAGGAGAATTTAAACAGTAATGGGGGGAGGAAGAGGAGCTGATTTCCCACCTCACATTTTTTTCGCCTTAACACATGATGGCCAAACAATATATGCTACCCACTGTCAACATTTTTATCATTTTTACTTAAATTGAGAAAGAGGAGAATTTGAGAGCCAACTGAGGAAACTGGATCTCATATTCCCCAATCCAGGCTGACTTCAGGTTTTGTGTGGTTTTTTTCTTCCTTTTTGACAAGGAAATTTTACATATCTCCTGAAACGTGTTTTACATGAAGGTGAGACCTCAACAATCTTATAACTTTACCCCAGCCTGGTTCTGGACTCGGTTTTTACAAACGGGTGACGTGTGAATAGCTTCCTAAAAGCAAATGGGGCACTGGGATATAATCTAGGAAGTGATGATGCAAGTCTCCGGAGGACGGGGAGGAGGGGAGGTGAAGAAGTCAGAGGAAATACCCTCCTAGTGCCTGGGCACCAACTCACGCCCCGGGAGGGAGGAAGGGCTGGCTTCCACATGCCCACGGAAGGGGCACCCCTGCTCCTCCCGGAGCGGTCAACGCCGCCCCCTCATCCCTCCCCGCCGCCCTGCCCCCCTCACCCGTGGCCCAGGAGGCCCCCGTGGGCCCGAGCTTCAGGCCGGCGAGTCCCAAAGGGTAGCAACGCACCCCCGGCAGGGCCTTCTCTGCCCACCCCCAGCTCCCCACCCGGCACCCCTCCCCGGAACGCGACCCCCACCCCCTCCCCGTAGGCCCGGGCTGGGCCCAGCCTCCAAGGTTCCGGCCTCCCGGGCCCCGAGGCCTGCCCAGGCTGCCCTGGCGTCTGCGCCCCCGGCCCCCGCCCCCCGCCCCCACCCGGCCGGGCACTTACCCCCAGAAGCCGCAGGGACAGCGAGGCGGCAGGCTGGGCGCTTTGCTGCGCTCGCTCCCAGCGTCTCCCATGGTGCTCGGCGGCGGCGGAGCTCGGCGGCGGCAGCGGTGGCGGCGGCTGGGCCCGGGCCCCGCTCTGAGGAGGCGGTGGCGGCGGCGTCGGGGGGCTCGGGGCGGGGGGAGGGGGAAGGAGCGGGCGCGCGGGCGGGCGCGAGTCCGGGGCTCGGAGCCGGGATTCCAGGCCGGTCAGCTGGAGGCGGGCCGCACCACTCGGCCTGCGGAGACGGGGAGGGGGCGGAGAGGCGCGGAGAGAAGAAGGAGGGAGCCGAGGAGGAGGGGCGTGCGGACGCACCGAGGACCGCGGGGGAGGAGGGACACAGACGCCCTCGGCGGGTCTCACCGCCGCTCCCCAGCCAGAGAGATGTCCTGTGCGGTGGCGCAGGGAAGGACCGGAGCCCCCCGCCGGCTCCGGAGTCGCAGCGGCCGCTCTGAAGCCCCGGGCCCTGCTGTCTCCGTAACACCGTCCCCTCCCCCGGAGGCTGCGCTGACCGGACAATGGCCGCTCCGCCCCCTCCCCGGCGTGCGCCCCTCCCGAGGAGTCACAATGGTCTCGCCCGGGGGAGCCAACGCCAAAGCCCAGCCGCTGATCAGCTGGGATCCGGGCGTGCCACTTCGTTCCGCGCCTCAAAGGCGGAGTGCGGGGCTGTGGGAGAAAACGAGAGCCTCGGGCTGTCGCCCGGCGACGGGCGGCTGAGGCCTTCGTATTCTTAGAACTTTTAGAATCTGAAGCAAACTTATCTTCCCCCTGTCTGAAGAAGGGGAGCAGGTTTCTGAGTACTCCGGGGCGCGGTGCCTCCCCCTAAACGCGAATGGTGCGCTCCAAGCGGGAGGGGGAGGAGCAGATTAGTTGTGTAGGGTAAATTGGGCCAGTCCCAGAGTGGCGGCGCATGCGCCCGTAGAACCCGTAACCGAGTGCGAGGAGGGGCCTGGGGGAGCAATGCCAAACGCGGAAGTGGAGCTCTGGCTTCCCGGGGGCGTCGGAGTCAAGGTCCCTGGAGCTGCCGCTCTGGCTCCTGGGCGATTCCGGGGAGCCATTCTCCCCAATTTGCCAACTCCCTGGGCATCTCTCTCTCTCTTCCTGGTCCCGCCACACCCAAACAACTCTTATAGTTCCACCCGGTATACTGGTCTCTTGACAGGAACTTTTGGGAAATGCCCCTCCCCCAGCCCCTTGTCTGGGGCAACTTCCTTGTCTCTTCTCCCCCACCGGTGTTGGGGAGTTCCTTGTCTCCACTCCCAACCACAGAGCCACAAGTACATTATCTATGCCCAGGCGAGTCCCTATGCCCAGGCTAGGAGAGCCGCACTTCTTCCTACAGCTGACACGTTTGGTTTTTGGAGGGGAAAGGGGAGCTGTAGCTGAATCAGTAATGGAAATTGGTAAGTGACCAAAGAAGTTTGAGACACTAAAAAAATGAGTCCTTTAACGATCCTAGTCCTTGATCCTGAGCTCATTCTGATCTCCAGTTAGTCATGAACAGAGAAATCGATTATTGATGACTAATTCAACACGGAGGCAACATCCTCCAGACCTTTTGGAGACCCATCGCTGAGGAAGACTTCCTGGCTCTTAGGAATAGCTGCCGTATACCCTCCTTGCCTGTCGGGTATATCAGAGCCTCAGAGAGACTATTACCTAGATTAATTTGATTACCAAATGTTGCTATCTTATTTCTTTATATACCAAATCACATTTCTGTTTGTGCATACTGTGTGGGTTTGTTAACATTGATGTTTATTTTGGCCTCTAAAGAGCAAGGATCGCATTTAGCTTAATATGCCACAGATGCTGTTGATGGTGAAGTTAATGATTGCAAAAATCAAGCACTTAAAGCCAAAACACCCTAAAATGTGAGTGCTGATTTATTATGCACAATGTTTAGTTTTAATTTGGTGGATTTTCCAAAGCCTTCAATAAGTATATCTGTAAGAAAGTGCATAGAAAAAGCCGGACGCTGTGGCTCACGTCTGTAATCCCAGCACTTTGGGAGGCCAAGACGGGTGGATCACCTGAGGTCAGGAGTTCGAGACCAGCTTGGCTAACATGGTGAAACCCCGTCGCTAGTTAAAAAAAAAATACAAAAACTTAGCCGGGCATGGTGGCACGCGTGTAATCCCAGCTACTTGGGAGGCTGAGGCAGGAGAATCGCTTGAACCCGGAGGGCGGGTGTTGCAGTGAGCCGAGATCATGCCATTGCACTCCAGCCTGGGCAACAAGAGCGAGAGCGAAACTCTGTCTCAAAAAAAGAAAGAAAGAAAGAAAAAATGCATAGAAAGGATAAAGCCATACAGCACACCTTGCTCTCATTGGATTCATATTACCCTTAAATCTTCATTTAAGCCGACATAAAATTCCCACATGCGTGAGATACTTAACAGCCTTTGAGTTTAACAAAGATTAAGTGGGATTATCTCTCTTGGCATCTTGATGATTTTCTTTTATGTACAGAAAAGGAAACTCGACAACTAAAAGGAGAATTCAACATAAAAAGTGATTGTCATTTTCCAAACTGCTTTCCTGTTTGCCAGTTATTCAACAAACATTTATTCAGTACCCAGTATACACAAGGACTTTGCTAAGCACTCTGGAGACTAAAAGGATTAATAAAATGTAGCATTCACCAGCAGGTCCCTACATATAATGTAGATAATTTGGTTCCAGTCTTCCTCTCAGACTTCATTTTCTACTCTTCTCTATTCACTCTGCGAAGCAGACACTAGTTGCCATTCCTCAAATACCTTGCTTTCCCACATCTCCATTCCTTTGTCCTCCTGTTCCTGACTGCTTCAGCTGCCTTTTCTCTTTATATGTATACACACAACACAAGGAGATAATCTTATACAACCCAAGGACACAGAGAGCAGTAAGATCGCATGAAGGACTGAAATAGGTACCTAATACATCAACAGGAAGCCAAGTGTTTGGTTTTTTTCGATATCTTTTTCTCTCTGGTTACAGGTTCTTCCATCTCTGCTTCTCTCTACAAAGCTGCTTTATAATCTCGGCAGAGCTGTTTTCACTGCTTTTTTGGGAACGTAATCCAGGTTTACCCAGCCTCACTTCAAGAACAAACAGAGACTAATTAGTATCTATGAATCCCAATCCCCAGGAGAAAGAAACTGATTGGTTCGATTTATGTCCGCTTGTGTACTCTTGGTACAATCACCTTTGACCAACAGGGCAGTTATGTAGTCAGGTCTTTTTGTTTTGTAAAGCAGACATGGCTGCCAGAACCCCATCTTTGTAGGCTATGTTCTCAAAGTTATGTACTTGGCAAAGATTCCAAAAAATGTCCACCACAGACCATAAAGGAGTAAATTGCAGCTGAACTTCAAAAGCATAAAGAACAATTGACATGTTAAGGATTTTCAACAGACTGACTCCTACTTAAACAAATTCAGACCTGAATTTAAATGGAACTCCTTCAAAGAAGTCATCCCTGACCCAAGCCCCAATCAAAATTTGGTGGCCCCATTATTATCTTACATGGCACTCTTTTTCTTTATAGTACCTATCATAGTTTAAATATGTATTTGTGAGTCTCCTCTCCAAAAATCATGTCTGTTTTGTTTACTGTGATATACACAATACTCAAGGTGCATTTGGGAGGCGTTCAATAAATGTTGTATGAATAAAAGCACAATAATTTGTTAGTCAATGTGAGACCCACAAATGGATTGGAGTCATAGTTAGACAATCCTGGGGGAATGTCTTAGTTACCAACCCACCCTCCCTAGAAGACATTGAAGCTCTCTGCTTTTTTTTTTTTCTGACCTCATTCATCACAAGGCTGCCAGCTTTTTTGTCACACTGAAGTTGTATGAGATGAGACAGTATTTAGCTGCTGCTTATGACGTTCCTAGCCAGATAACTCTTTACTCTTAGTTCCCAGTGTCTCTATCTATAGAGCCCTTGATCCAATTCCTATAACAAGCCCACTTAGTTGACTGAAAGCTCAGAGAGGACATAAAATTTCAGGGCATCATCAAATTAGGGGAGCAAAGTGTGGGGGTAATTGGCAGAGTGCTTTTGTCGTAATTGTCTTGACTATTTTCTGTCGTGTATTATGTTCCAGATGAACCTGTGATGTGACTCCTGGGAGTAGTTTGCAATCACCATTGGCCCAAAAGGAGCCATCTACGTGCTCAGTGGGGTCTAGTAAAGGATAATATTAATTCTTCAGCAGCCAGAGCTTTTGAAGTAGGAACTGAGGGTGTATAGAAAAGAGCCTGGTATGATTCAAGGTCAGGAGCAAACAATGGCTGCCTTCTTGGTAAGAATTCAAAAGACCTACTTAGCCCTGGAAGACTTTACCAAAAAGAAGGGACTTGTAGAGACCTGAGAGAAAGCAGATGATCCTCCACTCTAATTCTAATCCCTACCCTTGAAACTCACTCTCAGTTCAAAACTTGTCATCATTATAATCCATCCTAACCTAGTATTAGCCCCAATGTCCAATCCAAACTCTAGATTTAATTCTAATCCTAATATTATCTGTAAAATTTAATCTCAGTTCCCAACTCTAGTTTTATGAGCTTAACAAAGGCTCTTTGCCTTGCCACTGAGTTATTTTCCCTAGCTCCTTTTTCTTGGGTCCCTTGACCCTGACTGACGAATGAGAGCAGAGAACCCTATAACATCCTGGACCTCTGGAGAGAATGAGAGCCAATTTCAATAATCCAGGTTGGATCCAAGGCCTTGGGCTGCCAGGAAAGAGAAAGTGGGGCATCTGTGACCAGAGCAGGAGGCAGAGACCCTGCCCAGTCACATTTCTTGTTGCCTAATTCAGGGACTACTAAGCCTCTGAAAGTCCAGAATACATGCACTCCAAGTCACCTATGTAGACTCAGGAATGTGAGGTACAGTTGGCCTACAGTGGAAGACCTGAGACCCCTCTGCAAAACAATATGGTTAGATTAGACGAGTGACCCCTCTGCAAAACAATATGGTTAGATTAGACGAGTGGCTTTTACGCTATGTTCTCAGAGAGCAAGAATTCTGAGTTTTGCTCTCCTCTTTCATTTGAATTTGGCTTTCCAAGGGGATGAGAAATTTTTTTTCAAAAGGCATTGAACGAGATCCTCTCTAAGGTTCCTTCTGGCCCTTGAGTTTTCTGATGTGCAGTTGATTCTTTTAGTCACTTATGGTCCAGTTGGCATGGATAAACTCTCAGAGCCAAGGGAAAAGAAGGGCAACCAAGCATACCATCTCCAGCCTGTCTCAGGAAACTAAAAATGAATTAAATAAAATGAAGAGTGCGACGGGGAGAAAGGGAGGAGGGGAGAAAATGCTGCCATTTCACGTCCCATGTTCCTCACGTTCATGAAGCAATTGCTGATTTCCCTGCTGCTCACACCCATCTTGGTGTGAAATTTGATTTTGCTGACTTTTAAATTTATTTTCAAGAATGGAAATAATTGTTTTTCCTAGAAATACTTGACCTTTGTGGGGAAAAAGAAATTCAAACAATGAGAAAGCAGAAGTCCTCCCTAATACCATCGTCCTCTAGAGATACCCTTTGCTAACAGTTGGTATATAGCCGTCTAGGCTTTTCATTTGTGTATGGTCATATAAATGGAATCATGTAACACATAGTATACTCTAGCTGATTTTTTTTTAACTTTGAAATAAGTCACGTACATCTTCCATATATAGTTCTGCAGTATAGTCTTTTAGTTAGGGTTCTCTAAAGAAACAGAACCAATGGGAAATTATATATGAGATTTATTATAAGGAATTGGTTTACACAATTATGGAGGCAGAGAAGTCCCAAGATTTGCAGTGTAAAGGCCTGGGAACCAGGAGAATCCATGGTGTAAGTTCTAGTCTGATTCGGAAGCAGGAGAAGATGGATGTCCCAACTCAAAGGCTTTCAGGCAGACAGCAAATTCTTTCTTGCTTAGCCTTTTCTTCTGTTCAGGCCTTCAATAGGCCTGCCCATCTTGGGGAGGGCAATCTACTTTACTCAGTCTACCATTTTGTTTTAATTCATTCAAACTGCTATAACAAAATACCATAAGGGCCAGGCGCGGTGGCTCACGCCTGTAATCCCAGCACTTTGGGAGGCTGAGGTGGGCAGATCACGAGGTCAGGAGATCAAGACCATCCTGGCTAACACAGTGAAACCCCGTCTCTACTAAAAATACAAAAAATTAGCCTAGCGTGGTGGCAGGCGCCTGTGGTCCCAGCTACTCGGGAGGCTGAGGCAGGAGAATGGCGTGAACCCAGGAGGCGGAGCTTGCAGTGAGCCAAGATTGCGCCACTGCACTCCAGCCTGGGCGACAGAGTGAGACTCCATCTCAAAAAAAAAAAAAAAAAAAAAAAAACCATAAAGTGGGCAGCTTATGAACAACAAGAATTTATTCCTCACAGTTTTGGAGGTTGGGAAGTCCAAGATCAAGCCACTGGCAGATTTGATCTGATGAGAGCCCACTTTCTGGTTCATAGATGGTACTTTCTTGCCATGTCTTCATATGGTAGAAGGGGCAAATGAGCTCCCTTGGACACTAATGCCATTCATGAGGACTGTGCCTTTATTATCTAATCATCTTCTAAAGGGCTGTACCTCCTAATGCCATCACCATGGGGATTAGGAGTTCAACATATAAACTGGGGACTATGTGTGTTGGGGGACACAAGTATTCAGACTGTAGCAAATGTTAATCTCAACCTCAAAGATGCACCCATAATAATATTTAACCAAATATCTGGGTACTGTGCAGCCCAGTCAAGTTGACATGTAACATTAACTATCACACTAAAATCATGGGCTCCAAACTCAGGCTGCCTAAGTTCAAAAGTCAGGCTGCCTAAGTTCAAATGTGGGCTCTGCCACCTACTAGCTCAGAGACTTGAGGGAAGTTACTTAGCTGGTCTGTGTCTTAGTTTCCTCATCTGTAAAGGAGGCATTTGTAATGAGCTGTGGTTTTTATCTGCCTACTTCTCCCTGCTCTTCAGGGGTGCACACACTCACTGGTTTCGTCAGGGAGCCCTATCCTTCTGGACACAGGAATTGGGATTGGCTCAGGGAAAGGCAGGGCCCTCCCTAGGGTGACTTGTGAGCTTTGTCTTCTGAGATCAAGTGTCCCAAAGACCATGTAAGCCTGGAGCTGCTGAAGGACCTACCATCTGTAGTGAGGCTGCCTGGGGAATCGAGCCCACAGAAGGGAAAGAAGAGAGTTGGAGAGAGAGAGACTAAATCATCACAACGTTGTCTAAGTCCTTCAATCCAACTAAGTCTGACGCCAGAGCTACCCTCTGGACTTTTCAGTTACATGGGCCAATAAATTCCTTCTTTTACCTGCACAATTTAAATTGAGTTTCATTATGTTCCATGAGAAAATCCTGACCATCCCTAGTAGTATCTACCTATTTCATAGGTTTATTGTGATGATTAAAGTATATAATCTGTGAGGAAATCTTAGCGTAGTATGTAGTGTGTAGTACAAGCTCAGGCCGGGCATGGTGGCTCACACCTGTAATCCCAGCACTTTGGGAGGCCTAGGCAGGCAGATCACTTGAGGTCAGGATTTCTAGACCAGCCTGGCCAACGTGGTGAAACCCTGTCTCTACTAAAAATACAAAAATTAGCCAGGCATGGTGGCGCACACCTGTAATCCCAGCTACTTGGGAGGCTGAAGCAGGAGAATCGCCTGAACCTGGGAGGCAGAGGTTGCAGTGAGCTGAGATTGCACCACTGCACTCCAGCCTGGGCCACAGAGGGAGACTCTGTCTCAAAAAAAAAAAAAAAAAAAAAAAAAAGCTCCATAAACACGTGCTATTGTTATTATTATTTGTTTCTTTTTAATGGCTACTGACTATTGTATGGGTGAATTATTTAAAGAATCTCCTCTTGATTCATTTCTCTCATTGATTCATTTGCTTTCATTTATTCATTCAAAAGACACTTACTGAGCACTGTATTAGGCCGTTGTTGCATTGCTATAAAGAAATGCCCGAGACCAGGTAATTCATAAAAGAAAAGATATTTAATTGGCTCATGGTTCTGCAGCCTGCATAGGAAGCATAGCATCAGCATCTGCTCAGCTTCTGGGGAGACCTCAAGGGGCTTTTACTTATGGCAGAAAGTGAAGCAAGATCAGGTACTTTACATGGTGAAAGCAAGAACAAGAGAGAATTGGGGGACAGGGGAATGCCACACACTGTTTTTTTTTTTTTTTTTTTTTGAGACAAGTCTTGCTCTGTCGCCCAAGCTGAAGTGCAGTGGCACGATCTTGGCTCACAGCAAGCTCTGCCTCACGGGTTCACACCATTCTCCTGCCTCAGCCTCCCGAGTAGCTGGGACTACAGGTGCCCGCCACCATGCCCAGCTAATTTTTTGTATTTTTCATACAGACGAGGTTTCACTGTGTTAGCCAGGATAGTCTCGATCTCCCGACCTCGTGATACGACCGCCTCAGCCTCCCAAAGTGCTGGGATTACAGGCGTGAGCTTTCCACTTTTATAAACAATTTTACAATGAACATCTTTGTCCATTTGTCCTATTAATGTCTTAGATAAATTTTTTAGGAAAAGAATTTCAGGCCGGGCACGGTGTTTCATGCCTGTAATCCCAGCACTTTGGGAGGCCAAGACGGGCAGATCATCTGAGGTCAGGAGTTCGAGATCAGCCTAGCCAACATGGTGAAACCCCGTCTCTACTAAAAATGTAAAAATTAGCTAGGCATGGTGGCAAGTGCCTGTAAATCCCAGCTACTTGGGAGGCTGAGACAGGAGAATTGCTTGAACACAGGAGGTGGAGGTTGTGGTGAAGCGAGATCAGGTCATTGCACTCCAGCCTGGGCAACAAGAGCGAAACTCCATCTCAAAAAAAAATGGAAGGCTGGTTGGGCGCAGTGGCTCATGCCTGTAATCCCAGCACTTTGGGAGGCCGAGGTGGGCGGATCATGAGGTCAGGAGATGGAGACCATCCTGGCTAACACAGTGAAACTCTGTCTGTACCAAAAATACAAAAAATTAGCCAAGAATGGTGGCACATTCCCATAGTCCCAGCTATCCGGGAGGCTGAGGCAGGAGAATCGCTTGAACTCGGGAGGTGGAGGTGGCAGTGAGCCGAGATTGCACCACTGCACTCCAGCCTGGGTGACAGAGCAAGACTCCGTCTCAAAAAAAAAAAAAAAAAAGAATTTCAATGCCACTTAACGTTCATTGTATATGGCCAAACTTCCCTCCAGAAAGCTCATACCAATTTACACTCCCTCCAATAGTGAATGAGAAAGCAGATTTCCCCATACCTCCGTAGCCTGGAGATATCATCATTCTCTTTAATCATTGCCAATGCAAAGGTAAAAAATGGCACATAATAGATGTTTTAATTTGCATTTTGGGAGTTATTAATGAGGTCTGGGTTTTTTAATGTATATAAATATACCATTTGAATTTGAATTTACTTTTATATGGCATTATCTGTTTATGTCCTTTGTCCGTTTTTCTACAGGAGCTTTTTTTTTTCTTATTTAGCTTAAGATATTAATGTTGGTTTATTTTATTTTATTTTATTTTATTTTATTTTATTTTATTTTATTTTTTGAGACAGAGTTTTGCTCTTATCGCCCAGGCTGGAGTGCAATGGCACGATCTTGGCTCACTGCAACCTCCGCCTCCTGGGTTCAAGCGATTCTCCTGCCTCAGCCTCCTCAGTAGCTGGGATTACAGGCGCCTGCCACCACACCTGGCTAACTTTTTTACTTTTTGTAGAGACGGGTTTCACCATGTTGGCCAGGCTGGTCTTGAACTCCTGACCTCAAGTGATCCGCCCACCTCGGCCTCCCAAAGTGCTGGGATTACAGGCATGAGCCACTGCGCCCAGCCATTAATGTTGGTTTTAAGAATATTAACTCATTGTCATATGCACTGCAAATTCTTTCTCTGTCATTTGTCTCTTAATTGTATCTAGGAATTTTGATTTTCTTTATTATTATTATTATTATTATTATTATACTTTAAGTTTTAGGGTACATGTGCACAACGTGCAGGTTTGTTACATATGTATACATGTGCCATGTTGGTGTGCTGCACCCATTAATTCGTCATTTACATTAGGTATATCACCTAATGCTATCCCTCCCTCCTCCCCCCACCCCAGAATAGTCCCCAGTGTGTGATGTTCCCCTTCCTGTGTCCATGTGTTCTCATTGTTCAATTCCCACCTATGAGTGAGAACATGAGGTGTTTGGTTTTTTGTCCTTGCGATAGTTTGCTGAGAATGATGGTTTCGGAATTTTGATTTTCAAGATATCTAAAATGCAGTTGAAATATGTGAATTAACCTTGGCTAATGTTTGAATTGCCTACATGGGCACTCTTTTTTAAGTCCTCTATTTGTTGCTTAAAGGCAAAAAAGAAAAGGAGAAAATTAAAGGGGGAAAGACAGGATATTGCAGGGATTGGGGAGCAGGCAGCTGAGAGAAATCTTGCCCCCACAGCCTGCCCCATCCCACCTCATCTCAAGCGGGCTCAGCTTAGAGACCAATAAATGGCCAAGAACTTCATGAATTGGCCCAGCCCATCAGGCTTGATGCCAGCCCTGAGCTCCCTGGGGTGAACCATCCAGGACACGTGCCCCAGCCTTCCCCGTTCTTGTCTAGAGGTTTTAAAAAAGCAGCCAGAAGCCACAGCCAGGCTGCCATGTAACTCTGAGATCCCAGAGACTGGCCTGAAGTTTTTTATCAAGTCCCTTGCTTGTTTGTACAGATCATTTCTAGGGGTGAATGCACCATGTGTGGCTGGGATGGACTCCAAGAACTGACTCGAGGAGAAGAACCAAGGCTGTTTGTGAAAAAGAGAGTTTTAGGATAAAACGGTTAGAATTCATTATTAGGGTGAAATTAGGGAAGGAGCCAGAGTTGGGGAGGTTGGGCTTGAGAGTCAGGAGTAGACATTTGGAATGCCAGACAGAATTAGTGGCTCAAGGAAAGGCTTATGACCTGGAAAGAAGCTCAGATGTACAGGATGAAGTCGAAAGGTTAAGACTGGTGTATTCATTGCCAGGCGCGGTGGCTCACGCCTGTAATCCTAGCACTTTGGGGGGCCCAGGTGGGTGGATCACGAGGTCAGGAGATCAAGACCATCCTGGCTAACACGGTGAAACCCCACCTGTACTAAGAAAACTTAGCCGGGCGTGGTGGCAGGTGCCTATAGTCCCAGCTACTCGGCAGGCTGAGGCAGGAGAGTGGCATGAACCTGGGAGGCAGAGCTTGCGGTGAGCCAAGATCGCGCCACTGCACTCCAGCCTGGGCAACAGAGCGAGACTCAGTCTCAAAAAAAAAAAAAAAGATTGGTGTGTTCGTTTGGGTTTCCCCAGAAGCTGAGCCTGAGATAAGGATTGAGGGGTACAGAGAACACAGCTGGGGATGGCAAGGTGGCCAATAAAGGGTGTATCATCGAGCCAGTTATCATTGGGAGTGACTGTGCAAAACCTCACATTAAAGCCATCCCATCTGAGGAGTCGGGGGAGGTGGCACACTGAGTTTTATATACCCACTTCCATCAATAGTTGACATAGATCATTGCACTTCAGCCTGCCTTTGCAGGCAAAACAGGCTTCTCTGGTTTCAGAGAAAACCCTCAGGCAAAGACATGCAGAGACGGGCCATTGGAATTTGGTGGGATCACTGAAGTGGTAAGGGCTGAGGGATACGGACCAGACTGGCATCTACAGTGTCTCCTATACCTGGAGACAATGTGTGTGTGTAGATTTGAGAGATGTGATATTTGCTAAAATTATCCAGGGGTTTCTTCCTAAGGTCATGATTAATCAGGTAAGGCTAGTTGTCTTCTGATTAGGAGTAAAGGAGCAGACTTGAGGTTATAACTGAGATTAGAGAATTAGAGTTCTAGTACCAGCACTCAGGATATTCATCCTGCCCCAAGTTGCACAGCTTGGTAAGCCACACAGGTGGTGAACCAGGGCAGGATTGGGACCTCCAAAGCCCAGTAAGAGGATAGAGGGCAAGATGGCCTGTTATAGGGAGGGCGGTTTCTGCAGGATCCTTGCCGCCTGCAACTCCTTCCCCGGCAGCCAGGAAACTGGGCTAGAAGGAGGCTGTGCAGCTGCCATCTGTTCTCCCGGCTCAACTGCCTGGCAACTGCCTGCCCATATCTGCTCTCTGCTCTGGAGGAGGAGGCATTCCTCCACGGCCCATTGGGCAGGACGAGGAGCTGTGCCCTTGCCAAGGCTGCACCACATGATGGATTCAATGATGATGACTTTCTGATGTGGGGGCTGCTCAGTCATGTAGCAGACCCAATCCCATCTGGTGTATGTTCTTGAAAGGGCTGCTGGAAGAAAAAATCCACATACTGCTCATGCTGGTGGGAGGGTGTGCGTGTATACACATGTACAGGAGGAGTGTGTACACACAGGTGTGAGTACACAGGTGTGAAGCTAGATGTGTTTATATATGTGCATGCGCACGCACATACGGGGGAAACATGAACATTGAGAATTCAAAACTATTGCGTTCAATTTCCTTCTCAGAGATCATTGAGCAAATAAGTCCTTAATAATTAATAATGCTTCTGTTTTTTAAATGCTTTCCACATGGAGTAACTTAGTAGGTGCTTTATACACTTTGGTTATTGTAGTTAATATAAATCTTACAAGTGCCACTCAAAAGAAATTTTATCTTCTTTATGCTACAGATGAGAAACCAAAGTTTGTGAGGCTAAATGAGCTGTCCAACACTCAATTCGTAAGTGGCAGAGCCCGGTTTCAAGACCATGTCTCTTATTCCACAGTACATGATATTTAATTTTCATCCTCTCCTAAATCTTCTCAATGAGAATGAACCAACAAACTACAGCTACACACAACAATAGGAGTGATTTGCATAAAATTAATGTTGAGCAAAAGAAGCCAGACAGAAAAGAATACCTACTACACGATTTCATTTATATCAAGTTCAAAAACAGGCAGAACTAATCTATGATATCAAGAGTTAGGAGAATGGTTAGCCTTGCAAGGGGCAGGGAATGACTGGAAGGGGACACTGGAGGGACTTGTGGGGGGCTAGTAATTGGTAATATTTTCTGTCACCCAGGCGGGAGTGCAATGGTGCAATCACGGCTCACTGCAGCCTTGAATGCCCTAGCTCAAGTGATCCTCCTACCTCAGCCTCCCGAGTAGCTGGGACCACAGGCATGGACTACTATGTCAGGCTAATTTTAAAATTTCTTTTAGAGATGAGATCTCACTATGTTGCTCAGGCTTGAACTCCTGGGCTCCAGCAATTCTGCATCCAGTCGGTAATATTGTATTTCTTGACCTGGTGCTAGTTACATGGGTGCATTAAGTTTGTGTGAATTCATTGAGCTGTGTAGGTATGGTTCGTACACTTTTCTGTATGAATGTTTCATCTCAGTAGGAGTTCAAAATGAAAAGAAAAACCTTGCCAGGTGCTGAGAGGAATTTAGAGAAAGAAAGCACCACTGGGCCTACCTTTATGGGGCTTCTCTTCTAATCACGGGGACATAGTCTGAGCCTCAGGAAGTTTCTAGGCTGTGGAGTAGAAAGTCTTGAGGTCAGTGGACTCTGAGCTGAGTGTTCCAGGGGAGCTTACAAGGAGAATGAGAAGTGACAAGGAGAGTTAAGTGTAAAGACTGGGCCACCAGATGTGGTCAATATGCAGTGGCCAAGAGAAGATAGCAGCATGGACACCCCAGCTGGATCCTCTACTCCCTGTGGGATGTAGGGAGAACTATTCAACCCCTCAGAACCTTGGTTACCTTCCTTGTGCAATGCAGTCACTGGTAGTAAAGGCTCTTTGAGGACTAAATGACACTATATAGTTAAAACACCTGGCACAGAGCATGGTACATGGCTGGCATTCAAGTAAAGATGTGTTTGGAAAGTGGAAGAAAAGATGCTCTGGAATCTGAGAGCTTCCTCAAATATCAGAAAGGCTGGCAGGTGGAAGATGCCTCACCCACACTGGATAGCTGCGTGGCCAGAACGAAGTGATTTATTACCCATGGGGTGGGACCTGGTCTGTGACGGGCAGGCTGGCACAAGGTTGGTGGCAGCAGCTGGGACTAACTGATAAGCTCTACAAGTAAAATCCCTGGGCTGGGTGCAGTGGCTCACACCTGTAATCCCAGCACTTTGGGAGGCTAAGGCGTGAGAATTGCCTGAGCCCAGGAGTTCAAGACCAGCCTGGGCAATATAGTGAGTCCTCATCTCTACAAAAAAATTAATGAATAAAATAAAGAATTAGCTGAGTGTGGTGCATACCTCTGGTTCCAGTTGTGGTCCCACCTACTCAGGAGGCTGAGGTGGGAGGATCCCTTGAGCCTAGTAGGTCAAGGCTGCAGTGAGTCATGATGTTGCCATGCACTCCAGCCTGGGTGACAAAGTGAGACCCTGTCTCCAAAATAAATAAGTAGGCTGGGCGTGGTGGTTCACGACTGTAATCCTAGCACTTTGGGAGGCCGAGGCAGGTGGATCATTTGAGGTCAGGAGTTCGAGACCAGCCTGGCCAACATAGTGAAACCCCATCTCTACTAAAAATACAAAAATTAGCTGGGCATGGTGGTGGGCGCCTGTAATCCCAGCTACTTGGGAGGCTGAGGCAGGAGAATCACTTGAACCTGGGGAGCAGAGGCTGCAGTTGAGCTGAGATCGCACCACTGCACTCCAGCCTGGGTGACAGAGTGAGACTCCATCTCAATAAAGAAAAAATGAAAATAAAATAAAATAAATAATAAATAAATACAATGAAAGTTTCCCTGAGAGAGATCCAAGAAAAGGGACCCAGGAAAAGACATAGGCTTAGGGGAGTGAGGACAGTTTCCCAGGTTGGTAGCCCACTCAGAACTCTGAGGGAGAGCAGTCTAATTTTATAGAGGCTTATGAAGCTGTGTGCTGTGCGGTGGGAGTTCTTTCCCTATGAAATTGTTTAGAATCCACCCCTCAATTTTTTCCCAAAAAATACAGAGACTGATAGAATTTGTTTTGAAAACTTGAAGGGACCTAGTTTGGCCAGACTGAGTGAGTATCAGCAACCTGAAGACAACTGACAGATGAGTTGCCTAAGAAAACTTCCTGACTCATCTCCAAACTCAAATGCCAAATACCCAAAGAAGGTTTATTTCCCAATATTCCTCTTAGAATTTTGCACTTTCTTGTTCATGCTCCATACTGTACATATTGCATGGCCCACGGGAACTGGTGCATGAAAAACAGCCTTGCATGAGTTATTTTCTGCTTATAACAGACACCCCAAAAAACAGTGGCTTAAGCACAACAGCAGTTTATTTTGGTTTCATTTTTAAAAAGTCCAGCTGACACAGTGATGGAGGCCACAGTGGGCTATGATTGCATTATTGCACTCCAGTCTGGGCAGCAGAGCAACACTCTGCCTCTAAATAAATACATCAATAAATAAGCAAAAAAGAAAAGAAGTCCATAAAAACTCATGCTTCAAAAGATGCCATCCAAAAAATGAAAAGACAAGCCAGAGACTGGGAGAAACTTATCCAAGAAGTACACACACACACACACACACACACACACACACACACACACACACTTGAAACTCAATAATAAAAAGACAACAATTAAAAATGGACAAAAGGGACGGGCACAGTTGTTCATGCCTGCAATCACAATACTTTGGGAGGCTGAAGTGAGAGCATTGCTCGAGCTCAGGATTTCGAGATCAGCCAGGACCACATAGTGAGATATTGTCTCTGCTAAAAATCAAAAAAATTAGCCAAGCATGGTGGCATGCACCTGTAGTCCCAGCTACTTGGGAAGCTGAGATGGGAGAATCATTTGAAACTGGGAAGCCAAGCCTACCATGAACTGTGATCATACCACTGCACTCCAGCCTGGGTAACAGAGTGAGACCTTGCCTAAAAAACAAAACAAAACAGACAAAACATTTGAATTGATAATTCACCAAACAAGGTATATAAATAGCTATTAGGCACATGAAAAGATGTTCAACATCATTAGCCATTATAGAAATGCAGATCAAAACTACAGTGAGATATCACTTCACATCCACTGGAATGACTGTTACCAAAAAGACATACAGTAACAGGTCTTGGTGAAGATATGGAAAAACTGGAACCCTCATCTAGAATGTAAAATGGTAGGAAACTTCACGTGGAATGTAAAATGATAGGAATATAAAATGGTACAGATACTTTGGAAAATCATTTGGCAGTTTCTTGATAGAGTAAACATAAGTTTACTATACCAGCCAGCAATTCCACTCCTATGTATCTACCCCCCAAGAGATATGAAAATATATTCTACACAAAGACTTGAACACAAGTGTTCATATCAGTGTTATTCATAATATCCCAAAGTGGAAAAAACTGAAATATTCATTAACGTGTGAATTGTATAGCCATACATTGGAACACTATTCAGCAATAAAAAGGACAAAAGTCTGGGTGCAATGGCTCACGCCTGTGGTCCCAGCATTTTGCCAGGCTGAGGCAGGCAGATCGCTTGAGCCCAGAAGTTCAAGACCAGCCTGGGCAACACAGGGAGATCTCATCTCTACAAAAAATACAAAAATTAGCTGGGCATGGTGGCACGAACCTGTAGTTGCTGCTACTTGGGAGGCTGAGGTAGGAGGATCACTTGAGCCCAGGAGGTGGAGTCTTCAATGAGCTGAGATCATGCCACTGCACTCCAGCCTGGGCAACAGAGTGAGACCCTGCCTCAAAAGAAAAAAGAAAAAGGAGAAAAAGCACAGATACATGTTAGAACATGAATGAACCTCAAAAACACTATGCTTAGTGAAAGACCACATATTGTATGATTCTGTTTGTATGAAATGTCCAGAAGAGACAAATCCATAGAGGCAGAAAGTACATTTGTGGTTACCAGTGACTGGGGGTGTGAAAAGAAATGAGGCCAAATGGGCAAAAGATTGTGGTGAGGGTTGCACCATTCTGTAACTTTATAAAGTCATTCCTGTTGTTCCTTATTTTTTGTTTGGGTTTTTGCTGTCGTTGTTGTTTTAGAGACAAATCTTGCTTTGTTGCAGACTGAAGTGCGTGGCTCACTGTTCCCTCAAACTCCTGAGCTCAGGGGATCCTCCCACCTTAGCCTCTTGAGTAGCTAGGACTCCTGGCATGTACCACTATGACTGGCTAATTTTTTAATTTTTTTTTAGATACAGGCCCTTGCTATGTTGCCAAGCTGGCCTCAAACTCCTGGCCTCAAGCAATCCTCCACCTTGGCCTCCCAAAGCACTGGGACTACGGGTGTGAGCCACCATGCCCAGCCAATTTTTGTTTGCTTTTATTAAAGTATAATGTATTAGGTCAGTGCAAAAGTAATTGCAGTTTTTGCCATTATATGCAATGTCAAAACCGCAATTACTTTTGCACCAACCTAACACATACAAAAAAGTGCACGTCTAAAATGTACAGCTTGACTTATATACAGAAACACACAGAGACCACACCTCTGTATAACCACCACCCAGGTCAAGATGGTGAACATTTCCGGCTGGGCGCGGTGGCTCATGCCTGTAATCCCAGCACTTTGGGAGGTTGAGGCAGGTGGATCACCTGAGGTCAGGAGTTCGAAACCACCCTGGCCAACATGTTGAAATCTCATCTTTACTAAAAAATACAAAAATTAGCCGGGCCTGGTGGCAGGCGCCTGTAATCCCAGCTACTCAGGAGGCTGAGGCAGGAGAATCGCTTGAACCCAGGAGGTGGAGGTTGCCATGAGCCAAGATCCTGCCACTGCACTCCAGCCTGAGTGACAGAGTAAAACTCCGTCTAAAAAAAAAAAAAAGATAGTGAACATTTCCAGCACCCAAGAAGCCAGCCCCTCACAAAAGCTATCACCATTCTGATTTCTATCTCTATAGGTTAGAGTGTTGCCTGTTCTTAGAACACAGAGCAGGCACTCAAAGGTATTGGCCATTCTCTGTCATTGGAGGGGGTCTCTCCTAGGTTCCTTCTTGATCCTATGATTGCACGTGATTGCACGTGATTGCACTCTAGGCCCAGTGAGGATCACAAATTCTAAATCCTACCTGGGACAGAAAAGCAGCCAAAGTGGATGGGTTCAAGGAGGGACTAGGATGAACCATGGGGTCCAGGCTCCATGAAACAAGGACAGCCATATTCAGCTCCAACCAACATTCCTGAGGTCTGCATCCAGTCAGTGCTATCAGCTGGGAACCCTGGGCTTTTCTCTCTTCTTCTCCTTTCTGGGCCTCCTACCCTGCTCCTTTGCTATGCAAAGCAATTCAGTTCCTCTTAGCCTGGTCTTCTCTTCCAGCTTGGGCCCACAGTCTGTCCTCTTTCTCACCAAAATGTTCTATGAAGACTCATCAAGGTGTTTTCCTAAATGAAAGAAACATCTACTCAGGAGGTAGGAGGAACCACATCCGCTTCTTAAAACATAGCACACTTTTTATGTCCTGCTTTTGTTCCATTTTAGAGATGAAGAAACTGAGACCCAGAAAGTTTAAATTACTTGCCCTGATCACAAAACTCATAACTGGTGACGCTGGAAGTTGAATCCTGACTCCAAAGTCCATGAAGTTTGGCTTGTTCATCTCTGTAGCCCCAGAACTTAGCAAAGTGTCAGAACACATGGTCAGAGCTCAATTAGTGCGTGTCCTATTTGGATCTAATTAAAGGATGGCTGGCGGGTGTGGGTGGACGAAGAGGTCCTGGGCCTGTGAGGACAACTGGAGCAGAGAGAGGACAAATTGTTTAAGGAGTCGGTGGAGGGTGCTGAAGGGAGAGGGGGCTGGGCCCCCGTGCTGGCTGCCTGGAGTGGGCTGCCCCTCCCTGGCTTCTCTCCCTCCTGCCTTCAAGGGGGGCTGGTGCTCTGGGCAGAGGCTGCTGCCATCATTTATCAAAGCCCAGTAGCCTGAGGAAGCTCAGGGGCCATCCTGTAGGACACTTTCAATCAACTTTGGTTCAATTTATTCCCTCTAAATGACTCTGAAATGTAAATAAAATTAAATTAATGCTGCTGTATTTGTCTCTGGTTAGGGCTGTAATGGGCTTCAGTAATGCTGCCCCTGAGATCAGCTGTGAAGAGAGACGCTCTGACAGTAGCAGCGTGGCCAGCTTTGTGCCCCCCTCACACCGTCACCCCTCCATCCTCCCTGCTCTGGAGGGACAGACTACACTCTCCACATTCATCAGTGGGAGGGGTGAGAGGCTGTGGCACCTTCACCTCTTCTTTTTCTTCTTCTTCTTTTTTTTTTTTTGAAATGGAGTCTCACTTTTTCACCCAGGCTGGAGTGCAATGGCATGATCTCGGCTCACTGCAACCTCTGCCTCCCGGGATCAAGCGATTCTCCCGCCTCAGCCTCCTGAGTAGCTCGAAAAAGTCCTTCTGCCCTGTTCTAAAGCTCCAAAAATGTGGACACTGAGGGGGCTGGGGCAGTGGCAATGGGAGTATCTGTGGCAAGCAATCAGGTGGTCCAGGTAGGTTTGCGCTGAGGCTGAAGAAGGGGCAGGCCGGATGCAGTGGCTCACACCTGTAATCTCAGCACTTTGGGAGGCAGAGCCGGGTGGATCACCTGAGGTCAGGAGTTCAAGACCAGCCTGGCCAACATGGTGAAACCCTATCTCTACTAAAAATACAAAAAAGTAGCTGGGCGTGGTGGCAGGAGCCTGTAATCCCAGCTACTCGGGAGGCTGAGGCAGGAGAATCGCTTGAACCCAGGAGGTAAAGGTTGCAGCAAGCCAAGATCATGCCATTGCACTCCAGCCAGGGAAACAAGAGCAAAACTCCATCTAAAAAAAAAACCAATTGATGTCAGGGTGCCAAAATCGCCTCTGATTGAGAACCACAGCCCTGCAGGGAAGGTAGGGAAATGAGGGTGCATAGGAGGAGTGGGTGACAGAATCCTACAAGACATGCACGTCTTTCCACTCTGTCTCATCTAGCCTGCCCCCAAGATGGCATCTAAAATCTATCAACATTGTTCTAACATAAGTAATAAATGGCCATCTAAGCCTTTGGACTAAACACCAGGAACTCTTCCCTCCAGCAGCCTCCTCCACCCTCTCCCACTCCAGTCCCGCAATGTACCCAGCTCAGCCTCAAGAACCAAAAAGCTAAGAAAGGAGATTCCTTTGGGATTCTCCATTAGCAGAGATGCCCCAGGTGAAGGAGGTTTCAATACATTGAGATTCTCCAAGGAGAAAGAAATTTCTTGCCAAGAGGAGATTTCTGAAAGAAGGAAATTCCAAGTAGGAGGCTATTTTCTAACAGAAGTAGGGCCTCAACACTTCTGACTGAGTGGGCTATTAGAATTTGTCGATATCTTTCTAGTATTCAACTGCCCACGCGCCCAGAAGGGGCAGGGCAGGGCAAGGGCTGGTGGAAAACTTCCACATTCTGCTTCCTCGAGCTGGGACAAGAGAAAGCCAGGAAGCACGAGGAGCATTATCTCCCAGGGTTCAAAGTCCTGGTGACAGAGGCAATGACAATGAATTTGCCCAGGGAGAGGGAGGACAGAGGCGAGTCCCCATCCCCTGTGTCCTTTCACCTCTCACTTTAGCCTTCTCAATTTAGAGAACAAACTGTGGGGAAACGATCCTGTGACTTTAACTCTATTTATACATCTCCTAAAGCTTTTATGTGGTCCAGAAGAAGGCCTGGCCAGAACATTCCAGTTTACGCAGAGGAAATCAAAGAACATGTTTATAATCACATGACAAAGCCTGAGCCTAGACATACAACAGGAGCAGGGAAAGGGGATGGGGAGGCACCCCCACCTCCTACTGGATTCGCTATCACAAAATAATTAAAATCCCACCTCCCACCTTTGTAATTCCTCATAATCTGATTTGTGTGTATGTGTTCGGCTGTATTTCTGCCTCTTGCCAAAGTCTGTTCCTGCCAGAATTTCTGATTTTGGGAAGTCAGTAAAAAGCCATGGTCCAAAAGTACACTCAATCTGGAGAATTGTCCATCAACCAGCTTTGTGTCAGTAGGATGTTTATTTGACCCACGGCTGCTGGGCTTATTAACTTATTGTAATGTGCTGATCCAGATCCAACCGCTCTTGTGCTAAGTCTTTGGACTAATTTTTTTCCTGCTAATTCTGCCATGCTAGGACACCCTAATGCAGATGATAAAGAATCCAGTGATAGAACAGATGGGTGAGCACTTCACATATCTTCACATCGCTCTGTTAGCATGGCAGTGACTTTCAAATACAGCCTTCATCCCTTCCAGGTGTACAGAAGAGCCGCTTTGATCGTTCCATACCGGTAGACACTGTGCACCAGCCTCTCAGGACAGATGGAAAGGAGTGGGTTTAAAGTGCAGTGGCAAGGACTGAAGTTCTGCCCTCAGTGACTCCTCCACCTCCTCTACAGAACCCCTCTTTGTATCGCAGTTTCCCTGGGCCCTTGCCTGCCTGTTCCCTCCTGCCGCAGCCCTCCCTGGGTTGTCCCAGCCTCCCAGCTCCAAATGGAGCCTCATCCTTAGGAGCTGGGCCTGGCATACAAAGTGAACTTCATGGACTCTCTCTCCCTACCGTGTCCCAGGACGGGGTCAGGAATAATTGCAGGAGTGTAAGGAATCCAGATTTTCCAGACCCTTGCTGGAGAGCTAAGGTTTGAATCCATGCCATTTTTACTGCAAAGCCCTTTTAGGACAAATAGGATGAAGCAAGACTCTCTGCCCACCATGGCACTGCCCTCCTACCCGGTCTCCACCAGTAGCAGGTGTCCATATCCCCAGCCTTCTCTCCAACAGCCTCCTTCAAGATGGGGGCATTAGCACTCTATTGATGGCACAGAGCTTGGCCACTGTGCCAGCTCCCCCTCTTTGACTGTGATGAATGATGAGTGACTAGAGTGGGGAAGTGTATGTGTGTTTTCTAAGCAGATGAGGGGAGGCGAGGCAGACAGAAACAGGAGGCAGAACGCGAGGCCCAGGTACAATGGTTGACTGATGAAGAAAGAAAGCAATGGGTTGGAAGGAGAAGAGAATCAAAATGGGGCTCTAACAGAGACCAGGGTAGACTGAGAGGAGCCACAGGAGCTGAGTTGATCACCTTGTGCCTGTTTCCTCGAGCATTTAATGGGAACAATAATAGTACCTACTTCATAGGGGTATTGTGAGGGTCAAATGAGCTAATATACCTAAAGTGCTGGAACAGTGATAGTGGCTGGGCCTAGTGGCTCACATCGGTAATCCTAGTGCTTTGGGTTTTTTTTTTTAGATGGAGTCTCACTCTGTCGCCCAGGCTGGAGTGTGCAGTGGTGTGATCTCAGCTCACTGCAACCTCCACCTCCTGTGGTTCAAGTGATTCTCCTGCCTCAGCTTCCCAAGTAGCTGGGATTGCAGGCACTCACCACCATACCCGGCTAATTTTTTTGTATTTTTAGTAGAGATGGGGTTTCGCCATTTTGGCTAGGCTTCATCTCGAACTTCTGACCTCAGGTGATCCACCCACCTCGGCCTCCCAAAGTGCTGGGATTACAGTTGTGAGCCACCGCCCCTGGCCTGTAATCCCAGTGCTTTGGGAGGCTAAGGTGGGAGGATCTGTTGAGGCCAGGAGTTCGAGACCAGCCTGGGCAACATAGTGAGACCCTGTCTCTACAAAAAATAAAAATAAATTAGCCGGGTGTGGTGGTGCACGCCTGTAGTCCCAGGTACTGGGGAGGCTGAGGTCGGAGGATCACTTGAGCCCATGAGGTTGAGGCTGCAGTGAGCACCAGTGATTGCGCCAGTGCCCTCCAGCCTGGGTGACAGAGTGTGAGCCACTGTCTCAGCCAGGATTGGGTTTTAAGGATTATTAAATGCAGGATAGTATTTTAAGCTCTTCTCAGTCATTTACATCCTTGTGAGAATGAGTTTCAACTACTTTCACCAGAGCAGGTTTTATAGCAGACAAGGGAGAAGGCAAAAGGGTTTGGGACAATTTGGCCTGGGTATGGTTGGCCCTGAAGTAAGGGCTGATAGAGACCTCATGTAGCCAGGACCGGGCATTTTTTTTCTTTTTTTTTTTTTTTTTTTGAGACGGAGTCTCGCTCTGTCACCAGGCTGGGGTGCAGTGGCGTGATCTCGGCTCACTGAAACCTCCGACTCCCTGGTTCAAGCGATTCTCCTGCCTCAGCCTCCTGAGTAGCTGGGATTACAGGCATGTGCTACCATGCCTGGCTAATTTTTGTAATTTTAGTAGAGACAGGGTTTCACCATGTTGGCCAGGCTGGTCTCGATCTCCTGACCTCATGATCCGCCTGCCTCAGCCTCCCAAAGTGCTGGGATTACAGGCGTGAGCCACCGTACCCGGCCTAGGGTCAGGCATTTTATCCCAGACAGTTTTCTGTGATTGAGCCTGGGCTAGAAGCCAAATAGAAAATGGCACACACCCGAGTCCTGCTGTGCATGCATGTGGGGTCAGGGCCAAGGCTCAAACACTCACTTTGGGACACACAGTAAAATCTCTGTAACCTGATGAGGGTGAGAAAGAACAGTGCAATGGTTACAAAAGTAATCTGAAACCATACTGCCTGGATTCAAATCCTGGCTTCTGAATGTGCAACCTTGACTAAGTTAATAAATCACTTTGCCTTAGTGTCCTCATCTGTCAAGTGAGTGTGATGATAATACCTAATTATAGGGCTGTTTTTGTTGTTGTTTTAGAGATAGGGTCTCACTATGTTGCCCAGGCTGGAGTGTAGTGGTGGTATCATAGCTGACTATATCCTGTAACTCCTGGACTCAAGCAATCCTCCCACCTCAGCCTCCCAAATAGCTGTAACTACAGACATGCGCCACCATGCCTGGCTTCACAGTGCTGTTTTGAAGACTAAATGAGCTCATACACTTAAAATGCTTCTAACAACACCCAGCAACAAATAAGTTCTCCATATGACATGGGTATTTTTTGTTGTTGTTTGTTTGTTTGTTTGTTTGTTTGAGACAGGGTCTCGCTATGCTGCTCAGACTGGTCTCTAACTTCTGGCCTCAAGCGATTCTTCTGCCTCAGCCTCCCTAGTAGCTGGGGTTGTAGGAGTTCTCCACCATGCCTGGCTATGGCATAGGTCTTATCATTACCATCATTATTCCTACTATTAGTTGTAAGACTCTGAATTGAGAATAAGTACACCTTGATCTCATCTTGGTCTCTGTGGTTCCTCCTCCTTATCACTTACACTCCTGTGGGGCTAGTTACCCAATCCTCTATTATTCCCTAAATTGTTCCCCACTCTTTCCTTCTCCAGGGATGGTCTCCCAGGGACCAAGTTAGTTTACTGTGACCCTGGGATTGGATCAGGGTGCACCTGCCCAGAACTTTGACATTCAGAGGCTCTACCTAGGAATTTGAAATTGAGAGAGGCTGGGCACAGTGGCTCACACTTGTAATTCCAGCACTTTGGGAGGCCGAGGTGGGAGGATTACTTGAGCCCAGGAGTTGGAGACCAGCTTGGGCAACATAGTGAGACCCCGTCTCTAAAAAAAAGGCCAAGTGTGGTGGTGCATGCCTGTAGTCCCAGTTACTTTGGAGCAAAGGTGGAAGGGTCGTTTGAGCATGGGAGGTAGAAGCTGCAGTAAGCTGTGGTTGTACTATGCACTCCAGCCTGGGTGACAGAGTGAGACCCTGCCTCAAAAGAAAAAAAAAAAAAAGAAATGGAGAGAAAGAGAGCGCGAGAAAGCTGTCTGTAGGGGGCCTGAGTCAAACTCAACCTGAGGCTGGTCCTATAATCTAAGCTCATTTTGGGCAAAGACTATGTATTTTGGGGCCAAGTTGTGATGGTATCTTTGGATTCCACAAGACACTCCTCTGTCTTTATAATAACACATTTCCCTCTTTGTCCTTAAGTTAGTTTCTATTGCTTGCAAGCAGAGTTCTAACAAACATTCTTAAGTGTGTGTGTAATCGTATTCTCTGTTATATTGACAGTTTGCCAGTCTGACTCCCATGGCCTGGGCACTGCTTGAGGGTCATGACTGTACCTTCTATTTCTGTATTCCCAGTGCTCAGCATGGTGTTGCACACACAGCAGATGCTCAGTGCTGTACTGAATGAGTACAGACATTGGGGTGGGGAGAGAGGACAGGTATTTATTAGCACATGCTATGAATGCCATGCTCTTTTTGTATGTTACCCTCCTTGATCCTCCTCAGAGAATTACTCTTAAAATGTTATCTCCATTTTACAGACCAAGAAACTGAGACTTACAGGGTATATTAGGAATAGGTTCTGTTGCAAGTATCAGAGGCCCTGAGAGAAGTTTATTTCTCACTTAAGTGAAAGTCCAGAGGTGAGCTGTCCAGGTATTGCAGCTCTGCCGCATCAAGTCCTTTGGGCTCATTGCTCCACCGTCTCTAGGACGTGCCCCTTGTTATCATGGTCCAAGATGGTAGTTAGAGTTCCAGCCATCATGTTTGTTCCAGGTAGAGATGAAGGGAAGAATGAAGAAGGGAGCAAAGGGTGAATGACTTTTTTTTTTTTTTTTGACAGAGTCTCGCTCTGTCGCCAGGCTGGAGTGCAGTGGCACCATCTTGGCTCACTGCAACCTCCACCTCCCGGGTTCAAGGGATTCTCCTGCCTCAACCCCCTGAGTAGGTGGGATTACAGGTGTGTGCCACCATGCCCAGCTAATTTTTGTATTCTTAGTAGAGACGGGGTTTCACCATATTGGTCAGGATGGTCTTGATCTCTTGACCTCGTGATCCACCTGCCTCGGCCTCCCAAAGTGCTGGGATTACAGGCGTGAGGCACCTCGTCTGGCCAGGTGCATGACTTTTAAGGAAGCTTTGCTAAAGCTGCCACATGGTACTTCTTGTTATGTCCCATTGGCCAAAACTTTGTTATATGTTCACTAAGGGAATCTGGGAAATGTCTTCTGGGTGGTCATGTGCTAAGCCAAAATTTGGAGGTTCTATTTTTTTAATTTTAATTTTAATTAATTAATTAATTTTTATTTTATATTTTTTGAGATGGAGTCTCGCTCTGTTACCCAGACTGGAGTGCAATGGCACAATCTTGGCTCACTGCAACCTCCACCTCGTGGGTTCAAGTGATTCTCCCACCTTGACCTCCTGAGTAGCTGGGACTACAGGTGTGCACCAACATACCCAGCTAATTTTTATATTTTTAGTAGAGACATGTTTTTGTCATGTTGGCCAGGCTGGTCTCGAACTCCTGACCTCAAGTGATCCGCCTGCCTCAGCCTCCCATAAATTTTCATTTTTAAAGAGGGGATCTCGCTGTGTTGCTCAGGCTGGACTCAAACTCCTGGGCTCAAGTGATCCTTCCACCTCAGCCTCCCAATGGGCTGGGATTACAGGTATGAGCCACCACACCCAGCCAAATTTGGAAGTTCTATTGCTGTGGAAGAAGAGAGGCAACCCTAGCAGTCTTTGCCACAGATAGGTTAGGTAACCTAGCTAAGGCCACACAGTGGAGAATTCGCCAAAGCTGGGACTCAAGCCCATCTCTATGAGACACTTCTAATCAAAAGGATAGGGCAAGGTATTTACAACTTTTTAAAGAGAGGGTAGAGTATGCTAGGAGTTGGAGATAGGAGAGTTCTGAGGTCAAGATCAACAGGAACTTGTGCATCAAAATGCACATACTGAGTCAGGTCCCACAGGGGTGGATTATCTCTCCTTGAGGGGCTGGCAAATACGCGTGATGTCACTAGTTGTAGAGGAAGAGGTTGGGGTAAGTCTCCTAGAAGGACTTAGGTCACTTCTTGGGCAACAGCTTCAAGAGGCAGAATCCTGTAGCCCGGGTTCAGCCAGGCCCCCAGGGAGGACCTGGGAGGGAGCATAGTTTCCTCGTGACAAGACAGTTTGCAGCAGCACTCCAAGGTGGCCCAGTGCTGGGCTATGGAGAGGGCTTATCAGCTGCGAATAGGAAACTGCTGCATTTCGCTCCTAGAATTTAGCCTCAATCACTTCTTCAGTAAAGGCTTTCAGGCTTAACCCTTTGGGATTGGGCAGGGTTCTGTTCTCCTGAGGGGACCCTCCAGTCAAGGGGAGGCACTCTGGCACCAGCAGGGACAAGAAGCAGAGAGCCAGGGAGGGTGTAGCCTAGGCCAGCAGAGGCAAAAGCATTTCCTGCCTAAAGCTGGGTGCAATGAGAAGTGTGGGTGCTGAAGATCGAGGGTGCAAGGATGCGCAGATGATGCTGGACAGCTGCTGAATGGGAAGTCTTGGTTCCAGCAGTCTTACATCCTCTTTCAAGTTCTCCCACCACCCTCTGCCTCCAAAAGCATTAACAGTAGTATTTCTAGCTATGTGGCTTTGGGCACAGCAGTTTATCGTGAGCATCAGTATCCATCTGTACATATCTGAGCCTCAGTATCCTCATCTATGTAATGGGCAAAAATACTATTTTGAGGTAGGAATACAGGTTACCTACAGGGCAGCCTTGACTGGGGCAAAGCATAGGGGATGCTGGAAATGCTCTGTATCTTGATGTGGAGGGCGGTTACACAGGTGTACATACATTTAAAGATTCATCCGGCTGTATGTGCACTTAAGATAAGGGCACTTTACTAACATGTAAGTTATAGCCCAATATAAAAGTTAACAAATAGGCCAGGCGCAGTGGCTCATGCCTGTAATCCCAGCACTTTGGGAGGCCGAGATGGGTGGATCACCTGAGGTTAGGAGTTCGAGACCAGCCTGGCCAACATGGTGAAACCCCATCTCTACTAAAAATACAAAAAAAAAAAAAAAAAAAAAAAAAGAAATAGCCATATGTGGTGGCAGATGCCTGTAATTCCAGCTACTTGGGAGGCTGAAACAGAAGAATCACTTGAACCTGGGAGGTGGAGGTTGCAGTGAGCTGAGATCACGCCATTGCACCCCAGCCTGGGCGACAAGAGTGAAACTCCATCTCAAAAAAAAAAAAAAAAAAAAAGTTAACAAACAGAAAAGATGCCCCTCATTCTCAAGTCCATCCTAAAAGGTGATTGTGAGGGCTACAGGGTTGGTGAGAGCGAAACATTTCGCACAGGGCCTGCCTGGCACCGCAGTGTTCTCTCATCCCCTATCTGCACCTGGGATGGATCTGCAAGATGTAATCTCAAGAAAACTAGTTGCCCTAAGTCCTCCGGGCGAACAAAACTGGAGTATGGCTAACTACCAGGGAGATTTCTCTGACACACAAATTAAGGTATAAACACAAATGAGGGATGAGACGTCCTGGTTTTAGGCAGGAGAGGTATCATCATTTCTGTTTTGGAATTAGCTGAGGCACAGAGGGTGGCCAGGGTGTAGGAGGCCCAGGAAGTCAGGCCCCTGACTCCCAGTCCAGTGCTCTTCCCAGAACTGGAGTCGCCCAGATGGCCAGGATGTCAGGCCTGGCTCCCCCCGCCCCCATGTGGCCAGCCTGGGAACTCTCCAGTTGCAGTGCTGCCAGGACTGCCTGTGCACAGATGGGCGAGACAGGCTGCCCCTCCTCCCTGTAACTCTGCACTCGATGACAACATGACAACTCAGTAATGAGTCATCCCAAAGAATGAATGAGCTGGAGAACAAACCCCGCCTTCTGGAGGCGGGGGCAGGAATCCCAGAGTGGCTCCCCTGCCTGGCTGCTGCATATTCTTTGCAAACTTGCTTGTCCAGCCCCTGGGTCTACAGGAGAACAGGGATGGCAGTGTTATCTCCCAGGTGCCCTGGCTGACCTCTTGATCCAGCCACTATGCCCAGCCCCCAGAGCCTCTACATTTGATAGTCCCAGCGAGACTTCCATTCCTTGACCAAATGGTTCCCCTACCCTCCCTTAGGCACCTGCTCCCAAGTCCTCTTTCTCTTTCCAGCAGCCCCTTTCTCCCTGCTCCCTGACATGTACTCTCTAACTCAACCTGATTGTCTACTGGGCCCAAACCCTCCTGGCTGAGGTGAGAGCCTGTCAGCGGATCATTCATTACTGATACCCAGCAACCCCATTGTCCCCAAGCTGGTTTCTCCATCCCAATAAATCCCACTTGGTAGCCAGTCTAAATCAAGGCTTGAAAGCAATCTTAGTGTGAATTTCTGGATCTATTTGTTCACTTATCCATTCAAACCTTCAATAAGCATGTATTGAGTGGCCCCTGTATGCCAGGCATTATGGGGGATACTAGAGGTATAAAGACACAAAGCATTGTCATAGTCCCTAATTTGGCACCCCAAACTGTTCCTTTTTACTCTTTCCTCCTTCCCTTCAAAAGCTCTGTTTCTGAGTTTTTCAGCTTACTAGCTATGTGACCTTGAGCAGAAAACAAACAAGAAAAAGAAACCATTATTATAGACACCAAGTGCTATGCAAGGTGATTTACATCTGTTATTTAATTCTCCTGACAACACTGCGAGGTAAATATTATTATCCCCATTTTTCTAGGTGAGGGAATGGAGGGTCAGAGAACTTAGTTAAACTTGTCTGAGACCACACAGTTAACAGCTGGCAGAGCCATGGTTTGAACCCAGGTCACTCCACCTCCCCAAACCCGTTTCCTCATCTGTAAACTAAATCTGTGCCATACATAAAATCCAGGCTAGGTACAGGCTAGCGGGTTTAGAAACCCTTTCTGCTTTTCCCCACCCCTAGGTTCATGGCGAAGACCTTGGTCAGGGCTTCAGCTGTGCCATGCATGGCATGAAGACCCAAGACTGTATTTGGAGGCTTCTAGGGCCCGTCCAGGGGGTCCTGAGGCTGTCCTCTTCTCCCACAGATACGTTCATGATGTAGTGTTGTAGTAATCTCATCCCAGCATGGCACAACCCAGTGGAAGGAGGTGGAAATGGTATGTTGCCATTTATTTTAAAAGTCAGAAATGTGTCTCAAAATAATGAATTATTCAAAAGACAGGTACAAGGATGCTCACAGCAGCTTCATTAAGAATAGCTAACAAGGCCGGGCATGGTGGCTCATGCCTGTAATCCCAGCACTTTGGGAGGCCGAGGTGAGTTGATCACCTGAGGTCAGGAGTTTGAGACCAGCCTGGCCAACATGGTGAAACCCCATCTCTATTAAAACTACAAAAAATTAGCCAGACATGGTGGCAGGCACCTGTAATCCCAGCTACTTGAGAGGCTGAGGCAGGAGAATCACTTGAACCCAGGAGGTGGAGGTTGCAGTGAGCCAAGATCATGCCACTGCACTCCAGCCTGGGCAACAGAGTGAGACTCTGTCTCCAAAAAAAAAAAAAAAGAAAAAGAATAGCTAACGAATGGAGACAACACAAGTGTCCACCAACAAGAAGTTAAATAAATAAACTGTGATTGGGCCAGGCACAGTGGCTCATACCTATAATCCCGGCACTTTGGGAGGCTGAGGCAGGTGGATTGCTTGAGCCCAGGAGTTTCCGACCAGCCTGGGCAACATAGTAAAACCCCATCCCTACAATTTTTTTTTTTTTTTGAGATGGAGTCTCACTCTGTTGCCCAGCCTGGAGTGCAGTGGCATGATCTTGGTTCACTGCAACCTCTGCCTCCCGGGTTCAAGCGATTCTCCTGCCTCAGCCTCCCAAGTAGCTAGGATTACAGGAGCGTGCCACCACGCCTGGCTAATTTTTGTATTTTTAGTAGAGATGGGGTTTCACCATGTTGGCCAGGCTGGTCTCTAACTACTGACCTCAGGTAATCTGCCCCCCTTGGCCTCCCAAAGTGCTGGGATTACAGGCGTGAGCCAGTGCGCCTGGCCTACAAATTTTTTTCTTTTTAAATTAGCCGGGTGAGGTGGCATGCACCTATAGTCCTAGCTACTTGGGAGGCTGAGGTGGGAAGATCATTTGAGGTCGAAGCTGCAATGACCTATGGTTGTGCCACTGCCCTCCAGCCTGGGTAACAGAGCAAGACCCCATCTCAAAAAAAAAAAAAATCAAAATTAAAAAGTTGTGATACATACATGTATATATATTTATACAATGAAGCACTACTCAGTAATGAAAATAATTCCTATAACCACATGCAACAACATGGATGAATCCCACAGACGTGATATTGAATAAAAGTAACCAGGCACAACAAAATCACATACAGTGTGATTCCATTTATATGAAGTCCAAGAAGAGACCATATTAATTTATGGCAATAGAAATCATAACTGTGGCTACCTTTTGGGGGGTGTTGACTAGGAAGGGGCATATACATTTTGAGGAGCTGGAAATGTGGAAATGTTCTCTATCTTGATCTGGGTGATGGTTACATGAAAGTACACACATGTAAAAACTAATTGAGCTGTACCGTTGAGCCTTATGCACTTTACTGCATATATGTTATATATCAAGAAAAAAAATAATGGTAATGTTTCCCAGGGTGTTACATGTGTCTTGCTGCTCCCCCAGATCCCCTGTGCACACTCTCAGCCATGGCCACCTGAAGCAGGATGGGTAAAGGAAAGCTTTGCCTAAGAAAAGGGCAGGGAGTGCTGAGCAGGTGGACAGCAGTGGCTCTCAGAGAGGGCAGGATGGACACTTACTTGTTCCATACTCCAGCCCCTTTCTAGGAGCAGGTGGGTGCCCTTTTTCCCCAACCATCCCCTAAGTCATCAGTAAGGAATGTTGCCCTGGGCATGCTGGTTTGTGCTCTGGGATTCTCTCCAGACACACTGAACAAATGGCACCACCCATGCCCCCATCCAAAGAATGAGCTGCCATATTTCTTTCAAGAAGAGGTGGTGTTCGAGGCCCTTGCTGGCTCTTTATCTCGATCAAACCTCCAGGGTTTACTGCAGTTTACTGCTGAGGAAACAAGTCCTGAGGGTTGAGGAGCTTGTAGAAGATCCCCTGGTGAGTTAGCTGAGAGCTGGTGTTAGAGCCAGCCCTCCTCTTCCCTAGGTTGGAGTAGGAGTTTGGTTTGGGGACGGGCTTCTCCGCTAATCTGGTGACCAAAGCCATGACATATCAGCATGGGTACCCATGTATGGGAAGGAAGACAGGAAGATGTGTGTAGTCACTGGGCTGGTTATGGGGGTGTATGGAGTCCTTCGAAAGTTTTGTCTTTCCCCACATCGCTCCCCAGGGGAGAAGAAACTTGGAAGCTTTCCTTCTTTTCTGTGTCCACGACACCACCTTCCTTACCCTTCCCCCACCCCACAGACCTCTGCTGGCCACCCTGAGAAGGGCTGAACCCTTTCAGTACAATTTTCCATGTGGTTTTTGCTTTAAGACAATTTCCCATGTTTAGTAGCTGGCTGGGAGTGCAGAGGGTAGAAGTTAATGCAGTGGAGACCTGGGGTAAGAGGCAGCAATGGAGTGAGGGGGCAGTAAGGAGAGGTGGACTGCTTGCACTTGATGTGATGCCCTGCAGAACTATGATTATTAGTCCCAGTTCAAGGGAAAGAACACACACAGTTCCTCTACTATGTGGGAAAGAGAGAACAGAGTCCCTGCCCTCTAGCCAGCCCTGAGGTACCATGAGAACAGACCACCAACAAATCGTAGCTCCGCCCTTTCCTTTATTATACAATGAAGTACTACTCAGTAATGAAGAGAATTCCTGTAACCACATGCAACAACATGGATGAATCTCACAGACATGGTATTGAGTGAAAGTAAACAGGCACAACAAAATCACATACAGTGTGATTCCATTGATCTGAGAACTTTACTTCTGGGAAGTTCTCTCTGCTATCTAACTTCCATCCCTCCTGTTTGAGTTTCTTCCCAGCCCTCTGTCCTCAGAGGAAGTGGAGAGCCAGCAGGATGGCCCTCCTGTCAGCCTTGGCAGGAGTGAAGGACTTTAGACTTGATCTGTACAGTGGAGCAGGGAGGTAAATGACACTCTCTCTAGGCCCCACTTCCCTGCCTTTCTTCTGAGCCCCGAGACAGCTCTACCAGACCCTCCTCACTTAGGGAAGACTCACTTGGCTGCTGTCTGCACCAACCCCTAGGGTCCACCTCAGATCTGGGATGGCACCTGGGACAACCTGGGCATCTCAACTAGGGTGACTGGTGGCTGGACATCCCAGGAGGAGTGGGTGGCAGTGGCAAGTTGCTCCAAACCAAACCCATAATTCCACACTCCAGGGTGTCCAGGCCACCCCTTTATTTTTATCATTATTTTTTTTTTTTTTTGAGACAGAGTCTTGCTCTGTCACCCAGGCTGCAGTGCAGTGGGACAATCTGAGCTCACTGCAACCTCCACCTCCCAGGTTCAAGCAATTCTTGTGCCTCAGCGTCCCAAGTAGCTGGGATTACAGGTGCGTGCCACTGCGCCCAGCTAATTTTTTTTTTCTTTTTTTGTAGAGATGGGGGTTTCACCATGTTGGCCAGGCTGGTCTTCAACTCCTAAGCTCAAGTGATCTGCCTGCCTCATCCTCCCAAAGTGTTGGGATTACAGGTGTGAGCCATCACGCCCAGCCCCAATTAATTATTAAATATTTCCCACTTAGTGTTAATCATGTCTTTCTACTCCTATCTCCACTCACCCAGCTCTTCTCAGAGACAATCACCTTATCAGTTTCTTCAGTCTGCTTGTGAAGATATTATGTACAGATCCATAAATACACGTATATTCTGTTTTATACAAACACACACTGTCCTGAATTCTTTTTTTTTTTAGACAGGGTCTCACTCTGTTACCCAGGCTGTAGTGCAATGGCGCGATCTTGGCTCACTGCAACCTCCGCCTCCTGGGTTTAAGTGATTCTCCTACCTCAGCCTCCCGAGTAGCTTGGATTACAGGCTTGCGCCACCACCCTCGGCTATTTTTTTATTTTTAGTAGAGATGGGGGTCTCACCATGTTGGCCAGGGTGGTCTCAAACTCCTGACCTCAAGTGGTCCGCCCGCCTTGGCCTCCCAAAGTGCTAGGATTACAGACATGCGCCACCGTGCCCAGCCTGTCCTGAATTCTTGACAGTGTGTCGTGGTGGTGGCTCCATGTCAGCACACATCAAGCTTTCCTCGCTTGTTCCCTTGAATGGATTATAACACGTACATGCAGCACCTACTAAGTGCCAGGCACTGTGCGTTTGCTGAGCAGTGAGGTTGTAACAACAACCCAGCCAAAGTTACTGCCTTCCTGGGGTTTACAGTCAGGGAGACAAAGATAAGAACACAGACAGGTGCCTTTGTCTCCTGGTAAGTTTTATAACGGGAGAACTAGAAAGGCAGAGGAGTGTTGGGAAAGGATCCCGAGGGAAGTGACAGTACAGCGAGGCTGGGCGCCAGATGGGGCCCGAGTGGGCAGGCAGGAGAATTTCAAGTTGAGGGAACTTGCACAAGGCGCAGACATAAGACGCTATGATTCAATACGGGGAAGTGTAGGGGGGCTGATGGCCCTCCTGTCAGCCTTGGAAGGAGTGAAGGACTTTAGACTTGATCCGTGCAGTGGAGAGCATCCAGTGGGCTCAAGTGTGAGTGACGTGATCGGGCTCGTGTTTTGGAAAGATCCCGGTGGCTGCTGTGTGGGAGGAAGATGGATGGGATGAGGGGCCGCAGATGCAGCAGGGAGGCCAGCTGGGCACTCCAGCCATAGGCCTTGCCACTCACCTCGCCGGCTTGGCAGCCCACCCAGCCGTTCCCATGTGGGCTTGGGGTAATCATAGCCTTTTCTGGCCACATTGCCTCACCTCCAAAATGAAGCAGGGAGACGGATTCACTCAGCCCACAGCTCACTCATGACCTCAGCCTCCTGCTGGGTAGACCCAGGAGTCATCCTGGGTCCCCCGTCCCTGCCTGCCCACCTCTCCAGACACCTTTTCCTACCTGGATGCTTTTATGCAGGCTCTGCGCTCCCCTGCCACCAACGCTGTAGCCCCTCATCTCTTCCCAGTACTTCAGTGCTGGCCCCTGTTCATCACTCAGCCAGCTCCTCTCCTCCTCCCTCTTCCGGTCTTGCAGGTCAGCTCCTGTTCAGGAAGCCACTCCCTCTCTCCTGGTGGTTATTCAGCCACTTCTTAGGGTCCCTGTTCCATCCAGGTTTCTCTGGCTCCCCAGCTTATGTCTGGGTCCAAGGACGCCCAACTTGGTACCTCTTATGAACAGGAACTGGTGTCTCTCCTATTAGGAATTGTTTTTCCAAGACTGGGGGCTCTCTCTTCCTAAAGTCTCCAGTCTCTATGGGACTGAGATGGCCTTTCCCAAAGCTTCCAGGAGAACATCTCATCTGGTGCTGGTTTCTGTCCTCCACTTTGCTTTGTGCCTGGAAGGCTGACCTCTACGACTGCATCACTGGACTCTCTTGCCCTCTGGCTTTTAATTGGATGCAGGCAATGGGAGGCACTGCTGTAGATCTGAAGGCAGGAGGAGATAAAGCCCAGGGCGTCTATCCACCCCCTCCCTCGCTGCCAGGCGGCAGTTTGGGCAGCGGCTACATTTCTCTACCAAGGCTGTAGGCTGCAGCTCCTGTTGCGGGGGCTGCCAGCTCCCATGGCCACAGCTCCCGCCCTTTCCCTCTCCTCCTGGGATGGTAGCCACCCTGGGTGCTTTATCATAGTTTCCTTAAAGCTGCCCCCCACCTCTGTAAATAGCCTCTTCATTTATGCCCCTTCAATGAAACCTTGGCGTGTTTCCTGTGTTCCCTGCCAGGACTGACTGATACACTCCTCAACCCCCCACCGCCTCCCTCTCCCTCCACCCTCTTGCGGGGCGAGAGAGTTTGTAGATCTCCCTTGGTCACTGGTGATTCTTCCCTTTGAGCTTGCACAAGTTGCTTATGCTCTCAGTTTTCTCTTGGGAAAAGTGGGAATAATTGTCCGACTTCATTCCCGGGATGTTTGCAAGGATTCAACGCGTGCTCGCGAGTCGCGTGCGTGGCACAGTGCCTGGCCTACGGCAGAGCCTCGGTAACCATCGGCTCCTTCCCCTTGCGGAGGGGCTTCCTCCCCACACCTGCCTGGAGCTGACCTGGGGAGAGCGCGCGCTCTGAGACGGGAACTTCGGGACAGAGGGAGTGCTCCTGAGGACAAATCCTGTTTAAAACCACACCTGTGACTGCATTAACCGAGAGAGTGCCTCTCCACGCTTCATTTGCCTTTTAAATGAAGAGTGGGATGGGCTGTGAGTGGGGGCTCTGCTCATTACAGGAGGACAGAAGAGGCTGCGCGCCCTCCGCAGGCCCACGCTGTCCGCCATTAGCACAGCCCGGCCCGGCGCTGCTCGCACATTAGCCTTCAGGAATAAAAAGAATGATTTCGTAAGTCAAGAATAATTATTTCGACCAGCTTTCCTCCTCAGCTCGCTACTGCGCCGCCTGGGCTGCGTGTGCTGGCTGACAAATTAATTTCTATTATTTATATTGGGCTAGAGAGGAAGCACAGCCCGGGGAAGCGGGGAGCAGGGGGCCTGGGGGAGAAATGAGAGATGGAGATGGAGAGACAGGGGCAGGGAGGTGGAGACAGAGCAGCACAGGGAGGGGCGGAGAGGATGGGAAATGCAGAGACAGAAGAAGGGACGGTGTCTGGAGGAGGATGAAGGAGCCGAGGGGCAGGCTGGGTGAGCTCCGGACTTGGAAGGGCTGGGCCTGGGCCCTGGGGGTGTGGGCTTCGGCTCTGTTTCCGCTCCTCTGGGACGGGCACACAAGCCGGCTGGAGTCAGCTTCTCCATGAAGATCTGCCAGGGAGCCGGCCTCCCCATCCTCCGCATTTGAGACATGCTCTGGCATATCATTGAGCACTCAGGGAGAATGCTCTTCAGGGCCCATCAAAATGCACAGAAATGTCTCTCTCCCGGCCTCCCAGCCTCCTGCCATCCCCAGGCCTCCTCCCGGGAAGCCTAAGAAGGTCTTATTGAACTCACCCCACCCAATTCAAAACCAGGGGCGGCTTGGAGAAAACGTGCCCCTACCCACGAGTTGCCGGGTGGACACAGGAAGCAGAGCTGCTAGCAGGGTGTGCTGCTGGGGACTGGAAGCTCACACCCCTGTCCCTGAGCAAAGACTCAGGACGTGTGCCTTCAAAGGGATAGTGGGCAGGGTCGGCCTCCCCAGCCCCACTTCCTGCCAGGATGCACAGCCGGAGTTAACTGAGCTACCCGAATCTTAGACCTGCATCTTTTAAAATGATATATATGAGACATTTATTTATTGACTTTCTCTTTTGTTAAGAAAAATCTTAAGGGTACAGCGGGATGAGTTTTTACATAGTATACACACACTCACATAACACTAACCACTTAGATCAAGATAAAGCACTTCCAGCACCCCCAGAAGTCCCCTCATACCACAATCACCATGAGCTCAAGCTCATCCCCTCATCACCTTAAGGTAACGATTATTCTTTTTTTTTTTTTTTTTTTTTTTTTTTGCCAGAGTCTTGCTCTGTCGCTCAGGCTGGAGTGCGTGGCGCAATCTCGGCTCACTGCAACCTCCGCCTCCTGGGTTCAAGCGATTCTCCTGCCTCAGCCTTCCAAGTAGCTAGCTGGGATTACAGGCACCCGCCACCATGCCTGGTTAAGTTTTGTATTTTTTGTAGAGATGGAGTTTCGCCATTTTGGCCAGGCTGGTCTCGAACTCCCAACCTTAAGCAATCCACCTGTCTAGGCCTCTCAAAGTGCTGGGATTGGCCAGGTGCCAATAATCCCAGCACTTTGGGAGGCTGAGGTGGGCAGATCACGAGGTCAGGAGATCGAGACCATCCTGGCCGACATAGTGAAACCCTGTCTGTACTAAAAATACAAAAATTAGCTGGGTGTTATGGCGCGTGCCTGTAATCCCAGCTACTCGGGAGGCTGAGGCACGAGAATCACTTGAATCCAGGAGGTGGAGCTTGCAGTGAGCTGGGGTCGCGCCGCTGCACTCCAGCCTGGCGACAGAGCAAGACTCTGTCTCACAAAAAAAAAAAAAAAAAAAAAAAAAATGCTGGGATTACAGGACTGAGCCACTGCACCCGGCCAAGGTAATTATTATTCTGACCCCTACCACCACAAATTAGTTTTGTTGGTGAACTTCATATAAATAGAATCATGTAGTATATATCTTTTTATGTTGGCTTCATTTGCTCAACTTATGTCTGTCTATTGTCCATGTTGCTGTTTGTATCGGTAACTCATTATTTTTCACTGCTATAGAGTACTCCATCATATGAACGTTCCACAAGTCATTCAACCCTTCTCCTGCTGATAAGTAGCTGGATTTTTTTTCAGTTTTTGGCTATTATGAATAAAGCTTCATGCACATTCTAATACCTGTAACATTCTGCACATTAAGAACAGTGTGACCTTGGGCAAGGTGCCTAACTTCTCTGAGCCACAATTTTCTCATCTCTAAAATGGGAGGGAGGGAAGGTATTAGCTATCACATTAGGAAATCATGAGGGTTAAATGGGATAACACATGCAAAGTGTCCAACACAGTGCCAGCAGGTGCTTAATAAATGTCATTTCTTCTATCCCCATAATCTGTGGGAAGCTGGGAAAGAAGGTTGCTATATAGAATTTCCAGCCTGGGACCTGAGGTCAGAAAGACATCTCAAAAGCAACCACCACCGAATCAGCTGGGCATTGTGGCAGGTGCCTGTAATCCCAGCTACTCGGGAGGCTGAGGCAAGAGAATCACTTGAGCCCGGGAGGTGGGGGTTGCAGTGAGCCGAGATCGCACCACTGCACTCCAGCCTGGGCAACAGAGTGAGACGCCGTCTCAAAAAAACAAAAAGCAATCACCACCACCACAAAGTAATATTAAGAGTACCCATGACCATTTCTCGAGCACTCCCATGGCTGGTACTGTGCTGCAGAATTATATTGTTGTTTCTCCAATCTGTGAATCATCTGCATCTGTGGCAATAGGCAGCATCTGTGGCTGCTCCCTGAGACTTGATTCTCTGTGGCCTTTCAGGCTTCCTCGAGCATCAGATCAGATTCCCATCTTAAAGATGTGGGGGAGGCCGGGCGTGGTGGCTCACATCTGTAATCCCAACACTGTGGGAGGCTGAGGTGAGCAGATCACGAGGTCAAGAGATCGAGACCGTCCTGGCCAACGTGGTGAAATCCCGTCTTTACTAAAAATACAAAAATTAGCCGGGCGTGGTGGTGTGCACCTGTAGTTCCAGCTACTCGGGAGGCTGAAGCAGGAGAATCACCTGAATCTGGGAGGCAGAGCTTGCAGTGAGCTGAGATCGTGCCGCTGCACTCCAGCCTGGCAACAGAGCAAGACTCTGTCTCAAAAACAAACAAACAAAACAAGATGGGGAAACTGAATCCCAGAATACTTTAAAAGATTTGCTGCAAATCACTCCATCCATTTTGATCAGTTATTTACTGAAAGTAAAACACGTCTCTTTCACTCCTGGGACTTCTCACACCCAGCAGAGGGTCTAGCTCAGGGGGGTGCTCCTGTTTGTAGAATAGGTGGAAACTGCAGCCCTCTGTGCCCGATCCTTCCTTTTGGGCAGCCCCAAAAGGGCTGCTGCCCACCACCCCACTCTGCACCTGATTTCTCACTGAGAGAGGCCTCTTTGGCCTTAAACTGCTGTGACAAACAATGGAGAGCTTTACAGCCTGTCCTGAAAGTGAAAGAGGTCTGGTTCAATGTACTAAAGAACCCCAGCATCCTGGGATGATGGGAAACTCCCAGGGGTCATCCCATTTGGCCTCTGGCCTGGGGGTCAGTCCCAACTGGATCAGTGGCCTGCCTGCCTTCCAAAGCCCTTGGAGAAAGGGCTGCCTTTCCCCATGTTAGGGATGGAGGTAGAGGAGACCTGAGGTTAGGAGGTTACAGCCGACTGCAGTTCAGCTTGTCCCGCTGCCTGGGTGGCCTCGGGCAAATCACTCAGCCTCTCTGGACCTTGCTTTCCTTGTCTAGGATAGGTCCTTTCTAGCTAAGGGGAGTACTTTGGAAGAGAGGCAGGAGCCGCTTCACTCCACTTCAGAGATTTGGCGGGGGGTGTAGTGGGGAAGCAGTTCAGGCTGCAGTAGTTCCACTCAGGGCCTTGGGCTGCTCTCCTCCCTTCCTGCAGCCATTTGGAGGAGGGGCCACTAACTGTGAGGTGGAGGGCTGCTAATGAGCCCCCTATGGACCTCAGAGACAGCGCTGATGGCACTAAAGGACTTCCCTGAGTTTCCTTAAAAGCCCTGATGGCAGAGAAGCCTCCATTAGCAGGAAGATTAATTATCAGACAGATCTTGGCCACTCCCAAGGTGCCCCTAGCTGCCCTTGCTGCGCCCTCAAGTCAGAGAGGATGGAGTTTGGATGTTCCCACCCATGACCTGCCCTATCTGATCCCAGGTGAGAGAGCAGGGACAGGAGATGGGGGTCTGTGGGTCTGGGCCTGGAGGAAATAGCAGGGAGACAGAAGGACGGGGGATGGGGGCAGGGGGAGGGGCCTGTAGGGAGTGATTGCAGAGAGACCCCCAGGAGAATGTAAAGTAAATGCAAAATATGCAAACCATTAGTGATTAGTTGTGGGTCAATTACTCAGGTCCTCTGAGTCATAAGTTGGCAGCTGTGCACTCCAAGCCTCTGATTGGGCCCAGGGGAGGGCCAGCTGGCATGACCTTGGGGGGCCTGGCCCAGGACCTCCAGCCCCTCAGGTCACCAGCCCTTCTGGGCAGCCTCCCAGGCCACCACCCCTGGGCAATAAGGGATCCAGGCAGCTGGAGGATCAGAGAAACCTCTGTTCATGCTACAAACCGCCCCACCTGCTCCAGAGCACAGGCAGCCCTCAGCCTCAAGGCGGCCATGCCAAGCTCACCCACTGAGGGTACTGGGGCCAAGTCTCTTCTCTCCCCTCCCCTTTCATGGTGTGCAAATTTCCCTTCTTCCCTCCCCCTCCACCCTACCCTTTTCCCTCTGGCCTCTCAGCCTCTGTCTGAATAGCCCCACTTCCTCCCTCTCTCCACCTGTTAATGATTCCCAGTGACCTTGCCTCAGTACCTCGGATGGGAAATACCAACTTCAATGCCTTTGTGCCTCAGTCACTTAATTTGCACCTGGTTCTCATTTGACACATTTAGAGGGCCCAGCCAGCCCTGGGGCAGGGAGGGAGAAGGGAGACCTCCTCTATCACCTCACTTCATTGAGAACACCGGCAGCTGCTGATGGGAGCTGCCAGTCATGCCTGCCTCTGAGGGCAGCTTGTCCATCTTGCTGCCTCCCACCAGGCCATGCTGGGCACATAAGGAGGGCTTTCCATGCTGGCAGGACCCAGGGAGATCCCATCACCTTCTGAATATCTGAGCCTGCCCCCAAGACCACTTGAGGGGGCAAATTCTTCCTGGGGTCTCTGCCACGGCAGGGAGAGAGAAGTAAATTAATCAATACTGTATTTGCCAAGTCCCTGCCATGTGGCTGGCAGTGCTCTGGGTACAGTGCTATAAAATGAAGTGAAGGAGTGGGCACAATGTATTCAGAGAAACCACCTTTTCTGAAACCCCCTTCCTCAATGTGCCCTGCCAGCAAGATGAGGTCTGTAGGCCTGTGGGCCTGAGTGGGGAACTCCATCTCTGGGGCATTCTCTGGGAAAGTGAGGGGCCCCTGAAGCAGGTGGTGAGGGAGACCCAGAGGGTAGAAGGAGGAGGCATCTGGCCCAACCTTTGCCCCAGGGGATGGGGTGACAGGAGCCTTAACCAGTGACACTGGACCCCACAGTCTGGCCCTCAGTAGTGGTGGATGTGGGTAGCAAGGGGGCACCAGGCAGTTCTGAGCAGTTATGGATGGAGGACAGTAGGGGAGGAGCCCCTAAAATCCTCATGCCAGTTCCGTGGAGTGCTGACTCCAGGAGGATGTGTTGAGCTTGGCATTTTCCTGCACAGTAACTCCTGGAGTCAGACACTTTGTTGTTAGGGGTGGCAATGGTGGTGGTGTTTGTCTCTTATCTGGCCCAGGGACCCTCACCTCTTCCCCAGTTTTCTCCATCACACTCCCTTTCCTTCTAGGAAGAGAAGCCAGGAGGCAAAGAGGAGGAGCTGGGAGATGTGGGGGCTCTCTGAGCCATGATGAAAGTGGGAAGTCACTGCATGGAGCCTCCTCATCTGTAAAATGGGGGTGCTCCTGCCTGCCTCCTGGGGTTGTGGGAATCAGATGAGAATGTTGAGGTGCTCTGGGGACTTGAAAGTTTTATGTAAGGGTAGGGTCTCAAGTGCATGGCCTCCCCATGAGGGTGGCTTTGCAGGCTCATGGAGAGGTGTAAGTTACGGCGGCATGCTGGTTCTACTTGCCCTTCTCCTTCTACCACCCCCTCCCCACCTTCCTGAGAACTCAGGTACGCACTGTCTCCATTGCAGAATGTTTGGTAGCCACTCCCCTTCCCCCACAGCCTCAGGAAGACCCACTCCTCTCCCAGTTTTCCTCTCCCCTCCCAGTCTTCCCCCGTCCCCCCACAACACAGCAGTCTCCTTTGTGACATTGCTAGGATGGCTGGGAATCACGCCCTCTACCTCCCAGGGGCCTCTCCAGTGTGAGAGCCACATCAGCTTTCCAGTATCCCCCACTGTGGTGGCCCAGACACCCGCTGGCTGCCCATGACCTTCAAGCAGTGCTAGGATCCTCTTTCAACTCTCCTCCCCGCTCCTCCAGCTTCAGGCCCCGCTGCTTGTGGCCAGCCTTAAGGCTGCTGTCTCTGCAGCCACGAGGGGAGGATCAGGTGTCTAGTGACTGGGGCCTGACTCCTCCCTGGGGCCCAGGAGAAATCGAACATTTTCTCTTCCCATCTTTGACTCGGCAGCCTGAGAGCCTGAGCCCCCACTTCTGAAACCGGAGCAGAGAAATGCATGCGGTTGGGAAACCACCTGCAGAACTTGGCTGGATCCTGGGCAGCCTGAGGTGCAAGATGCTTGGCTGGGCTGGGCTTGAGGATGGAAGGGGTGGGCCAAGAAAGAAAGATAGACAGGGCCTGGATGAGGGTGCCTCACTCACCTCAGGCATCAAATTTTAGGGGTGCCAAAAAACTCAGCAATTAAGAGACTTAATACTTGAATGAGCTAGTTTTAAAAATCAAAATTAATGCAAAACAAGATCTGTGATTGTGGCGGGCAGAATGATGCCCCCCTCCTGAAGAGGTCTACGTGCTCTAAAATTCGTGAATATGCTAAATTATATGGCAAAGGGGAGATCGGGTGCAGGCGGAAGAAAGGTTGCTAATCAGCAGACCTTGAGGTAGGGGGAGGAGCCTGAGTTGTCCAGGTGGAGCCAATGTAATCATAAGGGTCCTTAAAAGCAGAAGAGGGCGGCAGAAGAGTTGGAATCGGGGAAAGAAATGTCATGGCGGAAGTAGAGTCAGAGAAGTATGGTGTGAGAAAGACTCGCCTGGCTTTGAAGACGTTTGGAGGCCACTGCCAAGGACTGCAAGCAACCTCTGGAAACTAGAAAAGGCGAGAAAGCAGATGTTCCCCCAGAGCCTCCAGAAGGAAATGAAGTCCTGCTGACACCTTGTTTTTAGCTCAGTGAGACCGGTGTCAGACTGTGACTTACAGAACTGGGAACTAATAAACTTGTGTTGTTTTAAGGCACTAGGTTTGTGGTAATTTACGACAGCAGCAATAAGAAACTAATACAATGAAGAACCGAATACCAGCCTTTTACATAAAGACAGGCTCAGGAGATGATAGGCCCCCGGCCTGCGGACAACAGCCTTCGTGCTCATGCCCACTCAGTTCAGCCCTTGAACTGCGGGTGAGATCAAGGGGGCGGGGACGACAAGCCAGAGGTAAGAGGGGAGTTGGGGGCACTATGGCAGCTCCCGAGATTCACTGACTGGCAGGAGCATGGTGTCAGGGTGTGGTGGGAGTGGGGAGATAGGAGGGAGTGAAGAGAGGAAAGAAGAGGTGGGAAGAGGATAGAGGAACAAAGAGCATTGAGGCACAGCTAGAATCAGGCACAGAAGACTCAGAGGACCGGGTGCGGTGGCTCATGCCTGTAATCCCAGCACTTTGGGAGGCTAAGGTGAGCAGATCAGTTGAGGTCAGGAGTTCAAGACCAGCCTGGCCAACTTGGTGAAACCCCATCTCTACAAAAAATACAAAAATTAGCCAGGCACAGTGGCACACGCCTGTAATCCCAGCTACTCGGGAGGCTGAGGCAGGAGAATCGCTTGAACCCGGGAGGCAGAGGTTGCAGTGAGCTGAAACTGTGCCACTGCACTCCAGCCTGGGCAACAGAGCCAGACTCTGTCTCAAAAAAAGACTCAGAGAATTAGAGCTGGAGGTAGAAGTAAAAATTAGCGATCTCACTAATTTCTGTTTGGCTGGCATGTTAGTATTATATTAATATTCACTGATGTTTATAAATTACAATTATACATAGACATTGTTAAAAAGTCAAATACTTAAAGGCTTATAATGAAACAGCCATTTCCACACTGGCCTTCTGCACCCTGCAGTCCTGCTCCTGAGAGGCAGCCATTTTTAAGTGTTAACTGTTTTGGTTTTTTCCTAGTATTTTCAGATTTCTATGCAAAAAAATACTTATTTTCCTATTGATGTTTTAGTTTTAAGTATAAACTATTGCCTTTATAGTATGGAAGATGAAAACGTTAAGTTTGCTAAACCCAACCCTCCACTTTTTCTCCACCAATGTAGTTTTATCATTTTATTCCATCTTTTAAATTAATTTAATAGAGACAAGGTCTTGTTACGTTTCCAGGTTGGCCTCTAACTCCTGGACTGAAGCGATCTTTCCACCCCAGCCAGAGTAGCTGAGACTACAGGCATGCGCCATCATACCTGGCTCCACTTTTTTTCACATTTTAATACATCAATATTCAATGTTTATTTTATTATGATTTTGCAAATATTATTCATGGTTGAGCCAAAAAGTAGACTCTGATTACATTTTGAAAATTGTATTACCCTGCTTCCTGTGGAGTTAATTACTGGCTCTGTTAAAAAAAAAAAAAAAAAATCTTAGGCCAGGTGTGGTGGCTCACGCCTGTAATCCCAGCACTTTGGGAGGTCGAGGTGAGCAGATCATGAGGTCAGGAGATCGAGACCATCCTGGCTAACACAGTGAAACCCTGTCTCTACTAAAAATATAAAAAATTAGCCGGGCATGGTGGCGGGTGCCTGTAGTCCCAGCTACTGAGGAGGCTGAGGCAGGAGAATGGTGTGAACCCGGGAGGCAGAGCTTGCAGTGAGGCGAGATTGTGCCACTGCACTCCAGCCTGGGCGACAGAGCAAGACTCCATCTCAAAAAAAAAAAAAAATCTTAGTTTTTCCTATATATATCACAAATTTGACAAATCCTTTTTTTTTTTTTTTTTTTTTTGAGACAAGTTCTCACTCTGTTGCCCAGGCTGGAGTGCAGTGGTATGATCATGGCTCACTGCAGCCTTGATCTTCCCACTCAAGTGATCCTCCCACTTCAGCCCCCAGAGTAGCTGGGACTAACAGGTGTGCACCATCATGCCTGCCTAATGTTTTAATTTTTTCTTTTTTTCAGAGATGGGGTCTCCCTATGTTGCCCAGGCTAGCCTCCAACTCCTGAGCTCAAGCAATGCTCCCACCTCAGCCTCTCAAATTGCTGGGATTACAAAATGAGCCACTGCACCTGGCCCCGACAAATTCTTTAACACTTTTAAACACATTAGATGCTAACCATTTTGTTTCCTTTTTAGTGATATCTTTCTGGAAGTGTCCTGTCCTCCACTCAATCTGGATGGATTCTTCTCTGGGACTGCTGCCCAGCTCTCATCCTGGGAGTTCCCTTTACACTTATCTGACAAATGCCATGTACCTTTCGCCTGTGTTGCATTCCTTCTTTCCTGGGCCATAAAATCTTCTCTTTCTTGATTGACTTCCTCCTTTTAGTGGAGCATATTTTCCAAGATTTGAGAAAGGGTCTATAGGAGACATATATGTTGAGATCTTGCAAGCCTGAAAATGTCTTTATTCTACCTGCCCTTTGGTTGATAGTTTTGTTGGGTATACAATTCTAGATAGAAAACCATGTCCTCAGAATTTAAAATACATTGATAATTGTCTTCTAGCTTCCACTTTTATGGATAAACAAAATCTGAGTTCATTCTGACTTCCTTTTCTTTGCAAGTAACCAATTTTTTTCCCCCCTCTGGAAGCTTTTAGGGTTTCTTTTTTATCGCTAGTGTTTTGAAATTTCATAATGATGTATGCTTTGTATTGGTCTCTGTTCATTGTTCTCGATAATCTCAAACATGTATTTTAGTGCTGGAAATTTTTCTTTTATTATTTCTTTCTTGCTTGCTTTCCTTTTTTTTTTTTTTTTTTTTTTTTGAGACAGAGTCTTGCTGTGTTACCCAGGCTGGAGTGCAGTGGCGTGATCTCTGCTCACTGCAAGCTCCGCCTCCCAGGTTCACGCCATTCTCCTGCCTCAGCCTTCCTAGTAGCTGGGATTACAGGTGGCTGCCACCACGCCCAGCTAATTTTTGTATTTTTAGCAGAGACGGGGTCTCACCATGTTGGGCAGGCTGGTCTCGAATTCCTAACCTCAAGTGATCCATCCGCCTCAGCCTCCCACAGTGTTGGGATTACAGGCGTGAGCCACTGCGTCCGCCTCTTTTATTATTTCTTTACTTATTTTTTCCCTCTATAGTCTCAGTTCTTTTTCTTACTTGCTTACTTGCTTATTTAGAGATGGGGTCTTGTTATTTTGCCCTGGCTGTTCTTGAGCTCCTGGGCTCAACCAGTCGTCTCTCCTCAGCCTCCCAAAGTGCTGGGATTATAGGCATGAGCCACTGCTCCCCAGCCTGTTCTTCTTTTTCTGATATTCTTATTAGTCCTATGTTAGACTTAATTGACTAATCTTTGGATTTTTTTATTTTTGTCTCTCATATTCCCACTCTTTGTTTTGTTTTTTTCTATTTCATGGGAGAGTCCCACAACTTGATCTTTCAACCTTTATATTGATTTTAAGCCATTATCCTTTGAAATTATTATTATTATTATTATTATTATTATTTTGAGACAGAGTCTTGCTCTGTTGCCCAGGCTGGAGTGCAGTGGCGCCATTTCCGCTCACTGCAAGCTCCGCCTCCCGCGTTCACGCCATTCTCCTGCCTCAGCCTCCTGAGTAGCTGGGACTACAGGCGCCCGCCACCACGCCCGGCAATTTTTTTTTGTATTTGCAGTAGAGACGGGGTTTCACCGTGTTAGCCAGGATGGTCTCCATCTCCTGACCTCGTGATCCGCCCACCTTGGCCTCCCAAAGTGCTGGGATTACAGGTGTGAGCCACCGCGCCAGGCCTGAAATTATTTTTAATTTTTAAGAGCACTTGTTTTCTGTTTCCTTTTATATTATTTTTATTTCATGGGTATAACATAGTCTCATCTCTCCACAAATAATGTTTATATTGCTTTTTTATTATGTAAGTTTTAATCTGCTTCTTGCGTAATTTATGTTTTCTCATATTTCCTTTTTGTCTGTTTGTTTTGGTCTCTGTCTTTCAAGTTGGAGACTTTCTGTACCCATGTGATGATCCCTGCTGTCTGTTCATATTTAAAAGTGGGTTACTAGGAAATCATTTGACAGCTCCATGGGAAAGCTGTCAACTATGTGGGCCTCATGGAAGGGTGATCAGGTGGGGACCCAGCTGCTTCCTTGGCAGATGCCCAGTGTCAGTATATACACACTTTCTCTTGAGCCAGTCAGTTTCTCCAAGGAGAGATTCTCCAATCTCCTGCCTGAGGGTATAAACCCGACTGCCAGCATACTGAGAACTGAGCAGAGGGAGAGGGCTGTAGTTCCACTATTCAGAATACCGACTTTCACCTTATCACCTTTTCCAGCAAAGTGTCTGCCGTGGGCTGAATGGTGACCCTCAAAAAGATATGTCCATGTTATAAACCCTGAAACTTGTGGATTTTTTTTTTTTTTTTTTTTTTTTGGGAGATGGAGTCTCACTCTGTCGCCCAAGCTGGAGTGCAGTGGCACAATCTCAGCTCACTGCAAGCTCCACCTCCCGGGTTCACACCATTCTCCTGCCTCAGCCTGCCGAGTAGCTGGGATTACAGGCGCAAGCCACCACGCCTGGCTAATTTTTTGTATTTTTAGTAGAGACGGGGTTTCACCGTGTTAGCCAGGATGGTCTCGATCTCCTGACCTCATGATCCACCTGCCTCGGCCTCCCAAAGTGCTGGGATTATAGGTGTGAGCTACCATGCCTGGCTGTGGATGTTTTAATATAAACCTTTTTTTTTTTTGAGATGGAGTCTTGCTCTGTCACCCAGGCTGGAGTGCAGTGGCACAATCTCAGCTCACTGCAACCTCCACCTCCCGGGTTCAAGTGATTCTCCTGCCTCAGCCTCCTGAGTAGCTGGGATTACAGGTGTGCGCCACTATGCCTGGCTAATTTTTGTATTTTTAGTAGGGATGAGGTTTCACCATGTTGGTCAGGCTGGTCTAGAACTCCTGACCTCGTGATCTGCCCGCATCAGCCTCCCAAAGTGCTGGGATTACAGGCATGAGCCACCGTGCCCAGCCTAATATGAACTTATTTGGAAAAAGGGTCTTTGCATATATAATTAAGTATCCTGGATAAGGTCATCCTGGATTACACAGGTGGGCTCCAAATCCGATGACAAGTGTTCTATAAGCAACGCACAGAGGAGAGACACACAGAGAAGAGGAGAAAGGGCATGTGAAGATGGAGCCAGAGGTGGGAGTGATGCAGCCACAAGCCAAAGAACACCTGGAGCCACCAGAAACTAGAAGAGGCAAGGAATGGCATCTCTTTGGAGCTCCTGGAGGGAGGGCAGCTCTGCCAACACCTTGATTTCCGACTTCTTGCCTCCAGAACTATGAGACAGTACATATCTATTGTTCTAAGCCACCCAATTTGGGTTGTTATGGCCATTCTTGGAAACTTATACAGGGGCTGAGCATGGTGGCTCAGGCCTGTAATCCCAGCACTTCGGGAGGCTGAGGCGGGCAGATCACTTGAGGTCAGAAGTTTGAGACCAGCCTGGCCAACATGGTGAAATCCTGTCTCTACTAAAAATACAAAAATTAGCCCGGGTATGGTGGCATGTGCCTGTAGTCCCAGCTACTCGGGAGGCTGAAGCACGAGAATCGCTTGAACCTGGGAGGTGGAGGTTGCAGTGAGCCAAGATCATGCCATTGCACTCCAGCCTGGGCGACAGAGTGAGACTCTGTCTCAAAATAAATAAATAAAATAAAAGTAGCCAGGCATGGTGGTGCTTGCCTATAGTCCCAGCTACTTGGGAAGCTGAGGATTGCTTGTGAGGATTGCTTAAGCCCAGGAGGTTGAAGCTGCAGTGAGCTGTGATAGCGCCTGCACTCCAGTCTGGGCAAGAGGGCAAGACCCTGTCTCAAAAACACACACACAAAAAAACCCTGTCTCCAAAACAAAACAAAAAAGGCCCTAAGCAGTGGCTCATGTCTGTAATTACAGCATTTCGAAAGGCCGAGGTGGGCAGATTACTTGAGCTCAGAAGTTCAAGACCAGTCTGGGCAATATGGTGAGACCCCATATCTACTAAAAATATTTTTAAAAAGCCAGGTGTGGTGTGCACCTATGGTCCCAGCTGCTTGGGAGGCTGAGGTGGAAGGGTCTTTTGACCCCAGGGGACATAGGTTGTAGTGAGCCAAGATTGTACCACTGGGCCAGGCACGTTGGCTCACGCCTGTAATCCCAGCACTTTGGGAGGCCGAGGCAGGCGGATCACCAGGTCAGGAGATCGAGACCATCCTGGCGAACACAGTGAAACCCCGTCTCTACTAAAAATACAAAAAAATTAGCTGGGCTTGGTGGCAGGTGCCTGTAGTCCCAGCTACTCGGGAGGCTGAGGCAGGAGAATGGCGTGAACCTGGGAGGTAGAGCTTGCAGTGAGCCGAGATTGCGCCACTGCACTCCAGCTTGGGCGACAGAGGGAAACTCCGTCTCAAAAAAAAAAAGATTGTACCACTGTACTCCAGCCTGGGTGACAGAGTGAGACCCTGTCTCAAAAACCAACCAACCAAACAAAAAAACCCAACAAAAAAATCTTATAAGATTGCCAACTTACAGCAGTTTGACTTACAATTTTTCAACCTTATGTTGGGTTTATTAGAGTATTAAATGCATTTTCAACTTATAATATTTTCAGCTTATGATACGTTTGTCTGGACATAGCCCCACTGTAAGTTAAGGAGCATTTGTACAGCACCCCACCTTCAGCTAGCCTGTTAGTCCTGTGACCAGGGGCCCTTTGGTTCAACCTTTCCTGGGAATAAACCTTCAGTCTTCTGCTGGAGTGACAGCGGAGTAACTGGCTGAGATCTGAGGCTGTCATTGTATCTACTAGAGGCTTTTAATATTCCAGTTTTCAGCCTTCCCCTCACTCCCACCTGCAGTGGTACCTGGTGTCCTCACTTGGGCCTTGCTGAGGTTCTCTGGTGCGAATTGTCTGGCTTTTTGTTGGCAAATCCCCTCCCAACCCCCAAACTTGCAGGGTTATGATTCTCCTTTTTATACAGTAAAAATTCATTACCACCTGTATGACTCAGGGTTCTCCAGAGAAAAGAACCAATGGAATATACATATAGATACATTAGAGGTGATTTATTATGGGAGTTAGCTCACACAATTATGGAGGCCAAGAAGTCCCATGATATGCCATCTGCAAGCTGGAGGACCAGGAAAGCTGATGGGACAATTCAGCCTGAGTCTGAAAGCTCAGGAACTTGCACAGGGGTCAGGGGAGGGGACTGGTGTGTGCCCTGGGGTCCAAAGGCCCGAGGACCAGGAGGTCTGATATCTAAGGGCAGTAGAGGATGGATGTCTCAGCTCAAGAGAGTGAATTTGTGGCCAGGCGCGGTGGCTCACGCCTGTAATCCCAGCACACTGGGAGGCTGAGGCAGGCAGATCACTTGAGGTCAGGAGTTCGAGACCAGCCTGGTCAACATGGTGAAACCCCGTCTCTACTAAAACTACAAAAATTAGCTGGGCATGGTGGTGCGTGCCTGTAATCCCAGCTACTCAGGAGGGTGAGGCACAAGAATCTCTTGAACCCGGGAGGCGGAGGTTGCAGTGAGCTGAGATCACGCCACTGCACTCCAGCCTGGGTGATAGAGTTAGACCCTCTCAAAAAGAAAAAAAAAAAAAAAACCCAGAGTGAATTTGCCCTTCCTCCATTGTTTTGTTCAATTTTGGCCCTCGGTAAATGAAATGATGTCTTCCCTCCTTAGTCTATCAATTCAAATGCTGATCTCTTCCAGAAACACCCTCACAGACACACCCAGAAATGTTTTATCAGCTATCTGGGCATCCCTTGGCCCAGACAAGTTAACACATAAATTAACCTTCATGCTACGCATCCATCAACTTTCCAACTTTCCAAAATTGTAATCTCTCTCATCTGCTATCATCTTTCACTGTTTTGTGTGGTTTTGCCTTTATTTAAAAACACCTTTGACTGCCATTTAGTGGTGTTTTAGGAAGGAGAAGAGATAAATGAGTATACTCAATTACTTTAATCAGGAGACGCACATTCTTAATTTTAATTATTTAAGATTGGTTGCTGTAAGGAAGCTCATGCACTGTCTAGTGTGCCTCAGGCTTCCCCACTCCCTGCAGTGCTGCCCAAGGTCTGATTTGCACATTTATGTTTTCTACCTGGCTTCCTTCTGCAGTTATCACTGCTTGAGGTACCCTCTAGAGATCAGAATTCCAGAGAAGCATGGCACCATGGCAAAGGAGGTATTTGGCAATGTAACTTCTGCCTAATTCTTCCCATTAAAAATATCCTGGAACTGGGCTAGAGAAGTAGAATGAATTAGAGTTAGGAAATTGGGCTAGGAGAGGAGGGAAATAAGGCTGGCTCACTTTAGCTTGGTTGACTTTCTGATTCCTTAGTCGTGTAATCTACTGGCTCCTGTTTTCTTTTCTACTGCCTCAGTTTTCCTATTTGACTAATAGGCACAATCATCAACGCCCAGTGGAATGAGGTTGGCACAGTGAAATAAGACATAAGAGCCAGGCGTGGTGGCTCAAGCCTATAATCCCAGCACTTTGGGAGGCTGAGGCGGGCGGATCATGAGGTCAGGAGAGCAAGACCATCCTGGCTAACACGGTGAAACCCTGTCTCTACTAAAAATACAAAAAATTAGCCGGGCGTGGTGTTGGGCACCTGTAGTCCCAGCTGCTCAGGAGGCTGAGGCAGGAGAATGATGTGAACCCGGGAGGCGGAGCTTGCAGTGAGCGGAAATGGCACCACTGCACTCCAGCCTGGGGAACAGAGCGAGACTCCGTCTCAAAAAAAAAAAAAAAGACATGAGAAGCCTCTGGCCGGGCAAGTGGCTCATGCCTGTAATCTCGGCACTTTGAAAGGCCAAGGTGGGAAGATCACTTGAGCCCAGGAGTTTGAGACCAGTTTGGGCAACAGAGTGAGACCTTGTCTCTACAAATAATTTAAAAAAATTTTTTTGAGACGGAGTCTGGCTCTGCTGCCCAGGCTGGATTGCAGTGGCACAATCTTGGCTCATTGCAACGTCCACCTCCCCGGTTCAAGCAATTCTCCTGCCTCAGCCTCCAGAGTAGCTGGGATTACAGGCGTCTGCCACCACACCTGGCTAATTTTTGCATTTTTAGTGGAGACGAGGTTTCGCCATGTTGGCCAGACTGGTCTCGAACTCCTGACCTCAGGTGATCTGCCCACCTTGGCCTCCCAAAGTGCTGGGATTACAGGCATGCACCACCATGCCCGGCCAAAAGAAATTTTTTTAAAGACATAAGAAGCCTCAACAGAAGGAAAGCTGGGTGCTTGGCTATTTTCACTTTTATCTGCAGTGCAACATGTTATCTTGATTGGCAATGAATTGTATTGCTCAGATATATCTACTCCTCCCCATTGCAACTACCTACCTGGGCTCCACTGTTGGAAGGAGAGATCTTGATACTAAGAGACAATGATTTGGGAGTCCTGTTTTTGGAATTGGTGTCTCCAGCTGGGAGACACTCTGGGTTCCTCAGTTGTCTCCATACTCATCTGCTCCAATATTGGAGGGTGTGGGAATTTTTCAGCTATGAAAGAGACAAAAGGCAGTAAGAGGGATTCCAGGAGGAGCTACAGATGCAGAGGTGGTTGAGGCTGTTGAAATTATGAGAGGCCATTGTTTTGGACTGAGCTCCTGCCCTAGGCCCCAGCAGACCAGCCCAAACCAAAATGGAGTCACTCATGCTAAATGGCATATAGTCAAACTGCAACTTTAAGGAAGCAGATCCCAAAATATACCAGTCTTTTTCTGAAAACAGGAGATTCCAGTCTACCTGAGTCAGCGTAATAAGGAAGCCCCTTCTACTTTACCCCTTACAGAAAGGTAACATGAACTAATCTGATGTTAATTAATTTATTTCTATTGTTCTGTTTCAGTGTTCCCATTTTACAAACCCACTGTTCTGCCATTGCCCAGTGGGAGCTCTCATTCTATTTCATAGAATGGAGGCTCCTCTGATTCATGAATTGTGAATAGAAGCCAGTGAAATCTATAAATCTGTTGTAATTTTGCCTTTTGACAAAGCCAGGGTCTTCACTCATCTCTCTCTGCCAGGAGGCTTTGAAGGGGATGCTGAGCAGTTGCTGTGTGTGGGGAGGGAGAGGGAGGTGGAACTTGCTACAATTCTCCAGTGAGAACCAACTAAGCACTTGGCAAAATATTTGGCTCCTTTTTCCATCCCTCCCCTTCTCCCTAAAGCTCCAGGGGCCCCTGACAGATCTTCATACAGTGTAGGATGTCTGATCAGCTGTTTTTTGTTTTTTTTTGTTTTTTTTTTTGAGATGGAGTCTTGCACTGTCACCCGGGCTGGAGTGCAATGGCAAGATCTTGGCTCACTGTAACCTCCACCTCCGGGGTTCAAGCCTCAGCCTCCCAAGTAGCTGGGATTACAGGTGCCCGCCACCATGCCCAGCTAATTTTTTTTATTTTTTATTTTTTGTAGAGATGGAGTTTCACTAGGTTGGCCAGGCTGGTCTCAAACTGCTGACCTCGTGATCCGCCTGCCTCGGCCTCCCATAGTGCTGGGATTATAGACGTGAGCCATTGGGCCCAGCCAGTTGTTGGTTGGATTAAGCTGAATGGCTGCAGCCGGACCTTCCCTGACCTCCCAGGGGCTGGGACCTAGGGAAACAGGGTCCAGTAATTCAGACCACAATTGTTCTAAAACGTCAGCCAGCAGCACCCACATCCTCACTGCCCCCAGGGCTGATTCCCCATGGTGCTGGCCTGGGAAATGGGGGGCCAGGGGAAAAGCAGAATCTGACAGCCCTAAGGCCCTACCACCCCTTCCTCTTCTCTCCCGGTCTTCCCTTTCCTCTGCCCTTCCTCCACCATCCCCCAGGAAGCAGTAGACACAATCAGCAACTTTTATTTTTTTTTTAAATAAAAAGGCACTTTAGGGCTTTTACGGAGGAGGCTGAGGCCCATTAAGACACAAATTAAATCTTTGTGGGAACAGCCAGAGTGCGATTCCCTGTGTGAGGAAGGCCCCTCAGGGTACCGCTGCCCCCAGCCCCAGGTTTCCATTGGCCTTGGGCCCGCCACCCTCCTCTCTCCCCGCAGGATTAAAGTGCATCTCAGCAGCAAGAGGGGAAATTAATCAGTCTTTGTATTAAGTAGGTTATAGGGCAGGGCCAGAGAGTGGTAGGAGGAGAGAGAAAGAAAAAGCAGGTGAGGGAGCCAAGCAGTGAGGGGAGGGTGGAGGAAGGGAGTGGGGCCCTTTGCCAGTCTACTGCTTTATTTACCTCTCTCACCAAGTGCAGGAGGGAGTTGCTATTGCTAGCCCCACTTTACAGATAGGGAAAACTGAGGTTTCACCAAGTTAAGTGACATGACCAAGGTCATGCTGCTAATGTCAGCTGGGATTTGAATCTCCTTTTAGAGGAGAGGGGAGAAGAAAAGGAAGAGAGAGAGGGCTGGGTGCAGTGGCTCACACCTGTAATCCCAGCACTCTGGGAGGCCGAGGCGGGTGGATCACGTGAGCTCAGGAGTTTGAGACCAGCCTGGGCAACATGGTGAGACCTTGTCTCTACTAAAAATACAAAAATTAGCCAGGCGTGGTGGTACACGCCTGTAATCCCAGCCACTAGGGAGACTGAGGCAGGAGAATCGCTTGAACCCGGGAGACGGAGGCTGCAGCAAGCTGAGATTGCGCCACTGCACTCCAGCCTGGGTGACAGAGTGAGACTCCATCTCAAAAAAAAAAAAAAAAAAAAAAAAAAAAAAAAGCAAAGGAGGGGAATACACACATTGTTGCCCTTTCCTCATCCCATCCCTCCACCCCAAGAGCATTGCTCTGCAGCCAGTTCAGGAGCTGGGAAGTCCTTCCTTCTTTCTAACTGCTCTTCCCTGTGACCAGTCACTCCTGAGGGGCCCACAGAGAAGGTGTGTTTTATCTGGGCGGAGCACTGGATGGGTAGGAGTGGGGAAGGGGCCATTAGCCAGTCTACCCAAGTAACCCCTTGGGAGCTGTGCCGGGTGCTGGAGTTTGGACAAAGGGGAAGGGGTAGAGATGGAAAAACTGTTGTCCTTGGAGGCTCCAGGTGAGGGAGTCAGGAGCCAGTGTGAGGTAGAGGGGCTGGGCTCCCTTTGCCTTCCTCCAACCTGTGCTGGCCTGTCATCCATTTGTTCAACAAATGTTTATTCAGCACTTGCTGCGCTGCCGGTGGGGGGCTAAGTGCTTCAGTTAGAGAGCAATAAGAATGAGAATAATGCCATTTTTCTTCTTTCTAAGAAGCATATTTTCCCCACAATTTTAACATTTCTGAAACTAGGAAGTGCCTTACAAGCAACAAACATTATATTTCCAGCAGTGTTTTTTTTTTCTTAGACATACATAAAGTCATGGTGTGTCCAAACCATGACAGCTTAGATTGAATGAAAAATGGCAGTAGCTGTGCTTATAGTACTTACAACACACCAGTGACTGTCCTAACTGCTCTACATGTATTAACTCATTGGGTCTTCCCAGCCATCTGAGGTAGGAATTATTACTGTCTCCATTTTAGAGATGAGGAAACTGAGGCACCAGGAGGTGAATTCTTTTTTTTTGAGACAGGGTCTCACTCTGTTACCCAGGCTGGAGTGCAGTGGTGCAATCACAGTTCACTGCAGCCTCGACCTCCCAGGCTCAAGCAATCCTCTTGCCTCAGCCTTAGAAGTAGTTAGGACTACAGGTGAGTGCCACCATGTCTGACTAATTTTTTCTTATTTTTTGTAGAGACGAGGCTCTTGCTATGTTGCCCAGGCTGGTCTCGAACTCCTGGGCTCAAGTGATAATCCAGCCTTGGTCTCCCAAAGTGTTGGGATTACAGGCATGAGCCACTGCACCTGGCCAAAGAGGTGAACTCTTATCTCCCCATCAAAAGCGGACAGCCCCATGGACTCCCTTGCAAACACTAATGCCAGGCTTGTAACCAGGCTTGTACAGGGCAACAAAGAGAACACCAGAGAGGATGCCCACCCTGGAAAACTCCCACCAAGAGAAGGCTGGGGGGGCCCTTCCAGTCCTCCCCTCTGTTCGCCCCGATTCCCTTCTCCTTGGTGTGTGGTCTGCAGTGATTAATCACAAAAGCACCTGTCACTCCTCTTAGCCTGACAGCTGTCAGCTCAGCCCAGGGGAGGATGGGATGGAGAGTGGGGTGGGGGAGCCATGGAGAAACTCAAAGAGCTGGAAGTGGAACATCTCATCATTCCTGGTCCCTTCTGGAGAATGTGCATGGATGAGGTTTCTCCTGGTCTGTCTCAAGCTGGGGAGGCACCTGCTGATGGGGAAGGTTTACAGTAGAGAAAAGAAAAGGGGAGAGAAGTTACCAGAAATCCCTCTTCCCTTACCACCCACACTCCAAAGCAGGCCAAAAGCCAACTTGGGAGGCAAAGGGCCTGGGATGTTGCTCCTCTCTCTGCCAAACCTATGAACCTAGGCAAATCTCCAGCCCTCAGTTTCTCAATCTGGACAGTGGGATAACTTCTCCACATGGAGACCCTAGATGAGAGCCTAAGAAATACCAATTTTCCAGGCCTTTCTTCTGCCTGTGTCTTCTCCCTCTAGACTACTCCTCCACCCTGCACTCCCCACAACCTGCAACATTCAGTTCTACCCCCTCCCCAGCCTGACTCTGCCAAGTGCTGGGAAATGAAGATCTCACCTGCCAAAAGGAACTGGGAGGGGTGCCGAGGGCCCTGCCAGCAGCCCGGAGCTGTCAGGATGGCGATAATTAATTAATCAATCCATCTGGGGAGGCCCATGACAGCCTCTCCTGGACACAGCACAGCAGACAGAGACAGCAGCCACTGCAACCAGGTTGCAGCCAGGGAGGCCCTGCCAACCCAGACCACATGAACCTCGGATCCTGCAGTCTGAGCTGGGTAGGGGGAGTAGAAAGAAGGGGCTCGTCTTCCCATGCCTGGTGCATCTCACACTTGCTCATTCACTCAACAAATACTACTAAGCACCTGCTCTATGTCTTGGATCAGGTTTGCTGGAAGCAGAACCCGAGACAGGGATTCAGACACCTTTGCTTACTCAGGGAGTGCTCACTTCTCAGGAACCCGTGGCAGAGGAGGAGGCCGAGCGAGGATGTGCTCTCAGCTAAAGTCTAGCCTCGACTTGATCCACAGAGGGCTCTGGAGTGTACGCCACACTGCAAAGTTTTCTCCCCATTTAAGAAGAGGGCCAGCCCTTCCCACTCCCTCCTCAGTTGGTCATTACCTGTGCGCTGTTGGGGGGTGGGTAACCTCCAGGGCAAGGTGCTTCCCATCAGCAGATGGTGAGACCCCAGCAGAGGGGCAGCTGGGAGCCATTAGCAGCCAATATCCACAGTAGCTGAGGGATGGGTGCACCCGCGTGGGTGCAGGGGCTCCAGGCATGCTATCAGCAGGTTGCACTACACCAGTGGTTCTCCAAGTGTGGCCTCTGGACCAGCAGTATCTGCATCCTGTGGAAAATGAAAAATTTCAAGTCCTATCTCAGAAATCCTGAATCAGACACTCTGGGTGTGGGGCCCTGCAAGCTCTGCTTTAGCAGCTCCTCCTGGTGCTTCTGGCACTTGCTAACTTTGGAGAACACTGAACCACAGGGTACAAGGGTCATAGTCTCGGTACTTGTGGGACTTAGAGCTGGTGTGGCTGATCAGCAGATTGCACATGAGGCTATTTATGGGTTTGTGGACCCAGGTCTGTGGCTGGTAGCTCAGCTGGTTTGGCCAGGTTTTCCACATAGTGGGACACTCCCAACAGCTCCTGCCATGGACCTTCATTCTTGAAGTCATCTATAGCCTAGGACCCCTCTCATTACACCCACGGTACAGTGTCCTTCCCTCAACACCCCACCGCACCGTGGTGCCACTATGAGGGGAGGACATTCATATTTCGACCAATGTGTTCTGAGTCTCTTCTGGGCTCTTTCTTATAAGCTATGTCTTGGATCCCTCCCAGCTCCTGTGTTGTAGACATTAGCATCCGCATTTCACAGCAGAGGAAACCGTGGCTCAGACTAACTTGCCTAAAGCGGCACTGTTAACAAGGGAAGAGGCCGGGCATAGTGGCTCATGCCTGGATTCCCAACATTTTAGGAGGCCAAGGCGGGAGGATTGTTTGAGGCCAGGAGTTTGAGACGAGCCTGGGAAACACAGTGAGACCTTATCTCTATCAAAAAATACAAAAATTAGCCGGGCGTGGTGGTGCGTGTCTGTAGTTCTAGCTATTCCTGAGGCTGAGGTGGGAGGATCACTTTAGCCCCAGAGGTTGAGGCTGCAGAGAAATCAGGACTTTTGAATCTAAGCTCGGCTAGTGTGTTCTGCTAGAAATAACTTTGGCAGAAGTCAGTAATGTGGGTAAGCTTCAGGTGAGGGTAGTGGTGGGACGAGGGACACAGGAGCCTCCTGGGGAACTGGAAGGACCATATCTTGATCTGGGTTGTGGTAACACACACGTATGCATAGGTTAAAAAGTCACTGAGCTTTACACTTAGGATTTACGTATTTTATTGTATGTAAATTATACTTCGTTTTTTAAAATGCAGAAACCAAACCCTAAACAGTCACAAAAAGACAAATACTGTATGATTTCACTTATTGAGGCATCAACAGTGGTCAAACTCATAGAAACAGAAAGCAGAATGGTGGTTGCCAGGATCAGCAGGGAGAGAGGCAGGATCAGTTGTTTTTTTAACGGGTACAGAGTTTCTGTTTTACAAAATGAAAAAGTTCTGGAAAGTGGTTGCTCGGCAATATGCATATACTTAAATCTACTGAGTTGTACTCATAAAAATGGTTAAGATGGGACAGGCATGGTGCCTCACGCATGTAATCCCAGCACTTTGGGAGGCTGAGGCAAGTGGATTGCTTGAGTCCAGGAGTTCAAGACCAGCCTAGGCAACAGGGCAAAACCCTGTCTCTACAAAAAATACAAAAATAAGCTAGGCGTGGCTCAGGAGCCAGAGGTTGCAGTGAGCTGAGATCACACCACTGTACTCCAACCTGGGTGACAGAGCCAGATCCTGTCTCAAAAAATAAAAAATAAAATGGTTAAGATGGTAAATTCTATGTTATATGTATTTTATCACAATTAAAACAATTTTTTTAAGTCCTTAAAAATCTTGCTTTGGGATGCTCCATGAAGTCAAGGCACTAGATGATAGATGGCTGCCCTTTAATAGCACCAACTGGGGATTCACCTCCTGAATGAACTGGTTAGAACTTTAGACTCTTGAAGTCAGCGAAGGCAAGCCTGCTCTCCTATACCCCTGGTGGGTGTTTCATCCTATGTGGAAACCCCTTTTAGTGACAGGAGCTCACTCCATCCATGCTGAAAAGTAATGCAAGATAATGCTGGATACTTAGAAGACACAGACAAACATGAAGAATGTCTGCCCTTCTTTGCATAGCTCTATTAGAAAGTCTCCTTGTATGCAGCTTTTCGGGAGGCTGCGGCAGGAGGATCAGTTGAACCCGGGAGGCGGAGGTTGCAGTGAGCTGAGATCGCACCACTGCACTGCAGTCTGGCAACAGAGCAAAACTCCATCTCAAAACAAAAACAAAACAAACAAAAAAAGAAAGTCTTCTCGTATGAAGCCCAAAACTCTGCCCTTGGTCCCTGTTCTGAACCTTAGCACCATGGAGTATGAGTAACACCTCACACACGACCAACCTGCAGGGTTTTTTTTGATTTGCTCTGGTTTTCCAGCCCCGCACATTTGAAACTATTTCTTCTTTGCTGGGCACATACTTCTGGTGCCAGGCAGGGCACAGTCACACGGAGATCTGACTTCTGACTCTGTGTCCTGTTGCCCAATGAGTCAGTCAGCACAGTGGGTGTCAGGAGTATTCCTTAGCTAACATGGAAGTGACTGCAAATCAAATAAACATATCCACTAAACCCAACCTAAATGGATCTCTTACTCAAATTCCCCTGAGCTGGATCCCATAAATGTCCATGGCCACTCCAGTACCACCCAACACAAGGGAAAGTGTGATGAAGAGAAAAAGTGGAAAAGAGACAGGGATCTTAACTGATCATGGTTGAAGTTTCTACATTTGCAAATTATACAAAGCCATATGACCACGTGCACATGTTTGCTAAAGCCCTTCCAAGGACCTTGGAAGGGGCCTATGTAAGTGAGCGGCCCTGAAGCAGAAGCTGCATCAGCTACGTGGCGAATCCAGTTCTGTCCATGGACTGTGAGACCGTGAAGGACGGGGCTGCCCTGCAGGTTTTTGACGCTGATCCTCCTCACCCCTGCCTCTATCCCCAGGCTTCTCTTTTGTTGGGTAAACATGACCAGTGCCTTCTATGATTCCTCAGAAACAGCTCCCTGCTTCTTGTCTGACCTGGTGGTAGTTTGTCTACATTCCTTTAGAAGGGCCCGGAACTGAGTGACAGCTTCCTGATTGCATCTGCCAGAGCAGGATATTCAACTCCATGCAACCATTGATTCCCTCAAATGGCCTTGGGACCAAGGTGTCACAATTAGGCACTGCTCATCCTTCATTCATGGATTAACCTGGCAACAATTTCAGAGTGTTTCATTTGCGCCAGGCCCCGAGGTAGGCCCCGGGATGCAGAGACAAACAGGAGAGTCCCTGCCCTTGGGGAGCTTATACCTTCCACTTGCATAGCGGCAGCTGTAACTTCATGACTCCCTGTGCCGCCATCCTGTTCCCACGAAGTTAGCTTTTAGCTCCAATCCCAGAGCCTTCCACAGATCTTCAACTCAATTTCATCTTATTCAATTTGCTCCATTTGACCATTCTGCCAAAATCATTTTGGATCTTGTTTCTGCATGCCCTGTCCTCTCTCTCCCTCCTGGCTCTGTGTCATCCGCGAAGGTGATAAGCCTGCCTGTTATGTCTTCATTGCAGTCCCTGATAACAGTGTTCGACTGCCCAAGCCGAGGACAGAGCCTGGAGGCACTAGAAGTTTCCCTCCAGGTGGACACAGATTCCTTAATCAGTACCCTTTGGGGACAGTGGTTCAATCCACCTAATTACACAGTCACCCAGGCATGTTTGTCTGTTTGTTCTCAAGGACATCACAAGGGGCCTTGTCACATTTCTCAGTGAAGACAAGACACATCACTTCTGACATGGTTTCCTTTTTGTCAGTCTGGCAACCCTGTCAAGAGAAGAAGAGTGGATTCTGTTTTCCAGCCACCAACACCAAACTTTTTTTTCTCAACTTCTTGCTGAAGGATGTATTTGGAAAAGTCCCCACATCATAACCATACAGCTTGATGACTTTTCACAAAGTGACACACCATGTATTCATCACCCAGATCAAGAAATGGAACAATACCACCCTGCCCCTTGAAAGTGCCTTCATTTCTCCTTTCTGTCACCTCCCCTTGCCAGGAGTAACCCTCATGTGACTTCCAACACCATAGACTAGCTTCTCCCATTTTTGAACTTTGCATAAATGGAATCACACAGAATGTATTCTTTTGTATCTGCCTTTTTTTGTTCAACATGATATGTGAAATTCATTGTATGCTATCATAGATGCTTACTCTCATAGATGCATAATATTCTATTATATGAATATGCACAATTTATCCATTCTACTGGTGATGAGTGTTTCTTCCAGTTTAGGGCTATTATGAGTCGTGCTGCTATGGACATTTTGTTATTTATAATGTGGTGCATGTAGGTCCTATGTTGAGTCTATACCTAGGAGTGGAATCTCCGGGTCACGATGTATCCATTTTGCAGCTTTGCCAGAGTTTTGGAAAGTAGTTGCACCATTTTATACTCCCACCAGCAATATACTCCCACCAACATTTGGTATTGTTAGTCTTTTAAATGTTATCCCTTCTATAGCATGAAGTGATATCTCATTGGATTTGTATTTTCCTGATGACTAATGATGTGGGGCCCTTTCCACGTGCTTACTGGCCATTTGGATGGCCTCTTTTGTGAAGTGTCTGTTTAAATCTTTTGCTCATTTTTCTATTGGGTTGTCTGCCTTTTTCTTATTGATTTGTAGGAGTTTCTTTTTTACATTCTGGATGTGCACTGACTCTACTCTTAACCTCAGCCAATTATTTTTGCAAATGAGTATATTTGATGGCAGGAGGCAGCTGGAGAGTGAGAATCCCTTTAGTGAGACGCTGAATCACGGAGGAGCTGGTCATTCCAGTTGTCATTGTTCATAATCAGGATGCCATGTTTTTCTTGAAGAGTGATGAGGCTGTGTGCAAGATGAAAGAATCCAGGAACAACATGTTGAGGGTAACAGGGCAAACCCAATAAGTTGGTGGGGTGAGATGGCAGGGGAGGGCATCATAGGGTCATGAAAGACTTTGAGGTTAGTTGTCAGAAATGCTGAGCTCGGGCCCTGGCCTCACCACTTCTGGATGTGTGATCTTGGATAAATCACTTCGCCTTTTTAAGCATCTGTTAGGGGATTCTGGATAATAGATAATAATACCCATTTTACAAGGTTTTCTGAGGTTAAATTAGAAAGCTTATAAAAATGTAATATTTTATGCAAATGTCATATATAGCTTGCAGTTGGGAGGACCGCACAAGTCTGGCTTAATCTAGTAGCTGCTCAATAAATACGCATTGTTATGTTTTTAGGATATACCAGGTAGACAATCTAGTGATAGAGACTCTGATGTCAGATTACCTCGGTTCAAATGCAAGTTCTGTCACTTATTAGCTGTGTGTCATCAGGCAAATAGCATCTTTGTGCTTGTTTCCTTAGGATAGGATGGTATCTAGCCACGCAGGATCTGTGTGAATTAAATGAGATAATTTATATAGAGATAAAAAGTAATTTATGTATTGACCCATACCAGGCTCATAGAAGGCACATGAATGTTAATTATTGATCAGGAGCTTACTTATATCATCTCACATTTTCAACTGAACGAAGCAGAGTTTGTGCTGTCATCGCTTTGCAGACGAGGAGAGGTTAAGGCAACTGCCAACATCACATGTCCTGTAAGTGCTGGAGCTGGGATGTGAACCCAGGCCTCTGTGGGTCTGTTGGAGTCCAGTGCATCTAACTGGACTGCTATCCAGCTCATATTTGTCCATCCTATTTCCAAGAACACCAGGAAAGGCTTTGTCAAATGCCTTCCTGGATTTCCCAGGATGGAGGGAGGGAGGTGAAAGAGTGGCCGCAGCTGCAGGGTGAGTTGGGCATGACTGGTCTGGTGTGCGGGAAGGGTGGAGAGATTGAGGCTGGTGATTCCACGAGCCCTGAGCTGCAGATTCATCAGTAGCCACGCATTGGAGGGCTCTCCCGAGCCCCAGGCCCTGCAGCCCGGGATGGCCCCGAAGCTTTCCGTAATGAGCCTGTCACATGGCTGGACAGAGACTTATGACTTCTGGTGGCAGGACTGCCTCCTCCCGCTTGTCCTCCCTGGTTATTTATCACATTTGTCCCTCTCGAGAGGCAGGGCCATCGCTTACACTGTCCAGAACAGGGAATGCAATAAAGCCAGTTCTACGGAAGGCTCTGAGCCCTGCCCCCTTCACTGAGGGTGGGGAGGAGCAGAGGGGTCTTCCTGATGGGGGTGAGGGAAGGTCCCAGCAGCAATGCCAGCCCGAGTCCAACTACTCAGGAGGTCTCTAGCAGCATTGCCACCACTGCAGTGATGGACATCACTCTCCCCTCCAAGCTAACCTGGCCCTAGCAGGATCACTAACAGCATCCCAGCACCCACTCATGCTATTACCCCCACACCACCCTGGGCACTGCCACCATCAATAAGACCAATGGTGTCGCTGCTGACATCACCGTCATCCTGCTGCAGTCAGCATCACCACTACCACCATTATCACGCACAGGAAGGTAATCGCCAGCTTGGCTTCATTATCCACTTTAGCTTGGCTCAGAGAAACAAACAAATCAGAATTTTCACAGCTGTTTCTGCCTCTACTCCCAACTTCTGCACCATGAGGGACCTCCGCAGAAGGGTCCTGAAGGCAGTGTCCTCCTTGTCCGGCGTCCCTGGTTCTGTGGAGGCGGACTAGGGTCGTGAGAAGAGCTGGACTCTAGACAACCTGACCTTGGACTCCTCTGTGCCGCCAACTGGATGAGAAGCCCGGAGCCAGTGCCTCAGTGGTCTTATCTGTAAGATGGCGATAGTGAGAGTCACCTCACTAGGTTACCGTAGGGATACATGTTAAGTATATGGTACATAGTGGGTGTTTAATAAGTGGCACATACAATGATGATCATAGTTATCATTATTCCAGGGCAAAACTTCTCTCCTAGACACTCAGTTCCCCAAATGGCGGCCTCCTTGCCTCTGCCCAGAGACTCTCCTGAGCCTCCCGCTGTCCCGGTCATCTAGCTCAGCACAGTGACTTCTCTCCCCATCTCCTGCTGCCTGACCCAGTTTCTGTGAAAACCCATGTTTCTCACGGAGCAGAGATGGCAGAGTCACATCTACAGGTCTCATCATCCTATTAGGACAACATCAGGGTAAACATTAGTTATTCACAAACCCAATTACATTTTGATTACTCTGACCCAAGTGAGATTGGGGTTACTCTCACTCCACATTTATTTTTTGGTACAAGCTTCTTAAGTTGCCAGGAGAGGAAAACAACCCCACTGCCTTCCACTCTACCCAGGCAGGAATCTTCTGGGTTCCTTATTTTCTTCTCCTTCCCTGTTCCTAAATGCAGCTGTATCTGGGCACTTGGCCATTCAATGGGGAGCAGAAGGGGCTGGTCCAAGGAGAGAGGGAATTTCAGTTAGAGTGGAGGGAGAACTTCCAACAGGGAAGGGGGCAGGAGAGGATGGGAGGAGAAGTCAGAGTGTCTTTGCCCAGCTGGGGAGACTTGGGAGCTGCGTGCATTCGGGGCCAGGTAGTGGGCTGACCTCCCAACGCCTGGGATGCACCGCCACATTCTCCGCTGTGCCTCTGGTTGACATGTTCGGACTTGAACTCTGGATCTTCTGTGAAAACTGCCTCTCCCATAGTCTTCCCCATCTCAGTAAAGCCTTCCAGTGGCTCAGGCCAAAACCCTTGGTTGTCATCCACAGCTCCTTTCTTTTTTGCTTTTTCTTTTTATTTATTTATTTTTTTGAGATAAGAGTCTCGCTCTGTCACTCAGGCTGGAGTGCAGTGGTGTCATCTCAGCTCATTGCAACCTCCGCCTCCTAGGTTCAAGCGATTCTCCTGCCTCAGCCTCCCTAGTAGCTGGGATTACAGGCACGTGCTACCACACCCGGCTTATTTTTGTATTTTTAGTAGAGATGGGGTTTCGCCATGTTGGCCAGGTTGGTCTCGAACTCCTGACCTCAGGTGATCTGCACATCTCAGTCTCCCAAAGTGCTGAGATTACAGGCGTGAGTCACTGCTCTGGGGCCACAGCTCCTTTCTTTCACTCTAATGCACTAGCGAATCCTTTGGTTCCACCTCAACCTATGTATCTCACCAGCTCCACGACTCCCACCCGCTGGTCTAATCCACTGCCAGATGACTGCAGTTCCCAGATGTCTCTCCCATGACAGTCCGTTTTCAACAGAGCCACCAGAGTGACCCTTTTCAGTGTGTGTTGACCAAGTCACTTTGCCATTTGAAATGCCACAAGGGGTTTCTTTCTCTCAGAGGAAAGCCTGGGTCCTTGCAATGCCTCCCAGGCCACCCCCCGCTCCCTGGCCAGGCCCCCCCACACGCCCCTGCCTGCTCTCTGGCCAGGCCCCCGTGCCCCCCTGCCCGCTCTCTGGCCAGGCCCGCGTGCCCCCCTGCCCGCTCCCTGGCCAGGCCCGCGTGCCCCCCTGCCCGCTCCCTGGCCAGGCCCCCCACGTGCCTCTGCCCGCTCCTTGGCCAGGCCCCCCACGCGCCCCTGCCCGCTCCCTGGCCAGGCCCCCCACGCGCCCCTGCCCGCTCCTTGGCCAGGCCCCCCACACGCCCCTGCCCGCTCCCTGGCCAGGCCCCCCACGCGCCCCTGCCCGCTCCTTGGCCAGGCCCCCCACGCGCCCCTGCCCGCTCCCTGGCCAGGCCCCCCACGCGCCCCTGCCTGGTCTCTGGCCAGGCCCCCCACGTGCCCCTGCCTGCTCGCTGGCTTTGCCTCCATGGCTCTTCCCTCACGCTGTGCTCCAGCCACAAAGATGCCAAGCACAGTCTGGCCTCTGGCTTTGGCACTTGCTGTTCCTGTGGTTGGGACGCTTTCCTCACAGATAGCCACGTGTTTGTGCCTCCCCTTCTTCAGACCTCTGCTCCAGAGTCACCTCACCAAGGAAGCCATCTCTATCTGCCAGGTCACAGCAGAAAGCAGGCCACATAGATTCAGATCCTGTGAGGAGAGTCTACACAGGTGTGGGCAGGGGGTTTGGAACCCACAGGGATAGTGCAGGACCCCCAGGCAATTGACTGGGGAGGGGGTTCAAGAAGGGTGGGTGCAGCTGTTGCAAGGCCAGACAGGATGGGGAGGTTGTGGGAGGCAGCTATTAGAGAATCCCAAAATAAAAAGGGCTGCCTGGAAAGGGTGACCTGATAGAGGCTGAGATCCTTGGTCAAGGGAAGCATCCACCCTCTGCTTCCGGGCTTCTCGGGGACTCCCCACTGGCTGAATTCCATGGAAGCCAGAGGGCAGGGAGCTGGGTGATGCCGTCCATGCAGGCCAGCCTCCCAGGGCACAGACCTGGGTGAAGAAGAGTAGAGAGTGGGTCTGGAGGGGGCAAAGGAAGGATGTCCAGGTCATCACCTGAATAGTGACCACATTATTTAAACCCCCAGTACTCCATCCCTCTTCCTTATTTCTCTCTTTTTTTGAGATGGGATCTTGCTATGTTGCCCAGGCTGGTCTCTAATTCTTGGGCTCAAGCGATCCTCCCACCTCAGCCTCCGGAGTAGCTGGGATTACAGGCATGAGCCAACATGCCCAGCTCCTGCTTGTTTTTCTGTATACCACTTAACATCTTCTTAAAATATCCATAATTTTTTTCCTTACTCACTGGATTGTAAGCTCCACAAAGCTGGGGATTTTGTCTGTTTTGTTTATGAATGCATCCCCAGTGCCTAGAACAATGACTGGTATATCATAAATGCTCAATAAATGTGTGCTCGAGGAGTGAATGAGTGACCAAAAGAGGGAGGCAGTAGTGGGGAGGGGCCAGGTGAGAGCTAATATGGCCTGAGGTCTCTTCCTACAGCCCAAGGTCTCTGGGTTTCACTCCGAAAACTGCCATTGGTAATAGAGAAAGAATGCATTTGTTGTTCAGGTAATTGGTAGTAACTGACAGTAATTTCAAGTAATTAAACACTAATTAATTCAATGAGTCAGTAATGTATTTATTTATGGTATCTGTGTTTGTTCCCTTATAAATATTGGCATTACTTTTGTCAGGTAATTAAAATCCACTGGGAAAGTCACTGAGGTCCCAGGAGATTGCGGAAGCTTGGCTTGGCCTTGGCCAAGAATGAGCACTGGAACGGAGGCTGGACGAAGGCCCCGGGTTGGAGCTCATATAGGACGGGCTTAGATACTGGTGAGGGGTTGTGCAAGTGTTTAGCTGATGTTAGTTTGGGACTGGGGAATGAGACAATCAATCACAAAATCCTTTCCAAGTTATCGACTTCCTCTTTTATTCCCCTCCCCAATTCAAAAGTATTCTTTTAGGCTGTAATACGTGAGGTTCATTGGGGACACTGGCTGTAGACAGTCCTCTCCTCCCCGACTTCTTTTCCAAGGAAACAGCAGTGTCCCAAGCCCCTGGACCTCTGCCCTGGGGTCTGATCTCTTGGCACTAGACCACCCAATTATGGGCTGGATAGAAGATGGAGAAGGAGAGGAAAGGAGATGTGGAAGGACCCAGAGCAGGACCTGAAGGGGGTGGGGAGAGCAGAGGAGATCCTGATCTCAGAAGAGGCAAGCCCGAGGCTTTGGGGGTCTCAGTGACTTCGGGCCAGGCAGGTCCCATAGATGGGTTGGCCTGGAAGGACAGCGTGATGGCAGTCACAGAAGATATCACCCCCATCTTTCTAGATTCCCAGCCCACACTCCCCCAGTACCCTCAAACTAGAAGTGTCAAATGTTACGGTTTCTCAGAGGCTAGGGTTTTATGAACCCCCCAGAACTGCTATTCCTTTTCCCGGTGCGGCCTTTCCCCCTCCACAGTGACAGTGGGGATGCATTAAGGCACAGACTGTGGAGTCAGATGACAAAGGGTCAGATGCTGGGCATGATGTGTTGGGCAAGTGAATTAACATTTCTGAGCCTCAGTTTTATCATCTGTGAATTAGGGCTGATGATAGTATCTGCCCCACAGAGTTGTTAAAATGTTTAAATGTGCTTATGCCCCTAAAGCGCTTAGCCCACAGGGCCTCACAGGTAGGAAATGCTCAATTCACATTAGGTATTTGAATGGCTGATGTAGGTGACTGGCCCCCCTGTGACTCACCTTTTGTGTTCCAGTTTGTCCTCACCTCTAATCTCAAGGAAGCTTCTGTCTCTGCTGGTCCTGACCAGTCTTAAGAATATTGCTTCCGGCCGGGCGCGGTGGCTCACGCCTGTAATCCCAGCACTTTGGGAGGCCGAGGCGGGTGGATCATGAGGTCAGGAGATCAAGACCATCCTGGCTAACAAGGTGAAACCCCGTCTCTACTAAAAATACAAAAAATTAGCCGGGCGCGGTGGCGGGCGCCTGTAGTCCCAGCTACTCGGGAGGCTGAGGCAGGAGAATGGCGTGAACCCGGGAAGCGGAGCTTGCAGTGAGCTGAGATTGCGCCACTGCACTCCAGCCTGGGCGACAGAGCGAGACTCCGTCTCAAAAAAAAAAAAAAAAAAAAAAAAAGAATATTGCTTCCAAAGGCTCAAAAGTTTCTCCACGTCTTTCCTTCTAGATTTGCAGTGGGCACCTTCTTAACAACAGACCTCTACTCCTGGCTCCTAAATGTCTGCAGAAATTCTCTTTCCTCTGCTGCTGCACCCCTCCTGCTGCCCAGCCTCTGGTGCCCAGCTGCACAGTGCCCTCCAGCTTCAAGTTTTTTTTGTTTGTTTGTTTTTAAGTTCTGGGATACATGTGCAGAACTTACAGGTTTATTACATAGGTATACATGTGCCATGGTGGTTTGCTATACCCATCAACCTGTCATCTAGGGTTTTTTTTTTTGTTTTTGTGTTTGTTTGTTTTGAGACAGAGTCTCGCTCTGTTCTTCAGGCTGGAGTGCAGTGGCCTGATCTCGGCTCACTGAGACCTCCGCCTCCCGGGTTCAAGCGATTCTCCTGCCCCAGCCTCCTGAGTAGCTGGGATTACAGGCACCCGCCACCACGCCTGGCTAATTTTTGTATCTTTAGTCGAGACAGGGTTTCATCATGTTGGCCAGGCTGGTCTCGAAATCCTGACCTCAGGCGATCCACCCACCTCGGTCTTCCAAAGTGCTAGGATTACAGGCGCGAGCCACCGTGCCCAGCCCCTCATCTAGGTTTTAAGCCCTGCATGCATTAGGTATTTGTCCTAATGCTCTCCCTCCCCTTCAAGTTTCTTACTGCATTTCTATGACCCACCGCCCCCAGCAGTCTTGCTCAGTCCCTCAGTCTCTGTCTCGCTATCTCTGACTCTGTCCCTGTCTTCTTTGTCTCTCATTTCCCCTCCCCATTCCCCCTTTGTTCTGTCTCCCTTAATTAGCAATACTCTGGAACAGAAGTGTTTTTATTATGTTTTATTTATTGAATGGCTTTCAGTTTCCTGTTCTTAATTTAAAAGGCAGATCAATAAGATGCTTTATATTCCTGGTTTAAAACAAAACAAAGCTAAGTTAAGTTGTTCTTTGTTCATGCGGCTCTTCTTTGCATATTTCTTTCTCTGTAGGAAGAAAAGGTTCCTCACCCACGGTCTCTTAATTGACAAAAACACTTAATTCACTCACTGGTTCATTCACTCAGTAAATTATTCAGTAAGAGCCCTAGTTGTGGGCCAGGCACTGTGCTGGACTCAGGGAGTATATTAATCTGTTTTCACGCTGCTATAAAAAACTGCCCAAGACTGGGTAGTTGACAAAGGAAAGAGATTTAATTGACTCACAGTTCAGCATGGCTGGGGAGGCCTCAGGAAACTTAAAATCATAGTGGAAGGCAAAGGGGAAGCAAGACGTCTTCTTCACAAGGTGGCAGGAAGGAGAATGAACACAGAAGGAACTACCAAACACTTATAAAACCGTCAGATCTCGTGAGAACTCACTGACTATCACGAGAACAGCATGGGGGAAACCACCTCCATGATCCAATTACCTCCACCTGGTCTCTCCCTTGACATATGAGGATTGTGGGGATTGTAATTCAAGATGAGATTTGGGTGCGGACACAAAGCCTAACCATATCAGGGGACATAGAGATAATATAAAGCAGTATTCCTGTCCTCAAGTGCTCCTATCTAGCTAGGGAAACTGATTCAGGCACCAGTACATGCCAGAAAAAGTTAGAGCTGCTATGTCAATGTTTATGGTGTTGGCTGTGGTGCAAAGGGGTGGGGAAGGCTTCCTGGGGGAGAGCAAGCTGGGCTGAGAATTCAAATGTGAATAGATGTCTTGACTTGGGTTCACCCAGAAGCAGATCCTAAAACAAGGAAATGAGTGCAAGTAGTTAATTTGGGAGGATCCCGGGGAGTACTGGCAGGGGAATGGGGAAGAGAGACCTGGAGGAAAGGGAGGAAGTCAATACAGAGTACATCAATGAGAGGTTGCCATTTCGGGCAATTGGGGCTCAGTTCCTCTGGGATCCTCTGGGAGACTGTGTAGAACACACCTTAGAGTTATCCCAACTGAGTGGTGAAGGAGTTGGGGTATTTACACTCTTGTCACCTGCCATCCATCACTGATGAGGGCTGTCTTGGGGAGGCATTAATTACCCCACACTCCTGGCCTGCTGCACAGATGGCAACATGGACTCTGGTGGCCAGAGAGAGCCTTCAAGCAAAAAAAAAAAAAATGCAGGTTGTAGCAGTTGGGAGTCAGACTAGTACGCACTGAAGCCGTAAGAATGAAGGAGTGTGGGCTGGGCACCAACATCACCTGCTATGGCAGGTGCTGGGGGAAGGGATGGGCATTCCAGACAGGTGGAAAGTGTGATCGAGGGCAAAATATGTGGTGACCCCAGGAGGCCACACATAGTTTTGTGTGGTTCCAAAATTCAAGTTCAGGAAATCTGTCTTTGTGTAGCCTGGGCCTCAGCTCCCTCATTTATAGAAAGGTGATAAAAATACTTTCCCCACTCATCCAAGATGATTTGCACAAAGCCCCCAGCTTGGACCCTGCAGAACAGAGCCCAATTCAGCCCTTTCCTTAAATTCCTCCACCTCATCTCCTGCCAGCCTGCAAGCCCTGGATATGCGAGGCTATTTATGATGCCCTGTCGATATCTGTCTTGGTGGAGGAGCGTGGAGGGGATGGATGGAGCCTGGGGTCCTATCCATCAGTCACTTGGCTGCAATCTCTAAAGAGATTTTAATTGTGAGCTCAGATTTACTCCAGTCATCAGCAGTGCCCGCCTGCCTCTTTACCAGTAGAGAGTGGGGCCTGCAGGCCCTCTGTGGTTTGCCAAATAGACGTCTTGTAGCAACGCTGAGGAAATATTTGCTGCAGTGAAACAATGTGCCTGGTGGAAAGCAATCGCCCTAAATCGCCCCCTGACAGCCCGCCAGAGCCCTACCAGAGGCTTCTTCCACTATGCGCTCAGCTTTTTCTCCAGAGTTGTGCTTCTGCTACCTACCCAGGGAAGAGGATGATGGCCTCAAACCTGAATTGGAGGGAAACTGAAGCAGGGGCAGCGTTCCCCCTCTTCTGGGCCATGTGGTAGAGGGGACAGTAGGAGAACAAGGTGGCAGGGGTGGAGAGTAGTGTGGGAGCCCTGGGTTAGAAAGACCTGGACCAGGCTGGGCGCTGTGGTTCACGCTTGTAATCCCAGCACTTTGGGAGACCAAGGCAGGCAGATCATGAGGTCAGGAGTTCGAGACCAGCCTGACCAACATAGTGAAACCCCGTCTCTACTAAAAAAAATACAAACATTAGCCAGGTGTGATGGTGCGCACCTGTAATCCCAGCTACTCAGGAGGCTGAGGCAGAAAAATCGCTTGAACCCGGGAGGCGGGGGTTGCAGTGAGACGAGATCATGCCACTGCACTCCAGCCTGGGCGACAGAGTGAGACTCCATCTCAAAAAAAAAAAAAAAAAAAAAAAAAGCAAGACCTGGACCAGGCCCATTCTGAGCAAAAGGTCCAGGGGATGTTAGCCCCTTTCACAGCTAAGAACTCCTGGGTTAAGAGAAGTGAGCCTGAGTTTGTGCAGCAAGCGATACCAGGAATCTCAGCTTTGGCCCTCTGGGTTTTTGCTTAAGGTTCTGTCTTTGGCCCCCCAGCATCCCTTTCTGAACTCTCTTTCCTATGCCTCTGCAGGGGACCAGGGCCCATTCACCATCAGGGTTTGCTTTGGGGAAATGACCTACTTCCAAAGCTTGTGCCTCTGAGTGAGTTTCAGTGGCCTCCTCTCTCAGAGGTGGCCAAAGTCTTCTCTCCACCTGTCGGGTCAAAGTGCTTATATCCTCTGGGGGAAAGGAGGATGAGGAAGAGGAGATGGAAGAGGAGGAGGAGGAGTTGGGGCAGGAGTGGAGAAGAGACACTTCCTAGACTGGGAAGTCACTCAAGGAGCTTCCTATTCTGCCTTCAAGGCAGAATGGCCTAAGTGCATATTCTCTTTAAAGCAGCAGCCTATTTTTGTAAAATTTATCCAACAGAAGCAAAACAAAATAGAACAAAACCACCAGCCCACAAGAATGGCATACTTGATATCTATTGTCACATTGCTGGTGATAGCAAAAACCCAGAAGCCTGAATGTCCATTGATAGAGGCATGGTTGAATAAGTTTTTATGGTCCAATTTTTGAATATCATGATGCTATTATAAAGGAGGTAGGTCTGCTGCAGTGGCTCATGCCTATAATCCCAGCACTTCGGGAGGCTGAGGTGGGTAGATCACTTGAGCCCAGGAGTTGGAGATGAGCCTGGGCAACATGGTGAAAACTTATCTCCACAAAAAATACAAAACATTAGCCAGGCATGGTGGCATGCACCTATGGTCCCAGCTACTTGGGAGGCTGAGGCAGGAGGATCACCTGAGCCTGGGAGGTCAAGGTTGCGATGAGGCATTATTGTGCCATTACACTTCAGCCTGGGTTACAGCGTGAGACTCTGTCAAAAAAAAAATTAATTAATTAAATTTTAAAAGGAGGCATATCTAATTGTTGACTCACAAGGCTGTACATGAAAAAATCAAGTTGCAGAGTGGTAAGTGTGTTTGGGTCCCATTAAAGAAATCTGGGCTGGGCGCGGTGGCTCAAGCCTGTAATCCCAGGACTTCGGGAGGCCGAGGCGGGCGGATCATGAGGTCAGGAGATTGAGACCATCCTGGTTAACACAGTGAAACCCCGCCTCTACTAAAAATACAAAAAATTAGCCAGGTGTGGTGTCAGGCCTGTATATGTTTGTGGATAGGTAAGGAAAAGCACAAACGTGGCGAGAGTCATATTAAGATTAGGGTCAGCTGTGAATAAAAGGAAAAAAAGACCGCCAAACAACAAATGTTTAAACAAGATAACATATTTCTTATGTATCTCTTCTTTAACCTTCTGGAGGTGAGTGGTTCGGGGCTGGTGTGGTAGTTCTACTCCAAGAAATCCTCCAGGTTCCCTCTATCCACCATGAGTGGCCTCCATTCCCAAGGTTACCTCATGGCTCAAGATGGCTGCTTCAGCTTCAGCCATCACCTTAACATTCCAGCGGGTAGGAAAGAGGAAGGCACCAACAGTATCATGTTCCTTCTTCTTAAAAGGTCACTTCCTCAAAGTCTCCTATATTATTTTTCGTTATATCTCATTTGCTAGAACTTAATTCTATAGTTACAACCTAACCACAAGCCGGGTACGGTGGCTCACATCTGTAATCCCAGCACTTTGGGAGGCAGATGTGAGCGGCCCATGAGGTCAGGAGTTCGAGGCCAGCCTGGCCAATATGGTGAAACCCCGTCTCTACTAAAAATACAAAAATTAGCTGGGCGTGGTTGTGCGCACCTGTAGTCCCAGCTACTCGGGAGGCTGAGGCAGGAGAATTGCTTGAACCCTGGAGGCAGAGGTTGCAGTGAACCGAGATAGCACCACTGCACTCCAGCCTGGCGACAGAGTGAGACTCCGTCTCAAAAAAAAAAAATAAAAATAAGAGGCTGAGGCAGGAGGATTACCTGAGTCCAAGAGTTTGAGACCAGCCTGAGCAACATAGTGAGATCCTGTCTCTAAAAAAAAAAAAAAAAAAAAAAAAAAACGAGAGAGAGAGAGAGAAGAAAAGAGTATTATTTGTATTACTTCTGAAATTTAAAAATCCCCAATAACATAGTCGTATTTTTTAATTATTTATTTTTTGCCCCATTTTAAACATATTCTTAAAAACCTCTTGCATGGCTCTTACTATTCTAGCATGAATTCTAAATCTCCTAGCCTTATACCTAAGGCCCTCTCGGATCTGTCTGGGTCATCCTTTGAGCTTCCTCCTTCCTCCCCGCAGTCTTAATGTGGACACACTGATTCCCTCACTTTTCACCATAAACTCCCTGCCTCTGTGACTTTGCGTCTGGTTCCTGTCTCTAACATGCCCTTCCTGCTCCCCACTTTGTCTTTACAAACGCCACACGAAAGTTGTTGCCCGGGAGAAATCTTCCCTCCTTGCCTGGGCAGTCCTCTGCCTGCGCCTCTACTGTCTTCAGCACTTTTTTTTTTTTAAGACAGTCTCACTCTGTCACCCAGGCTGGAGTGCAGTGGCTCGATCTCGGCTCACTGCAAGCTCCACCTCCCGGGTTCACGCCATTCTCCTGCCTCAGCCTCCCAAGTAGCTGGGACTACAGGCGCCCGCCACCACGCCTGGCTAATTTTTTTTTGTATTTTTAATAGAGACGGGGTTTCACCGTGTTAGCCAGGATGCTCTCGATCTCCTGACCTCGTGATCTGCCCTCCTTGGCCTCCCAAAGTGCCGGGATTACAGGTGTGAGCCACCGCCCCGGCCCTTCGGCACTCTTTCTGAGCACGCACTGTGCGGTCCGGTGGTTTATTTCTTCTGCATCCACTTTCCGCACTAGACCAGGGGCTCCTCCAGGACAGGGACTGCCACTCATTTGTTCCTCTCCTTGGGCACTCATGATAGCACCTGTTATATAGTAGATGTTCAATGAATCTGCCCGATGCTCTCTGCAAGCATTTGTCTCATTTGTCTTCACATCAACCTGTGAGGTCGGTATCATTATTGCCCCATTTTACAGGAGTGGGCGGCAATATTGTGCAGTGGTTATAGATGAGAGCCAGCAGCCCTGGGTTCCAGTAATAACATTTAGGTAAACTACTTAATTTGCTAAAGTCTCAGTTTCCTCACTTATCAACTGGAGTTCAGGTCAGCATGCCATAGGCGCTCAATACATGGTAGAGATTCCTAGTAGATGCCTGGGGCTGGGATCTTTCTCTTTCCCTGCACTCTTTACCCCTCTTCCAGTTGGGTAGAGTCATGTCACCCACATCCCCTGCCCAGCCCTGCGGCCAGTTCCCAGGTCATGTTAGGCCAGGCCCAGCCCATCCTCCCACCAGCCCTGATGTGGAAACTGGAGGTACGAGGGAAGAAGGAGGAGGGTGGAAGTTTGATGGCCCTTAAGTGACCTAACCCTCCGTGCATCCTCCCAGAGGGCACAGCCTATGCAGTGTCCCTGGTACTGGCTCCGGTTCCCTTCCTATTGATCAGAAGGGACAACCTACACACAGGACGTCACATCATCCTTTTGGGATGGGATGAGCACTGGGCAGAAACAGTTCTTCAGGACCCTGAAGAGAACAGGTGCCCAAAATGGGGAGAGACCTTTACCCCACAGCCCCCAGTGTCAGCTGATGTCCACCTCAGCAGCCTGCTCCACAGCCTCTGGCTGGGCAGCCCTCACCCATCCTCAGGTACCCATTCACTGGGTCTGCCACCCCAGGAAGAGAGAAATCATCCTGAACTTTGGGGAGAGGGACACCTTCAAGAAGAGTTTTCCATGCAGAGGAACTTTACTGGAGGAGGGAGATTCAGGTCTGAGTGCAGGAACCCTGTAGACCTGCTCTATAGATGTGTAACTGGACTCTATATACACAGGCTAGCAGTGGCCTCTTGGGAACCCCTTAGCTCCTCTCCAGAGTCCTGTGCAGTCAGAGGACATCAAGCCTCCCACCCCCCCTCGCATACATTGTAGGCTATGGGGAGAAAAATGGCTGTCCTCTGGCATCGGCTGTGTCCGGAATCAGCTTCTCATTCAGTGGTAACTTCTGTGCTGGGTGAAGTGGCAGTCAGCAAACTGCAACCAGGTTCTGACTTTAGTCACACACACCCCTGCCACCAAACAAACATGAGCAGAGGCATTTGGGAGACAGGACTGGGGGAATGAGCATAAAGTATTCTGGAAGGATCCCCTTTCCTCCTCTCAGGTGGACCATGGCTCTGCAGCTGGGAGTACGGAGAAAATTATCTGTTCATCTCCTCCCCTCCCCTCCCATGGTCTTTGTGGGTGAGAGAGGAGAGCCAGTGACCTGAGGCAGGTGACCCTTAACTGGGCTAACTGGGTGACTTTTGGGTTCTGTGCTTGGAAGCCCTGGCTGCCACATGTCACCCTCTTTTGTCACTTGTTTCCCAGCTTCTGAGATTGTGTCTTTTTTTTTTTTTTGAGACTGAGTCTCGCTCTGTCGCCCAGGCTGGAGTGTAGTAGTGCGATCTCGGCTCACTGCAACCTCCACCTCCCGGGTTCAAGCGATTCTTGTGCCTCAGCCTCCTGAGTAGCTGGGACTACAGGCATGCGCCACCATGCCCAGCTACTTTTTTTGTATTTTTATTAGAGACAGGGTTTCACCATGTTGGCCAGGCTGGTCTTGAAGTCCTGACCTCAGGTGATCTGCCCGCCTCGGCCTCCCAAAGTGAGCCACTGCACCCAGCTGAGATTGTGTCTTAATAGCCAAGCCGTAACTGTTCCTCCAGGGTGCCCCCTCAGATGGACGGGGGTGGTGTGGATGTAGGAACCTCGGCCTCCTCTGCCAAAAAGGGGCCTCCTGAAGGCCAGCACCTGTGTCCTCTGGCAGATGGGAAACCCAGCAAAGGCTGGGAGAGGACAGCTCCTCCTGTCACACTGGACACTAATTCCCAGAGGATGAGCCCTGCCTGCCCCAACAGACTGGACAGCCAGCTTGGCCTCAGGGGTCCCCCAGCTGGGCTGGGGTGGTTTGGGCAAGAGGAGGCAGGAAGGGGGCTCCGGCCTCTGTCCTCTGTTCACAACCAAATTGCCTCCTTCACCTTTCCCAGGTTGTGTTTACCTTGTCCTCCTCCCACTGCACTGTTCTCCCAGCCGATCTGATTGCTGTAATTAGTTAATCAGTAACTGGCATAATTTCCCCCTGATTAATGCAGGAATAATCACCCGCCAGGGCTGCCAGCAATTTGCTTATCAGAGTCACTTTGAAACAGCTTTGAAAATGAACGATTGGCACCTTCCTCGGGGTTAAAATTAGAGCCCAAGGAGGCCGCCCTCTGCTGTGGGCGTCTGGGACTGTCGGGACCAGCAGGGGAGTCCCAACCCCACTGTCGGAGCCAGGGAACACCACGGTTCCCATGTCTGGCTGGCTCCAAAAATGTTTGCTGAATGGGGAGAGGATGGATACTGTTTCTACCTACTGTGCACTGGCTACACGGGGTTCCCAGGAACACAAGGCAGACAGGTGGAGGTGCTGGGGGGTCCCTCTGGGATGAAGCCAGCAGGTAGAGACCAGGACAGGAGGCTTGTCCTGGAGCAGGAGGAAAGGGCAGTTGATAAAGGGGCAGAGTAATAGGGCCAAAAGGAGGGTCCAGCTCTAGTTAGTAATAATAATAATAGTAATAGCAAAATAGCATCATTCCCACCTTTTATGGAGTAGAGGAACTGTACTAGTTCTTCATATACGTTATCTCATTTCCCCCCCACCCTTTTTTTTTTTTTTTTTTTTTTTTTTTTTAGAGAGCTTCTCACTCTGTCACCTAGGCTGGGAGTGCAGTGGTGTGATCTCGGCTCAGTGCAGCCTCTACCTCCCGGGATCAAGTGATTCTCATGCCTTAGCCTCCAGAATAGCTGGGATTACAGGCATGCGCCACCATGCCCGGCTAATTATTTTGTAGTTTTAATAGAGATGGGGCTTTGCCATGTTAGCCAGGCTGGTCTCAAACACCGTGCTGGTATTATAGGCATGAGCCACTGTGTCTGGCCTTATTTAATCTTTATGCAATAATAATAAACACTTAATGAGCACATACTATGTAGCAGTACTGCTTCGCTTTTACAATTTTATTTCCCCCCGCCCCCCTTTTTTTTGAGATAGGGTCTCACTCTGACAACCAGGCTGGAGTGCAGTGGTGTGATCATAGCTCACTGCAGTTTCAACCTCCTGGGCTCAAGCGATCCTCCCGCCTCAGCCTCCCAAGTAGCTGAGACTACAAGTGCACGCCACTACATGCACCGACACACCTGGCTAATTTTATTTTACTTTGTAGAGACGAGGTCTCACTATGCTACCCAGGCTGGTCTGGAACTCCTGAGCTCAAGAGATTCTCCTGCGTCAGCTTTCCAAAGTGCTGGGATTACAGGCATGAGCTGCTGCGCCCAGCCTAAAATTTTATTTTTAATTATGGAAAATTTAAATAAAAAGAGAAATGCAATAATAAACTCCTATGAATTCAACAACCAGTTTCAAGTTATCCACATTGTTTTAATGTTGTTTTATCTATCTCGCCCTCCATTCTTGTCCTTTTTGTTATTCAAGTATTTTAAAACCAGTCCCAGACATCATATCATTTCACCTGTAAAATGAGATGCAGGTAGTAAGAGCCTCTGCCTCATAAGACTGTTAGCAAGGATTTGATGAGATCCTGCATGCTCAGATCATAAGGCACACAGACACTCCAAAGGTATTTGTTATGATTATTAAAGCAGTGGGGGAGTGTTAGTTTGCTTGCTTGTTTAAATCTGTAGGGTCTAGAGGAAAAGTGAAAGACAGCCAGGGTGTGCAGCAGATATCCTGTGTACTGGTTACTTGCCCAAGTCTGGTGAGACAAAGCACTCACACGCACAAGTTACATGAGGCAGATTTATTACTTACAGATAGGCAGCAGGGGCAACAGAAGCCCAGGACCCATGATGAGCTGGTCCCCCAAGACCCAGGAAAGCTATCCTGGGTGGATGGAGTCTTGTTTGTGTATGCTGCACTTGCACCATAGCTGAGATTCCAGAAAGCAGCCTGCCCTGGGTTTTATATCCTGGAGGATGTAGCAATCGCCCGGCTAAGCAAAGATGGGCATCCTGTTTTTAAGAGGGACCCAGCTGGTCTAGCTAGTCCCTCCTTTTCTCAGGATGCTGCATTCTCAGCACATTCTGCAGTTATTTCTGAGAACTGTGAGGAAGAAAGGGGAGAGAACTGGCTGGTCCAAGGCCACCCAGAGAACAATCCTACACAGGCATGTGCAAGAATCTCCAGGTGCTGGTGCAGGAGTTGCTCAGATAAGTCTTGGGGGTATAGAGAGGCAAGGCTGGAGTGATTGTTATTAACATTTCCTGTGCCTGTGGGTTGTTGCAGGGATTTAATGAGATCCTGCATGCTGAGGTCTGCAGTGGAGCTGACCTGTGGAGCTGTGATGGGGGACCAAGGGAATGATCACAGAGGATGCTGCATCCTCACAGCTGAGCTATGGCCCCCAGCGTGTCCCATTTGGCTCATGATGTACATTCCTTTATCTCTAGCTCTCCTTCATTGGCTTGAAGAACTGAGGGATGAGGGATGGGCTGGTAATCAGGGACACTGGAGGACCAGTTTCAGTTCTCTCAGATGGGGGCATCATGGCATTAAGTTGCGAAATCTGGGCAGTCCCTTGGGTACCTCTTTGTGCTGGAGTGCTAGAGGTGCTGTGTCGTATTTGCTCCCAGGTACACTGCTGGGTAATTAGGGAGGTAAGAAAGAGATGATGGAAGCTGTTGCCCCTGCCCACATGGAGCCCACAACCTGGTTGGAACACAATGAGTTAAGCAGTGATCTATACCAAGACAAGCATGATCATGCGGTGATGTGTTATTGTCCATCAGTTTCTGCAACTGGCCTGCTAGGGCCCTGACCCCTGAGCATGGGAATGCCATGTGTGAAAGTGTTCGTGTGCATGTGTGTGTGCATGCATGTATGCACACACGTGGACTCACACCCCTGGCTTGCAAATGAGCTGTCCTGTGCACACATCATCAAGGAACACCTGTTACAGAGAAGCTTTTGTCAGGGTGAGAAATAATAAGAAGTTAATTTAGAAACACTTCTCTGTCAAATAGGTGAGACTGTATGACTAGCTGCATTTAAAAAAATAACTTAAACTCCACAAAAGAATTTTAAAATGGCCTTTATTTTAAATGAATCAAGCTGTTTTCTGTGCTCGGGGAGCTCCCATGGCCAATTTGCAGGGAGTACAGACAAATAAGCTTGAGAGATTAGGCACGGGAGCCAGTGTCTCCCCGACCCTGGGTAAGCCACACTTTTCATGGGCAAGGAGCTGGGTTTGCCCACTCCCTTTGCACAGCATTGGCATTTTGTATCCATCTTCTTCCTTGTTAAAACCTGACCCCTTCCACTTTGTGGACACGAACGCATTCACTTCTTCTCCTTCTTCTTTTTTTTTTTTTTTTTTTTTTGTCTTTGAGATGAAGTTTCACTTTTGTTGCCCAGAATGGAGTGCAATGGTGCGATCTTGGCTCACTGCAATCCCTGCCTCTCAGATTCAAGCAATTCTCCAGCCTCAGCCTCCCAAGTAGCTGAGATTACAGGCATGTGCCACCAGGCCTGGCTAATTTTGTGTTTTTAGTGGAGATGGGGTTTCACCATGTTGGTCAGGCTGGTCTCGAACTCCTGACCTCAGGTGATCCGCCCGTCTGGGCCTCCCAAAGCCCTGGGATTACAGGCGTGAGCCACCCTGCCCGGCCTGAACTCATTTACTTCTCCTCATGCCTCTTTGATGGCTCTTCCCTACTAGCTCCTTGCTCTGTCCTCCCCTTAAATGCAGGCAGCCCCCTGAGACTCTATCCTCAGCAGAGTTCAGTTCCCGCACCAATGCCCCCTTGTGTGATCTCTTTGATCCTCTTGTCTTCAAGTCTTTTATTACCATCAAGCAGACAACACCCAAATAATTCCCTACCCCTTGTTCTGATCTTTCTCCAAGGACGCCAGACAGCAGTTCCCCTTGCGTACCAGACACTTCCACTCGGCTGTCCTGCTGGAAACTCAAATTCAATTTGTCTGTATCAATTTGTCAGACTCTTCCTCTGCAAATTAGATTATCCTTCTGCAATCCCCAAGCCTTCAACCAGCACCACCGCCCTTTCAGTCTCTCAATCCAGAAACGTGGGAGTCACACCCTGTCCCCACCAAAACCATGGGGGTTCAGCTCTTAAATATCTCTTTCTTCTACCCCCTTCTCACCCTCCCCACTGAGCACTCTCCCAGCTGGAGTCTCAGACATCTCACAGGGACTCTGCCTCTCATCTTGTCCTCCTCCCATCCACCCTCCAAACCCTAACCAGGGTATCAAGTCCAGACCACTCACGAAGGGAGATGTGAGCTCTCTAAGACTGACCCCAACCAACTCCATCCCTCATCTCCCTGTACTCACTCCCCTCTCCCTGAGCCCTGTGCCCAGGCATCAGCCATGTGTTTGCCTCCTCCAAATCTCATGTAGAAATTTGATCCCCAGTGTTGATGATGGGGCCTAATGGGAGGTGTGTGGCTCCTGGGGATGGATTCCTCCTGAATGGCTTGGTGTCATCCTCACAGTAATGAGTGGGTTCTTGCTCTATTAGTTCCCATGAGAGTTTTATCCAGAGCTGGTTGTTAAAAAGAACCTGGCGCCTTCCCCTGCCCTCCCTTCCTGTCTCTCACCGTGTGACCTCCGCACAAACCTGCTCCTTTCCCTTCCACCATGAGTGGAAGCAGTCTGAGGCCTCATCAGAAGCAGACGCTAGTGTCTGCAGAACTTTGAGCCCAGTAAAGCTCTTTTCTTTATAAATTACCCAACCTCAGGTATTCCTTTATATAGCAATGCAAAACAGACTAAGACACCCTGCATGTGGCAACTTTCCCAGAACACACCAGGCATCTGCATACATTTGTCCCTCAGCCACTGTGATTTCTACCGATCCCATTCCTACTCTTTTGTTAGTTAGCATTAGGTTCAGCTGCCAGCAATAGAGACACCAAATAATAGTAACTTAAGATAGATGTTATTTCTCTTTCATATAAAAGTCCATATAGTCCTTAGGGACCCAGGCTTATTCTAGTTTACTGATTTGTCTCAAGGATATGGTTCCCATCCTCATAATCCAAGATGGTGGCTATGACTCCAACCATTACCTCTGTGTTCTTTTTAAAACATTTTTAAAATTAATTAATTTCTTTATTTTGAGATGGAGTCTTGCTCTGTCACCCAGACTGGAGTGCAGTGGTGCAATCTCGGCTCACTGCAACCTCCACCTCCCAGGTTCAAGTGATTCTCCTGTCTCAGCCTCCCGAGTAGCTGGAATTACAGGCACCGGCCACCATGCCTGGCTAATTTTTGTTTTTTGTTTTGTTTTTTAATGGAGAGAGAGGTTTTCACCATGTTGGCCAGACTGGTCTCCAACTCCTGACCTTACATAATCTACCTGCCTCAGCCTCCCAAAGTGCTGGGATTATAGGCCTGAGCCAGCACACCTGGCCTAACTCTGCATTCTAAGCATCAAAGAGGACAAGGGCATGTGTGGCTGCTTTTAAGGAAACCTACCCAAGGTACCATGCTGCATTTTCACATACATCCCATCGGCCAGCTGCAAAGAAGCGGTGTGACATTTAGTCTTTATTTTGAATCATGTACCTGGCTAAAACTCTGATCTGGGATTGTATTACTATGAAAGAAGGAGAGAGAACATATTAGGGAACAACTGGAAGTCTCTAATGTCATTTGACAGAGGCCCATTCAAATGCCTCTTCCTTTAAGTGACTCCTCAGATCCCCAAATGGAATTAGCCACTTCTTCCTGAGCCCTTGCCTGCAGTTTTTACCAGATCTCTCTGTCATCTACTGCAGTCAGTTCTGGAGTTGGTTTCCCTGCTAGGTTATAAGCCCCTGGGAGACAGGAGCAGTGCCTTCCATAACCTTAAACCTCCTTCTATAACCTTGAGCCAGTTGCAAATGGGGCAGGGAAGGTTCTCAGTAAACATATGTTGACCAAATGGAACTGGCTCCTAAGCATCTCAGGTCCTTCCTCCCTGGGGACCAGTGGTGTAGCTTTGGAGGTGCCTGGTAGGTGTCAGGATCACAGCCTGGAGCTGATGCACATATGGACCTATTCTGTGTTTATGTCTTATTTGCTTTTATTTAATAGCACTTTGTGGAGGTATAACTTATAGACGTTAAAGTTCTCTAATCTTAAGTCTAAGCACAATGACTTCTTATAAATGTACACATTCATGTCACTACTGTTCCGAGCAAGAGGGAGAACATTTCCAGCACCTCCAAAGGTGCTCTTGTGCCCTTTCTTAGTAATAGCCCCTGCAGAGGTAACCATTGTTCATATTTTGTGTGTGGCTTTGGCTTTATTGATACTTGTCTTAACTGCAGCAACAACAGGCTGCTTAGTGGCTGCGAGGAAAGCCTGGGCTGGGAAGCATCTCTCTCTCCAGCTCCAAGTCCTTCTCCAACTCTCTACATGCCAGTCAAACTAGACTTTAAGTTCCTTTAACTCACTCAGCTTTCTCTGGCCGCAGGACCTTTGCACACGCCATTTCATCTTCCTGGGGCACTCTTCCCCCACATGTGGGCTGTTTCATTCCTGTTTGAATTTCGGGTCTCAGCTCAGACATTATTGCTTCAGGAGACTGTCCCTGCCCCCACTCAGACTGGGTTCTTCACTCCCACAGAACATTGAACTTTTCCTTCTGAAAAGATGATCACTCTTGTAATTCCATAATTCCCGGCATGTTGGTTGGACACATTCTAAAGTGACCCCATGCCAGAGAGACATGCCCTTGTATAATCCCCTCCCCTCGAGTGTGGGTGGGACCTGTGGTTTGCCTCTAGTCCATAGACTGTGTCAAAGGTGAAGAGATTTAGCAGCTCAAAACCAGTTGATTTTAATTCAATAAAAAAGGGATATTACCCTGTGTGGGCCTGACTTAATCAGGGGAAAGGCCCTAAAAAAGGAACTGACGCCGTCCTTGAGGTGAAAGACTCCTGTTGGCCTTGAAGAATCAAGCCACCAAGTAAGGAAATGAACTCTGCCCGGGATCTGATGGAGCTTGGAAGCAGATCTTTTTCCAGTTAAACCTCTGCTGAGACTGCAGCCCAAAGTTTACCTGGGTGCTGTGCTCATGGTCTCACCTGGCGGAGCTTTTTGAGACCGTGAGCAGAGGGCCTAGGTAAACTATGCCAGAACCTTTGACTCACAGAAACTGAGATAAGGAATGTGTGTTGTTTTAAGCGTCTAAGTGTGTAGTAAGTTGTCACACAGCAATAGCTAACAAGTCCATCTTCCTTTCCCTCTAGAATGAGCTCCTTAAGAGCAGGGACCTTGTCTTGTTCTAAATTGGAGACATCCCTGTTCTCTAATATAGAGGTTTCCAAACTTTCTTGGGTCACAGTTCCATTAGTGTCTTAATTTTTTTTCATGATGCCCCTAGATCAAAAGAAATACCTAACACTTCCATTTATTAAGTAGCTTTATCTGAAGAACTTAATATGTATTTATATCCTAATAATTTAGTAGCCATTTGAAAAATAATACATATAAATTGAAAGAAAAAATATTTTTATTTTTATTTATTTAATTTTTCTTTTTCTTTTTTGAGGCAGGGTCTCACTCTGTTACCCAGGCTGGAATGCAGTGGTGTGATCATAGCTCACTGCAGCTTCAAACTCCTGGGCTCAAGCAATCCTCCTGCCTTGGCCTCCCAAAGTGCTAGGATTGTAGGTTTGAGCCACTGCACCCAGCCCATATTTTTCTTTCTTTTTTTTTAGTTTTTTTTGAGACGGAGTCTCACTCTGTCACCCAGGCTGGAGTGCAATGGTGCCATCTTGGCTCACTGTAAGCTCCGCCTCCTGGGTTCAAGTGATTCTCCTGCCTCAGCCTCCTGAGTAGCTGGGATTACAGGTGTGTGCCACCACGCCTGGCTAATTTTTGTATTTTTAGTAGAAACAGGGTTTCACCATGTTGATCAGACTGGTCTTGAACTCCTGATCTCAGTTTATCCACCTGCCTTGGGCCTCCCAAAGTGCTGAGGTTACAGGGACGAGTCACTGCACCTGGCCTTATTTCATTCTTAATTGTAGTTACTAACTGGCAGAATCTGTGTGCCTGTTGGCAAACCTTTTGTTTGTTTGTTTGTTTGTTTGTTTGTTGTTTTTGAGACAGAGTCTCACTCTGTCACCCAGGCTGGAGTGCAGTGGCACGATCACAGCTCACTGCAACCTACACCTCCCAGGTTTAAGCGATTCTCCTGCCTCAGCCTCCTGAGTAGCTGTGACTGTAGATGTGCACCACCATGGCCCAGCTAATATTTGTGTTTTTAGTAGAGATGGGGTTTCACCATGTTGGCCAGGCTGGTCTCGAACTCCTGACCTCAAGTGATTCACCCACCTCGGTCTCCCAAAGTGCTGGGATTACAGGCATGAGCCACTGCACCTGGCCCATTGACAAACCTTGAAATCAGGTCGAACACCATCCTCATCCTCATTTCTTGTTCGCATTGATTTTCGCATCAATGAAAATCTATCTTCGCAAAGATATGACATCATCAAAAGAAATGTATGTAGTGCAATCTAATGTTTAGTATGAATGTGAACTACCTCAAGCTTGTGTGGTGTTACTGTTTTCTTTGAAAACTTAAGGCCAGGTGTGGTAGCTCACACCTGTAATCCCAGCACTTCGGGAGGCCAAGGTTGGGGGATCACTTGAGCCCAGGAGTTCAAGACCAGCCTGGGCAACATGGCAAAACCCTACCTCTACAAAAAATACAAAAATTAGCTGAGGGTGATGGCACATGCCTGTGGTCCTAGCTACTCAAGGGGCTGGGGTGGGAGGATCACCTGAGCCCGGGGAATTCAAGGCTGCAGCGACCCGTGATCATGCCACTGCACTCCAGCCTGGGCAACAGAGTGAGGCTCTGTCTTGAAATATAAAAAAAAGAAAATTTAAAATATCCCGTACTGCCCCTGTGAGTTCACTGTGGTGCCCCAGGGTACCTTGGCACAGAGTTTGGGAACCATGAACTTGCTAGGTACATGGGTGGGACTCAACAAATAGTCATGAACTAAGTGACTGACTGAATGAACAAAATAACTGTGGTAGGAAGGGAAGCCAGAGAGGGACAAAGAGGGGTTTGAGGTGGAAGGACCTCTTTATTTTCCCCTAGCACAGTGGTTCTAGAGGGCCATCAGTCAGAGTCTAAACAGGAAAGCAGAAGACACTTCAGATGTTTCCAACAGGAGGAATGCGATACAGGAGATTGGTTATACAAGTGCTGGGAGCATGGAGAAGCCATATAACAGATGATGGGGTCAATGTGGAGACTAGTGAGAGTAAGAAACTCTATGGCCCTGAGTCTGCAAGACAAAGGGAGGAAGGTATTAGTGGGCCCCCAAGGAACTGCAGCAGGCCTGTCGGGCAGCAGTTGAAGCCACGAAGGAGATGCAGCAGCTGCTAAAGATGCCAACCGAGGCAAAGCGGCGGGGCGGGGGGAGCGGGGAGCAAATACCCAGCTTTTCCCTTCTTCTTGCCTTCCAATCTCATTAGCGCCTCCTATTGCCCCAAAGTGGCAGAAAACTAGTTGGCACAGAGCCTGATGAATGCAGGCTGCAGTGTCACCCCCTGTTACTGAGAACAGTGGGGGAAGAAATGGACATTAAAACAAATAATTGTTGGCCGGACACAGTGGCTCATGCCTGTAATCCTACCTAGCACTTTGGGAGGCCGAGGTGGGTGGATTGCATGAGCTCAGGAGTTCAAGACCAGCCTGGGCAACATGGTGAAACCTCGTCTCTACTAAAATCCAAAAAAATTAGCCGGGCATGGCGGTGTGCACCTATAATCCCAGCTACTTGGGAGGCTGGGGCAGGAGAATCACTTGAGTCCGGGAGGCAGAGGTTGCAGTGAGCCAAGATCACGCCATTGCACTCCAGCCTGGGCAACAGAGCGAGACTCCATCTCAGAAAAAAAAAAAATTGTCATGGGACAGAGACTGGGCTGGGAGGAAGGTCATCGCCCCCAGGCTCTTGTCCTGGCCTGGGACTGAGAAGGGCCAGCATGTCCAGGACTGAACCACAGAGGACACCCTGTGTTCTCCCAGACACCAGGGAGGCCCCTTTTTCCAAACCTGGTACTGAGACTAAGCCCAAATTATACAGCTTTGGAGCTAGACCTTCTGCCAACTGGCTGTGTGACTGCCATCAGGTCACTCAACCACTCTGATCTCTGCTCTCCTCAGTGTCAAACATAGGGCTTGGACAAGACGGCCTCCTGGGTTCTGCCTATCTTTAGCATCCTTCAGTGTACAACTCAACCAGACTGTGAAGGAGGAGGAAGTACCAGAAGGGTGACCTGTAGGCGGAGAAATGGGTGGGCAAGAAGGCGGGGCCAGCTTCCACCCATTTATCTGTGAAACAGGGCGTGTAGGCGGGTTGCTGCAGATCACAAGCCTCTGAACCTCAGGCCTTTCTTGTCAGGGTCCGTGGAGTTGTCTTCTTTCTGGAGCTATTATCCAGGGCCAGGAGCTTTCTCTGGAGGGAGAAGAGTCCCAGGACAGTCTATCCCCTGGCCTCTCCTCTTAAAGATGTAGAGAGAGCTTACGGTCTGAGAGAGGGGACCATCTGACTCTAGAGGCATTTGCAGTGATCTCAGGGAGGGGAATAGAGGCTGGGAGGCAGGTTCAAGGGGCCCTGAGAGATTTAAAGAGATTGAAACATCGATGTGAGGAGGCAGCTGGACCAGAAGTTGTCAAATGTGTCAGAGGCCTGGAGAATTTCAGGGCTGGAATATACCCCCTACCTAGTGCAGCACTCTTACTGTACTGATGAGGAAACCAAAGTCCAGAGAGGGAAGGTGACTTGCTTAAGCTTCCTGATCTATTTCTAACCAGCCTCTGGACTCCCAGACTGGTTCTTTCCTGAACGAGAGCTTTCTCCCACATCAAACCCAGATCAAAACTCACTTGTTCTGTCTCATTCTGTCACAGCCTTTAGGCTGTGCTTTGGATTACCTGTTGCTCTTGCAAGTGAACCGAGCAGTTAATTTTCACTGAAACATGGGTTTAGGCTGGGTGCAATGGCTCACACCTGTAATCTCAGCACTTTGGGAGGTTGAGGCGAGAGGATCACTTGAGCCCAGGAGTTCAAGAGCAGCCTGGGCAACATAACGAGACCCTGTCTCTACAGAATTTTTTAAAAACTTAGCTGGGTGTGGTGACAGGCACCTGTAGTCCCAGCTGCCCAGGAGGCTGAGGTGGGAGGATTGCTCGAGCCATGCAGGTGGAGGCTACAGGGAGCTGTGATAGCACCACTGCCCTCCAGCTTGGGGGACAGATTGAGACCCTGTCTCAAATGAAACAAAACAAAAACAAAGACAAAAACAAAGACAAAAACATGGGTTTAATGTGCAGTGCTACTAGAATATCAGTCTCATGAAGCCCAGGATATTATCTGTTTTGTTTCACACTGTATTCCTAGCACCCAGAACAGTGCCCAGCACCTCATAGGAGCTCTATCAGTGATCCCCTCTTGGAAATCAGAAGCTTGTTGAAGATGATGTTCTAGACACAAAGTGCATCCAACAGTAGATGTTTCATGTTTTGGTTGGGAGAGTTATTTGAGGTTTCCCTCCCAAATCAGGAGGGCTATGCTCTCCATGCTCATGCTGAACACCCCGCCAATGACCCCTGGGAAGATGGTTCAGTCCTTCCTCAGTCCCCCTCTCTCAATATCTCAATATCCTCATCTTAGAATTTTTCCAGCTGGATCTGCTCCATCACAAAGAATGTAAAGAGTGTCCCTCCTCTCTTTTGCTCTGCCCTCCCGCCAAATGTCTCTTTTGCTCCGTCCTCCCCACAAATGCGGAGGATTAGGAGAGTAGTAAAAGACCCTCCCTCCCTTTTGGCCACAGCCTGGCACCACCATTGGAGCTTTTTCTTCTGAAGATGTTATTTTCTTTTTCTTTTTTTTTTTTTTTTGAAACAGAGTCTTGCTCTGTCACCCAGGCTGGAGTGCAGTGGCGCAATCTCTGCTCATTGCAACCTCTGCCTCGTGGGTTCAAGTGATTCCCCTGCCTCAGCCTCCCAAGTAGCTGGGACTACAGGCACATGCCACCATGCCTGGCTAATTTTTTTTGTATTTTTAGTAGACACGGGGTTTCACCATGTTGGCCAAGATGATCTCAATTTCCTGACCTCGTGATCCACCTGCCTTGGCCTCCCAAACTGCTGGGATTACAGGCATGAATCACAGCACCCAGCCTGAAGATGCTATTTTCAAGCTGCAGGCCCATATTCTCAAATGCCCATTCGGCATTTCCTCCTGCAGGGTTGCTGTGGGTTGAGTTGTGTCCCCAAAAATATATGCTGGGGGTACCCGTGAATGTGACCTTATTTGGCCAAGTTAAAATGTGGCCATACTGGATTGGGGTGAACCCTAAGCCAATGACTGGCATCCTTATCAGAAGAGAGAAAGTTGGACACCAACTTGGACACAGACATAAGGAGAACTCCCCGTGCCCACAGAGGTAAAGCCTGGAGTGACGCATCTACAAGCCAAGGAGAACCAAGTGGTTGGTTCTGGCAACCATCAGTAGCTAGGAAGATGCGAGGAGGGATTCCTCCCTGGAGCCTTTGGAGGGAGCATGGCCCTGCTGACACACCTTGATTTTGGCCTCCAGAATTGTGAGATAATAAGTTTCTGTTGTTTTAAGCCACTCAGGTTTGTGCTGTTTGTGAGGGCAGCCCTAGGAAACCCATACAATAATCTGCTGGAACCTCAAATGCAACACATTCCAGAGATAATCACTTTCCTTTTCAAGCCCGTGCCTCCTGAAGTTGCACTAATTCTTTTCATGACATCCCCCCTGGCCTTTACCCAGGTTTGAAAGATCTCAACTCCATCCTCATTTATTCTTTGGCAAATCCTTACCAAGTCTTGTCCTTTTGTCCCAATCATCTGTCTTTGTTCTCCCTCTCCCCTGCCGCTCTCTCCGTTTAGACTCTTAATCTGGACTCTTATAATCCCTGCTTCAAACCGTCTCACATAAGAGTGAATAAATAACTTTCCATCATATAACTGTCATGTGATGCCCCACTGCCCCCAGCTGAAACCCAAAACAAACACCTTTGTAGGGGCCCCTGCTGAGGGCCCACCGGCTCGCTTTTACCTGGGTGGGGTGCTTGTGCCACTGCTGTGGATATTGACTGATGATAACGCAGAACTGCTCCATCTTTGGAGAACTGCCCTGGATCCTGGGACCCATCGCTTCCTGGAAGTTATGCACCCCCTTGGGGGCGGCCTACAGCCAATGGGGCACACAAGACTATCTCTCTTGCCTCAAGCAGGGCTGAATCTGTGATGGAATTCCTGCTCCAGAGCTCCCTGAGGAATGGGGCTGAAGCCAGACTCCCCGGGAGACCACATCCTTGCTTAGCCCCTTCCCCTGCCCTCCCCTGCTTCTCTTGAGAGTTCCTTCCTGCCCTTCTCTTGAGAGTTCTTCCTCAGTGATCACATCATGTGAGTACCTGTCTCAGGCTTTGCTTTTGGGGAGTCCACCTAAGAACACCCTCAATAGAGCAATGGGGTTCCTTAGTAAAACCTGCACTCCTTCACCCAGCACTAAAGGCCCTCTGTGGTCAGACCCAGAGCACCCAGTCTCCCCACCTTGTCCTCACGTCCCTCTTCCTTTGGTCTAGGTGCTGAGCACAGTAGATCATTGAACTGCATACTGAGATGGAAACTTGTTCCTCCACTTCTCACCTCCAGCCTTTGCTACGCTCTTCCTTCTGTCTGACCTTCCTCCTCTGCCTCCCTCATCCATGCACATCAAGAGTAGCAGGAATTTCAATTGCATTATTTCTGTCTCAGTTGAGGTCCCAAAGTCAGCAGGTGCCAACTAGTCCACAACCAAAGTGAGGTTAGAGACAACCCCAGCAGCACTTGCAAGGAAAGTGCCAAGAGCTGGGACTCCTTTGGACTATTCACTTCTAGGCCATAGAGAAGTTGGGAGGCTCTGGGGCTGGAGGTTCTGAAGAGAGAGGTATTGGTGAGCCGAGCCTCATCTCTCCCTGTGTGGAAGGTGAGATCTGCTGGCCGAGGATTTCTCATGGAGCATCTGGGGGCTGGTTGGGGTTGGCTTGTATTCTTTCCAAAGGGGTGGACCAGCAGGTGCTGAGATTGCAGGCAGATGAAATGACAGCTGGATAGAGCCACACCCATGTCCGGGACTGATGACAGGCGAGAACACTCAGCAAAGCATTGGGAGGGGCTGTCTCCAAAGAACTTGTGAAGGCCCCCATGAGAGGATGGGGCAGCGTTATCCACATGCCGAGCCCACAGAAAGCCTCGCTAGAATGTGTGACCGTACCAGGCAAGTAAAACCTTTCTTGCTCCATCTTTCCCTCATCCCAAACCTGGAGGGGCGGAAGTGGCCTGGTGGGTGGGAAAGGGGAAAAGAAGCTATGTAGGGGAAAGTGAAGAGAAGCAAGGAAAACATGTCCCTCCGCTCCCACAGCAGGAGGCTGGCGAGGTCAGCCCCCACCTGGGGTAGGCCGACAGGAAGACCTTTGAATTCATATGAAGGGGCCCCCTGGCAATAGGTAGACTGTATTTTTAAAAAAACAGACAAGCAGCTGGGCATGGTGGCTCACGCCTCTAATCCCAGCACTTTGGGAGGCCGAGGCAGGCAGATTACCTGAGGTCAGGAGTTCGAGACCAGCCTGATCAACATGGTGAAACCCCCTCTCTACTAAAAATACAAAAATTAGCCAGGCTTGGTGGCACACTACTGTAATCCCAGCTACTCGGGAGGCTGAGGCAGGAGAATTGCTTGAGCCCGGGAGACAGAGGTTGCAGTGAGCTGAGATCATGCCATTGCACTGCAGCCTGGCCAACAGAGCAAGATTCTGTCTCAAAAAAACAAAAACAAAAACAAAAACAGACAAGCTCTACCATGGAAAATTTGAAACATATCCCTGAGTAAAAAGAATCCTATCACGGACTGGTATATTCCAGGGCTCAGTGTCAATAGTAACCAGCACATGGCCGGTCTTGTTTCATCTGCACCCTACTTTTTCTCCTTCCTCTTCCCTTAATGGATTTTTTTTCTTACTTTTTTTTTTTTTTAAAGATGAGGTCTTGCTATGTTGCCCAGGCTGGTCTCCAACTCCTGGGTTTAAGCAGTCCTCCCACCTTGGCCTCCCATAGTGCTGGGATTACAGGCATGAGCCACCACACCCGGCCTAATGGATGTCTTAATTGCCAAATGAAATAGATTTTTTATTTTTTATTATTTTGAGACAGGGTCTCAGTCTGCTGCCCAGGCTGGCATGCAGTGTCACAGTCTTGGCTCACTGCTGCCTCAACCTCCCGGGCTTAAGCGATGCTCCCATCTCAGCCTCCTGAGTAGCTGGGACTACAGATGCGTGCCACCATGCCCAGCTAATTTTTGTATTTCTAGTAGAGACGGGGTAACGGGGTTTAACCATGTTCCTCAGGGTGGTCTCGAACTCCTCAGCTTAAGTGACCCTCCCACCTTGGCCTCCCAAAGTGCTGGGATTACCGGTGTAAGCCACTGTGCCTGGCCTGAAACAGAATTTTTTTTTTTTTTTTGAGTCTTGCTCTGTCACCCAGGCTGGAGTGCAGTGGCACGATCTTGGCTCACTGCAACCCCAGCCTCCAAGGTTCAAGCAATTCTCATATCTCAGCCTTGCTAGTAGCTGGGATCACAAGCATGTGCCACTATGCCCAGCTAACTTTTGCATTTTTAGGAGAGATGGGGTTTCACCATGTTGGCCAGGCTGGTCTCAAACTCCTGGCCTCAAGTGATCTGCCTGCCTTGGCCTCCCAAAGTGCTGGGATTACAGGCGTGAGCCACCATGCCTGGCCTGAAACAGATTTTTTAAATGCAAGCGAATAAAGGGTTTTTACTGCCTATGAGTAATTTTGTCTCTGTGTGGCCAAGGGATAGTGGCTTCTCCTCTCTGTGCTGTAGTTAATGCAAGATCATGATCCCTGTCCTTCTGACCCCACGTAAGAGGCTGGCCATGGACCAGCATCTTATGGTCTTGTGCCAGGTGGATGGGTGAGATGGTGATAATGACACTGATGATGACAATGACAGTTACCAGGATCAGAGAGTAAATGGATGGTATATGGGTGGCATGCCGTTGGTGTGGGTGGCATGTGAATATGACGTGTGCGTGTTGTGTTGGTGGTATGTGGGTAGAGTGTGGCTGACATGCTGTTGTGTGCTGGCATGCGGTTGGTATGTGGGTGTCAGCCAGTTTGCCTGGGCTCAGGGTGTGTAATGATTTACCTGATTTGCCTTCCCCTGTGCCTTCCCTCCCAGTGGCAGCCGACTGCATTTCATACATACCAAGGTTCTTATCACATCAAGAATTCATAATCATCCCAAAATATTCAATGGGGATATGAAATATTTACACATGAGGCGCCAGACGATGAAACGAGCCTGTCCCCAGACCCTGGCAGAAACCTCTCTCCTGCAGGGACAGGAATGAGGCTGGGAAGGGGCTGGGGCTATCCTTGCAGGTCCCCATCTCTTGGGTCTCTGCAGCACATACTGGGTATCCTTGTTTGGTGGGGGGCAATCAGATCTCCGGCCTCCTCCCTGCCGCTTGTGTGGCCTCCACTCCCTTACTCTCCCACATGGGCAAGATGCCTCTGCTTGGCAGGGCATGGGTGGGGGGAGCGGTGAGACAGGAACAAAGAGAGGGGCTTGACCTAGATCATAGAAACCCAGAATCTAGGAAATGGAAGCAATCTCAGAATTTATCCACACCTCTTTCCTCAAAATGCTGCAGGGATCCTTGTTTATCTGCTTGCTTAACTCCAACAACAGGGAGCTCACTCCCCTCATTTAATAGCTGGAGACTTGTGGTTAGGAAAGTCTCCCTCGTACTGCAGTGCCTACAGGCTCCACTTGCCAGCCCTCTTCAGCCCCTCTGAGGGGTCACCTTGTCCATCCCCCTGCCAGTCTGGGTCCTCAGTGTCTTGAGACCCCCAGGCCTGTCTGCTGCACGGGGAGACACCAGAACACAGATGGGCCCCTGAGCAGCCGTAATGGTCTTGTCTATTTAATTACCACGCAATTAGCCTAATGCATATTTAAACATTGCACCAGAGCTGCTCATCAATTATCCGCAGCCGGAGACAGACAGACAGACAAACATATAGTCAGCCTGCAGAGTCTGGAGGAAGAAGATTTTGTCAGTAACTTTTCAGGCCTCAGCACAATGGAGGGCTGTGCCATTGTTGAAAGTACTAACCTGCTTTCCTCCAGCTTCCGGGGTAGGAAAATGAGGCTCAGGCTTCTGTTTCCCCATTGCAGCTCCATCCCAACTTGGGCCAGCAGAATTGCTGTGGCTTCCTGCTGGTAATCTCAGCTCCCCAGGGATGCTGTCTCCCCCAGCAGGCTGGGAATCCTTTGAGGACACGAATCCTGTCTTCTCTTTCTTCCGTCTTTTCCCTACTCCACCTGAATCCAGCTAAGAACGATGATCCAGAACAGGAAGGGCATTGGACTGGGAGTCACTGAACACATGTGTAATGTTGACTGAGCCATGTCTTCTGGCAGAATGTGTTTTCACCAGAGTGGAGTGGAGACAACAGTGGCTTGCAAGCTCTGTGATCCATTTCGGCTCCCCCACAGCCTAGCTGAGTGACCTTGGGAAAATGTCTCAACCTCTCTGAGCTTCCATGACCTCAAATGCAAATGGTTCTACTAATATCTACCTTATGGGGTTGGTAGAGAATTAAATGAGTTAACACTGGGCCAGCACTTATACTTAAGACACAATGCTTTCCTCCCTCCCTCTCTCTGTTCTATCTGACTATTGAATTCACAGGTCTCTTCATGGACTCTGGCCACTTTGCTGGTGGCTGGGGAGATTTCCAGAGTGCACAGGACCCTTGTTGCCAGTGCTGGGTGGAGCCCCGAGTGGGGACAGCTCGGGAGACCTGGGGTTTGTGCTGAAAGGCGAGGTGCAGCCTTGGGTGGGTAAGGCCAGGCATTCCTGGTGGACACATCTTCCATGAGGATAAACTGGAATGCGACACTGATACTGTCAGACCCTGAGCAGCGGAACATGGAGGAGCCTAAATATTTCATGATCAAATTCATCAATAATGGAGACGGAGACTAAATTACATAACTGTCACCTTTCCGTTAAATAATATTTTCTGCAGGGGGCTGGGCGGGGCCATAAGGCCTTTATTGCAAGTCATGAATGATTTAGGCCAGCAAATAAAGGGGATCAGGAAGACAGAAAGAGACAGGGATTCTTCTAAGATCAGCTGACACATCACACGAGAATGGCTGGAGGGAATCTGCAAGGTGTGAGGGTCGCAAGGAAAGGGTACTGCGGATATTTACAGGGAGGTGCTGGGGGCTGGGTACACATCTTCCAGAGCTGGGAAGGTGATTAATAGACCGGCTCTGAGTCTCACTGTCACATTGTTCATTTTACATGGACACGAACAGAAAGAAGCTCAGAGACAACCAGAAAGCAGGGGCTACATCTCCCTATCAAATAGAAAGGAACTCTGTTATAGGGCCCAGTCTACCCCACCAGACCAAGGGCTTCCTGAGGGCAAGAGGTGTGTCTTCTTGGTCAGAGTTGAAGCCTCTATAGACAGGAACTGTGTTTTTCCCCATTACACTGGGGACTTCCAAAGCCAGGGCAGGGGCTGTACCATCTCTTACCGACCTGGGGCTTCCTGAGGGCAGGGCATGACCTGAGTGCAGGCACTTTGGAGTACAGGGATTCCTGCAGGCCGAGTGTCTGTCCTTCCAATCAGAGCGGGGCCCCTGCCGGCAGGGATGGTGTCTCCTGTGTTAGACTGCGGCCTTCCTCAGGTCTTGGCCTATGCCCTCTCCATCGGTGTTGGGAAGCCCTGAGGGCAGAGGCTGTGTCCCCCTACTCAGACTGGAAGCTCCAAGGAAAGTGCCTAAGTCCTTTCTCGCTTCTCCTTTGTGTGGTGGAGGAAGGAAGGGATGAGGGGAACTGGTGCTGGGTCTCAGCAGCCAGCCAGCCCTCCCCTCCCCAGAGAGGGAGCCTCGGTGGGCATGTGTGCAAACTCACCCTGCACCGTCAGCCCTCTGTGGGAAGGGTGAGGGTTGGGAGCGCTGTGCCCGCTAAGTGTATAATTACACAGTACTTGGGGTAATTTTCCTTTTCCTCAAGAAGCGCACGTTGGCCCTGATTTTCCTATCCGCAGATTGTAAGCTCGTAATTAGCAGCAAATTACCCACACGAGTGACAAATTTTTGTGCTTTCAAGTAAACAGACAAAATACCCACAGTTCATAAATTGCCTCTCGGTGCAGCAGGCACCTGGTTCCTGGAGATGCCCAGCCTGCCCACACGTGTCAGAGAAGGGGGCGGAGAGCCAGGGTGAGGGCCGAGGCTGCAGCCAGTGGGCTTACAGGTGGATCAGCTGGTCTCTAAAGTTGGAACTTCCTGCTTGCTGACCAGCACCCACAGATCAGAGCCTTTGGCCCAGGTCAGCTTCAAGGTCTCCGACATGGATGTGGAGTACTAGGGTGGCAGCACCAGCCTCGAGGATGAGAAATAGATCCCCATTCCCCTATCTGTGTCACTGAGGAGCTCATGGAAACTGGCTCTGCGTCTTCTCTCAGTCCACTTCTCTGGACACCAAATGCCTCTTACTTGCTTTTGAACGTGATTCTTAACTTTGTTTGAGTCATGGACCTTTTGGAAGCCTAGGGAAGTCTCAGAACCCCTTCTCAGTATGATATTTCAAATGCATAAAATAAAATAAAACACACAGGATTACAATGCGTTGAAACGCAGTTCTAGCCTCATGCCCAGGGTTGGAACCCTGCCCCAGAACAACTTCTTGCCCTAGTTCTAGCACTCAAAAGAAGCTTAAACTTCAGCATTGGGTAGATTTGGGTTCAAACCCTGACTCTGCCACTTTCTGGCTGTGTGACCCTGGGTGAGCCAGGTAACTTCTCTGAGCCTGTCTCCTCCTAGGAGAAATAGATAATAGCAGAGCCTGGCTGGACACAGCGGCTCGCATCTGCAATCCCAACACCTTGGGAGGCCAAGGCAGGCAGATTGTTTGAGGCCAGACATTTGAGACCAGCTTGGGAAAAATGGTGAAACCCCGTCTCTACAAAAAATACAAAAATTAGCCGGGCATGGTGGCATGCATGTGTAGTCCCAGCATGGGAGGAGGGAGGATCACTTAAGCTCGGGAGGTTGAGGCTGTGGTAAGCTGTGATCATGCTACTGCACTCCAGCCTGCACAACAGAGCAAGGCCACCCTGTCTCAAAAATAAATAAATAAATAAATAAATAAATAAATAAAAAGCCTCCCACATAGGACTATAAGGATTAAATGAGATAATGTATGTAAAATTTCTACCAGAGTCTCTAGCACATAGTAAGTTCTCAATGTTAAGTATTAATAACAATAATAATGTTCCAGGATTTTGGTGATTCAGTTCTTATTCTTCTTGCTCTTCCTCTTCGTGTTCATTCATGTCATTCCCCAACACACTCCCAGATTTGACGAGCACTAATTTAGTAAGAACTGATTTCCTGTGCTCCTGGATACACTCAAGTTCCCTAATCCCACCTGAAAACTACAGTGCTCCTACCCTCCTGGAGAGGGGACGCCTCGCTACCGGAGGCAAATAGGATCCAAAGCTTCCACTCTGCCACCCTTCCTGAGCTCAGCGAACTCACCACTAAAATGGGGTTAATAACACCTACTTCACCAGGCTGAAAAGGGTAATATTTGCAAAGTGCCCGGTAAAACATCTGGTATACCTGGTGGGCCACTGGAACTGTACCCATGATTAATGTTATTGTCCCTGGTAATCTGTTACTTTGGTGGCCCCCAATGAAGCACACCTTCCAGCATTCATGCCCTTGTGTACGCCTCTCTCACGTTGATTCTGGGCTGGCCTTGAGTGCTGCCTTAACCAATAGGACATGGCAGAGGTGATGCTGTGTCAATTCCTGGCCTAAGCCTTAAGAAGCCTGGCAGCCCTGGTGTGATGAAGCTGGCTTGTACCAGCTTGTAAGAGCTGATAGTTAAATTTTCTCGAATTTTATGAGCATATTAACATCAAGTTGGTAACTTTAAATTAGTACTGGCAGAAATATTTACACCACAGAGACTGGCAAATACTACACATCAGGGATCTTTCCTTCCTTTTTATTTTCTTTGTTGTAAAGTCAGATACCAGCACCCCATTGCCTGGTAACTTTCACTTTAGAACTCTGGTGAGCTCTGAACCACGACCTAAGATGCTCTGCTATTTTTTAGGAAAGACTACCCATGGAAAATCCCAGTGGAGGGGAAGAAGACCTGAGACTGCATGGAGGAGAACCAGGGAACCCAGATACATGACCCAGTAGAGCCATTCCAACCACCCATCTGTGAATGAAGAAATCATGAACTTCCAGCTCCAGGAGACGTCACATGGATCCAAGATGATCTGTCCCTACTGTAACCTGTCAGAATTCTTGAATCACAGAATTCTGATCAAACAAAACACTTACTGTTTTAAACCATTACGTTTTGGGGTGCTTTACATGTGGCATAGATAATCGAGCCATCTATCCCTGAGGCGTAGAACCAGGTGGCCCCACGTCTCCTGTGATGGTCTCTTCATTCTGTGACTTCTATCACTTTCTGCATTATGTGGGTTCCAGGAAGCCCAAAAGAGAGGTTCCCCAGCTCTCTTCACCTCAACTGGGGCAGACTTCCTTGCCCCTGAGCCACCCTGATCTTCTAGGGATCCCAGGAAGTGTCCCTGCCCACACACCTCCCCCATCCCATCTTTGCAGACAGGGAGACATGGAGTGAGAGATTCTTCTGGGGAGACTGGTGTGGAGCTGAGAGAGGAACAGAGCCCCCCTCCCTTCCCTGTTGACATTTGAAAAGGACAAAATTGGAAGGAAGGTAAATGCTACTCTTCTCTTCTCCCAGGGAAGGAGGTGGCAGACACCCAGCGTTCTGTTTGCTTCAAGTTTAGCAAGGGTACTGGAGTGCTAGGCACCTGGTCGCACCCTGACGGGGTGGCTGCTGGTGGGCTTGGCATCCTCCAACCGAGGTTGCCTGGGCTGGTGTCTGGCAGAACTGCCCTCCCTATCTATCCAGTGCCCCTGTGCCTGGGTGAATCCAGTGGTCCCAACCACAGGGGATTCCACAAGTCTGCACAGTGTTTCCAAATTTCTGAGACTAATTTGGGGGTTTGGGGAATGAGAAACTGGAATCACTAAAAATTCTTGGGAACTTTTGAAATCATATGTTATTCTGTATTTCTCATAACACTTTATTTTACACATTTTATTTTATTTTCTCTTATTTTATTTTATCTTTGAGATGGAGTCTCACTCTGTTGCCCAGGCTGGAGTGCAGTCGTGCGATCTTGGCTCACTGCAGCCTCCACCTCCCAGGTTCAAGCAATTCTCCTGCCTCAGCCTCTCAAGTAGCTGGGACTACAGGTGCACACCACCATACCCAGCTAATTTTGTATTTTTAGTAGAGAAGGGGTTTCTGTTGGCCAGGCTGGTCTCAAACTCCTGACCTCCAGTGATCCACCCACCTCGGCCTCCCAAAGTGCTGGGATTACAGATATGAATCACCTCACCCGGCCCATTTTACACATTTTAAATAATGATGATTATTATCATTATTAATGACTGTGGGCCAAACATGGCAGCTCACGCCTGTAATCTCAGTGCTTTCAGAGGTCAAGGTGAGAGGATCACTTGAGCCCGGGAGTTTGAGATCAGCCTGAGCAACAGCAAGATGTTGTCTCTAAAAAATTTTTAAATTACCCAGGTGTGTTGGTGCATACCTGTGGTCCCACCTACTTGAGAGGCTGAGGCAGGAGGATCACTTGAGCCCAGGAGTTTGAGGCTACAGTAAGCCATGATTGTGCCACTTGCTTTCCGGCCTGGGTGACAGAATGAAACTGTGTCTTGAAAAAATAAATAAATAAATAAACAAAATGATTGTAAATAATGAGTGACTGTAAATAATAAATAGTAAATCATTTTTCTGTGATAGGGTTATGTTAAAAGTTTCAAAGGTCTTTTGTTTATGAAAAAGATATATTAAATGCATGAATTATTATTTCTATGAACCAATATATTTTGACAAGATTATATATTTTAATAACATGCAAATTTGCTCCCTACCTGATGTAGATAATTCATAAGCGAAAACATTAAAATAAGGGAACATTAACACAAAATTAATGCCAAATAAAAATCATTAAAAAATTGAAAGCTAACACAAATATTTAATATTAAAATTTTTTCATCTTAAATGAAAATTATATTTTACTTTTTTTTTTTGAGACAGGATCTCTCTCTGTCACCCAGAGGGAGTGTGGTGGCATGATCTCTGCTTACTGCAACCTCCCCATCCTGGGCTCAAGCCATCCTCCCACCTCACCCTCCCCAGTAGCTGGGACTACCGGTATGCACGATCATGCCCAGCTAATTTTTGTATGTTTTCTAGAGACGGGGTTTCACCATGTTGCCCAGGCTGGTCTCAAACTCCTGAACTCAAGCAACCTTCCTCCCTCGGCTTCCCAAAGTGCTGGGATTACGGGCATGAGCCACCTCACCCAGCCTAAAAATGAAAAGTTTAAAACACACAAAGCAATAATTAACCTAACAGCCTTTTTAAAAAGTTTTTATTTTATTTTATTTTTAGAGACAAGGTCTCACTTTGTTGCCCAGGCTGGGGTGCAGTGGCACAATCATAGCTCACTGCCGTCTCGAATTCCCTGGCTCAAGTGATCCTCTTGCCTCAGCCTCCTGAGTAGCTGGGACTGCAGGCGTGGGCCACCATACCCAGCTAAGATTTTAGCCTGACACTCTTGATCTTTGTTTTGTAACAAATATCCCAGATATAGAAAAAAATATTGTGTGTTGATATGGGTTGAATCATTAAGCATGTGTCTAAACGCATCTTCAATTTGGGTGTTAGAGCATGCTATATGTTATATGCTTCAAATAAGCTCATTTATTTATCTTTTAACAATGAAAGTACTTTGCTTTCCCTGATTTTCTTTTTGTCACTGAAATAGATATTGCTTTTATTCGTTCAGACTTTAGATCAGTTTCCGATTTTGTGTCTGAGAATTCTACCACATTCCTATCTTCTTCTCTTTGCATTTCTGCCATAGCAAATATTCAAATGCTGGAAAAGGGCAGTGACCGTGACTGCACAGTATTTGAAGAATGTAATATTCAGATCTCCTAGCAAGGTTAACAGTAAGTACTACATGTATTACAATTGCCAACTTAAGGGCTTATTTTGCTTCCAAAACTTATTTCTTGAAACATTGCTCACAGGATTGGTATTAAGTATACTGCGCTTATAACTTATTAATATTTATTTTATTTGTAAGAATGACTCACCATTGGCAGCAGACAGGGCCACAAACATGCACTGATATGAGGGCAACAGCTCCCAGTCAGGAAGACTGACTGATTAGATGGTGACATTCTTGCCTATGAACTCCTGTCCTAGCTCCCAGAGATGTTGACCTTAACCTTCAACTCCATGTATCAGGGTTTCTGGCTCTTGCTTTCAACTTGACATCAGTTGATTCCTTTGAACAAATAACATCTCTATGTTGATTATGAAGCTCTAATTCTCACAAAAGAATTATAATACTTTTTCCCATTTTTCAGATTGCTTGACTAACTTTTCTGGGGATTTTCCTCAGAAATGCTGCATTGTAACACGCGGTCTATAGCATGACTGAAGGGAGGTGTTCTTCATCCAAAGAGTGTGAACTCTTGACATGCCTGTTCTAGACAGGATGGGATGCTGCTGCCCAGGGTTGGAGAGGTCACTAAAGAGAGAGTTGGGCTCTGGTAGAAAAACCACCCCAATTCACTGGTTCCCCAGGGTACCACCTCCCCAGGTGGACTCTTACAAGGCAATGTTCCCCAGGGACTGTCTCTAGCTCTCTTCTTGTCTTCATCTTCATGTTCTCTGGGGCACTGCATCCATGATCTTGGTTTCAATGCACCGATGAAATCCAAATTCTTGTCTCCAGCCCAGATCTCTCTCACTCTTTTACTTAAAGACCCATTTGCAAGTCTTCTCCTTCCCATCCACATGACTCCAAGCTTTCATGGTTTACAAGACTAATATCCAAGGTAGGAATGCTTCCACAGGAAGACAATAATGGTTCCATTGAACTGGAAGGTGAGATTGTCACCAGGCCCTTTTAGTTTGTCATGCAAAAAGGGAGATCATAGTGTCGGTTGGGATGACTAACCCTAATTATGAATGAGAAAAAATGGGGGCAAGAAAGAATAGGACTTGTAGGACAAGTAGTTCTAGGTCAGGTGGTAAAAGTTAATGGAGGCTGGGTGCAGTGGCTCATGCCTGTAATCCCAGCACTTTGGGAGGCCAAGGCAGTCAAGAAGTTAGTCAAGACCTGAGGTCAGGAGCTCAAGACCAGCCTGACCAACATGGAGAAACCCCATCTCTACTAAAAATACAAAAAATTAGCCGGGCATGGTGGCACATGCCTGTAATCCCAGCTACTTGGGAGGCTGAAGTAGGAGAATTGCTTGAACCCGGAAGGCAGAGGTTGCAGTGAGCTGAGACTGTGCCATTGCACTCCAGCCTCGGCAACAAGAGCAAAACTCCTGTCTCAAAAGAAAAAGTTAATGGAAGACCATACCAACCCCAAACAGGCAACACCATCAAAGGCTCAGCCTTCTCCAGAAAGAAGGTTAAGATGACCCCACCAGATAAAGACCTCTGATCAGCTGAGGTACTCATGAAGACAAGTGGGACATGGGATGAAATGACAAATACCAACTATAGCCTGTGATCAGTTGCAGAAACAAGAATTATAGTATCCACCCATAGTGTACTCCTTGCTTTTCTTACGGATATATTTATCTCTTTTAACCAAACTTCCTTATTTCTCCCATCTTCATTCCCCATTATTTTTATATAAGGATATTTTTGATAGTTATATTTGCAATTTATGGCATAGATTATAGAATTTTGAAATGGAATCATGACAGAATTAGAAGGAGAATGGACCTCCCTGGTTATCCTGGTGTATTTACTGATATGAACATGGGTTGTCCCCCTTTGGGGAAAAGGGTAAGTTTTCATTGTGAAGAGTAATTACATCATGTTAGGTTTTCATGGTGGTCATCGTGGTGGGTAAGTCTGAGAAGGAAGAAGGGTATATATTGATGTTGGGCAGCCAAGAGGTGGACTGTACTAGACATTTGTCATTCTTCTTGGCTGCCTGGGGCTTTTAAGCCTTCTTTCTTTATCTGGAACCTCCATATCTTATGTGTCTGCCTCTCCCCTAAGTAGCAGCCAGAAGCTCGCTTTCCTGGGCTCCCTTATACCAGGTATGTAACTTAGGCTGCCCCAAATAAATGTATCCAGAGAAGTCTCTGAAGAAGCATGGCCTCTATTTTGGTGAGTGTAGCAGCAGAGGCACCCAACTTCCAGAGGCTGTGATGGCAGAAGTTCTAGGGAGTACCACCCCTTAGACCTGGGCAAGAGGAGTCCCTGCTTTGGCCCATGCATTTATAGAGTCCTACTGTGGTCCTCCTCCAGCCACACTCCTCCCGTCAGGGTCAGGAATCTGCAGGACCAAGGGACATGCCTACCCGGAGCCCACACCTCTACTTCTACATCGTGCTTTGAGAACCAGGATCCCAGATTTCCTGTCCAAATGGCCCCATACCCACTTCCAGGGCCTGTACAGGCCTCTTTCCTGGGTCTGTCTTCCGAAGGTAGATCACACTGCAGTGGTGTACCCTAAAGCCTGAGAGGCAGCCCAGGGGTGTTTGTTGGTGGGGGATGTGAAGAGAACTTGGGCCGGTAGGCAGGAATGTCTACACACAAGCCCAGGGGCCCCTTGCAGGGCAGGACAGGGCCAAAGGGAAGAAAGAGAAGGGACAGGGGCTGGAGGCAGATTCCCTGCACCACCCTTTTGTAGCACAGTTCTGAGGATTCTGAGTCTGAACCTGACCTTCCTGGCTGTTATAAAAGTTTATGTGTCAAGGTGTAGAATCTGTGGAAGACTGTATTTTCTAAAAATGGTAACGGCAGCGTGTCATCTTGCTTGCTCTTTCAGATCTTTACATTCCCCACCAAGAGGCAGAGTCCACTTCCCCTCCCCTTGCATCTGGGCAGCACTTTGTGACTGCTTTGATGAATAGAGTGTGACAGAAGTGGTACTGCATGACTTCGGATGCTAGGTCATGAAAGGCAATCCAGCTTCTTATGGGTGTCTCTTTCTTAGGAAACTTGCCCTTGGAATCCATCCATCATGCTGTGAGGAAGTGCAGACCAGTCCTCGTGGAGAGACACATGGAGAGGGACCGAGGCCTCCAGTCAACTACCAGACATGTGAATGAGTAAGCCTACAGATGCTTCCAGTCCCCAGTCTCTGAACCTTCCAGCTGAGGCCTCAGCATTACAGGGCAGAGACAAACCATTCAGGATCTGACTTCCTGATCCACAAAATCTAGGAGCTTAATAAATGTTAGTTTTATACCACTAAGTTTTGGCACTTCTTATGCAGCCGTAGTAACAGGAACAGATTCTAATATATTTCATTTAATAGATTGTGAGCACTGAGATTTTGAAATACTTGGATATAGAGCATGAGAGTCTCCATTTGTCCTCTTTCCCTGAGCCTCCCAAATGTTAGGGACAATCTCTAGAGTTCAGTGCCCAGTGTCAGTAGTATAGGCTGCAGAGTCTGTGCCAGTTGTGGGGGTAGATGGGCATCCACAGCAACAGGTCTAGGGTGTCATTTGGACACTGTGTTCCTGACTGTGGTTTCCAGGCCTCATCCTCTGGTCCTCCTAGAGATTGTGTGAACTACCTGATTTCCTTTGTAAATTCCTTTTCTGCATAAAACAGCCAGTGTGATTTCTGTTGCTTGCAACTTAGAAACCCTGATTCAGACAGAAACTGTTTCCAAGTTATTTCACTTTGATTCAGTTCAAAAGACATTAACTATCTGGCACATGGCTGGCCATATTTTTGGCAATAGTAACAGGAAGATGAAAAAGACAGAATCTTATATTAGATAATAATAGCTAACATTTATTGAGTGTTTGGATTGAGCTAGACACTGTGCTTGGCACTTTTCCTGCTACATCAAGAGTCTCACAACCACTTTCTGTGGCAGGTACTACCATTCGCCTCCTATCACTAGAGATCAGGAAACTGAGACTCAAAGAGGTTAAGTAACTTGCCTAAGATCACACCATTAGTAAACGGTAGAGCTGGAATCAGAACCTGTGACCATCTGACTGCAATACTTGCTTTTAACCATCTGCCTCCAGGCAACATCTGTGTTTGGTGGGACAACACACAGATAATGTCATTATAATTTCAATGAGTTAAGAGTATTATTCTAGGAGCATGAAGGAGAAGCATTTAGTGGAACTCCAGCAAGACTTCTGGGAAGAGATGTTGCCTGAGCTGAGTCATGAGGGATGTGGGGGGCTGGTCAGATGAAGGAGGATGGGCAGGACACTCCAGACTGTGCAAACCGCATGTGCAAAGGGCCAGAGGAATGAACTGGCATGCCCAGAGTGGCCATATTGCAGTGCGTGGGCTGGGAGCAGAGGGGAGGAAGGCAGGGCCCAAATCCTACAAGCACTGGTGCTAAGCTGGAGAGTCTGAACTTGATCCTGTAGGCTGTGGAGGGACACAGAGGGATTTTCAGTGGATTTGTGATTCAGAAGTCTCCTCTGCCAGCACAGGGGGTTGGCTTGTAACATGTGTGGGCTGGAAGCAGGAAGCCGCTGCATAATCCAGGGGAGAAATGAGTAGGGCTGCACCGAAGCCTCAGAAGCCTCAGTGATGGGAACAGGAAATGGATGGAAGGATGGAGGAGATGAGAGTTGGAGGAGGCAGAGCTGCTGAATTTGAATGTGCATTTGGAGAGGAAAGGAAGAGCCCAAGGTTAGGTTCCAGGCGTCTGCCCGGGTGATGAGAGAATGACGAGCCATTCACCAAGATGAGAAACATGGGAGAAGGAATGGGGTTTTGTGGTTTTTTTTTGTTGTTGTTGTTGTCTTGTTTTGTTTCTGAGATGGAGTCTTGCTCTGTTGCCCAGGCTGGAGTGCAGTGGCGCAATCTCAGTTTACTGCAAACTCTACCTCCTGGGTTCAAGCGATTCTCCTGCCTCAGCCTCTTGAGTAGCTGGGATTACAGGCATCCGCCACCACGCCCGGCTAATTTTTTGTACTTTTAGTAGAAACGGGGTTTCACCATGTTGGCCAGACTGGTCTCGAACTCTTGACCTCAGGTGATCCTCCTGCCTCAGCCTCCCAAAGTGCTGAGATTACAGGAGTGAGCTACTGTGCCCAGCCAGGGTTGTGTTTTAAGCAGATAGCTGGGCAGCCTCAGGGGGCTCAGCCAGAATATACAGCTCATCATCGCCAACAATTACCAAGTGCAGGCAGCACTCCTGGCCCTGGGCTAAGGGCTTACCTCACTGGATGTGGTGAAGATTCAAGAGTTAATACTTGTAATTGGTGTAGAATAGTGCCTCTCACAAAATAAGCACTCTGGAAGAATTTGCTCTTATGTTTACTACTGTTAGCCTTGTTTTACAGACAAGCAAACTGGGGCACAGAGAGGTGATGTAACCTGCTTAAGGTCACACAGCTAAGAAGCTGGCAGTCAGACTCCAGAGAAATGCTCCTGGCCCCACGCCACACTGTCTGCAGGTCACTGAGTGGTAATCAGAACCATGGGATGGATGAGCTCATGAGGGGGCAGTGTGACAAGGATAAAAGCAGGGGCCAAGGTTCTGGGCCAACTAGGGAGACCCTGGAGCTCACAGTGAACTTGTTCACCACAGAAACGGTGCTGAGGGTCCTTTGCTGGAAAGTGGGGATAAACATAGCACCTCTTAAAGGGCTGTGATGAGGGTGGAGGGAGATAATGCTGCACATGGAACCCGTAAAGCTTAGTTATTAGGATTAGTGGTGCTTGTGTTTGCATCTCCAGTCACTCGGAACCTCAGTTTCCTCCTCTATAGACTGGAGACCCTAATGACATCCCAGGGTTCCCACGATTACATGAGCGAATACGTGACTGCCCTTTGAGGACTGTGGAGTGTTCTACAAAGGTGGTGTATAGTCGTCCTCCAGCAATGGATTGGTAAAGGAGAGTGGGAGCCTGCCTTGAACTGGTGGACAGCTCAGGCCCTCATCAGGCAATTGGGTGAGGTTGGCAGGGTGGCTGGGAGGATGCGGGCCAGGCCTGGGCTGGCACCAGCTCACCAGGCCTGGGAGGAGTGATTGAGGCTGATAGACTGAGGCCTCCCCCATGCCTCTCCTATCTCAAGTTGAACAGTGTGGCATTCAATGCTGCTGCATCCTGGATGTACTCTTGCCTCTGCATGTGTGTGTGTATATATGTGTGGACATGCACACATAGGGGGAGCCCCTAACTTCCAGAGTCAGGAGGTGGCAGGTATGAAGTTTTCGTTGGGAAACCTGCTTCTTGAATGAATTCTATCCTGACCTCCTCTGACATTCAGTAAATGTAGTTGGAGTCCTTTAGAGCATTTGGTCTGTTTGGGTGTCTGTCCTGATATCTGTAAGCCAAGCCTGTGCATGTAGGTCTGTAGGGGCCGAGTAACAGTGCCAGTGAGCCCCACAGGGAGTGATGACAGGATGACTGTCGTCGCCAGGTTGCCGTGGTTATATACCGTGGCATATGCTGGTGGTGCCAATGGTGATGGTGTTGAGGGTGGGTCAATGGTGGCCTCTTGGCTGCCCCTTTCACACACTGCAGCCATTTTTCCTGCAGGTCGGGCCTTTCCTTGAGAAGGAATGGTGATGAGGGGGAGGCTGGGAGGAGAAGCAAGGAAGAGGAGAGGCATCCTTATCTCTCAGTACCTGGTGTTCTAACAGCAGCCCCTCCCTGACAGCCCAGCTTTTGCAATATCACTTTTTTCCTCCGGAGAGCAGTTCACTTTTGCTGGTATGATCAGGAAGGTAACAAGTGGGGAAAACTCCCTCCTACAGCATTTTAATCTAGGTGGGGTGAACACGCTCTGCCTGGCCTCCCTCCAGACCTTTGCTTAAATTGTCCCCACCACCTGGAACACCCTCCCTTGAGGCAGACATCTCACCTCAAAGCCTCAGCCTCAAATACGTCTCCTTCATTAAGCCTTCCTAGGTCTCGCATGATAGAACTGATTCCTCTGTTCTTGGTGTGCTCCTAGGTTGCAAAGGCGATTGTGTGGTAGCTGTGGATGGCTTTGAGGCCAACAAATCTGGGTGGGCCAGATTGTGTTACACCATAAATTGGATCAATGTCCTTCTCTGTTTTAGACTGTCAGCCACTATGGTTTGAGTTTGTGTGGCCTGAGACACCAGGGCCTGCTACAGTGGTGTGTTGGTAAGTGTTCAACAACCACCTGTCTGGGGGAAAGGTCTTGCTTTGTAGCCTGAACGTGGAATTGAGAAGAGATGCTGCCAGCTTGTGAGCTGGTACGACTTAGAGTACACAGCTGCTGATTCATCTCTCTGAACCATAAATGTTAACATCAGCTAGTGCCTAGCACATAGTAGGCCCTCAATGCATGTTTGAATGAATAAATGATTATATAAATGAATGAATGAGGCATTGGGTGGGTAGGTAAAATTCAATTAAGTGGCTAGAGCAGTGGTGATTCATGGCTGGCTTCGGGGTGGCGGGGGCAGGAGAGAGGGGGTTATATCTGTTGGGCAGAGGCATTGGTGGCCGGCACCAGGCAGATCCAAGATGTCACAGCCCACCACCCAGAAGGTCCTCCTGCCTCCCCTAGGCTTCCCCCAATGCCAAGGCTGCTTCACATTCTCTCATAAATAACCTGTAATGCTGCTGAATGCAGTTTTCTTGTTGGGGGTTTTGTTTCTTCAATCATGACAAAAGCCACACTAATGAGTTATTGGAAAAACCAAGCCCTGCTCCAGGCCAAATAGGCTGGGTGAGCACAGAGAGGGAGGTGCTGAGCATGGCAGCCAAGGCTGGGCAGGAGGTTTAGTGAGTCTCTGAAGAGAGCTGTCACGCAAGAGGGGATTTAAAGCACCCCAATAGCTTACAAGTGCCCAGGGCTTTACAGTTGGCACAGACTCTCTCCAGGAATCCTCCACAGCCTGGCTGGGTGGGTGTCATTAACATCCCGCTCCTCCAGGGGTTTCCACCTCAGGGCCTTTGTACCTTCTGCTCCCTCTGTCTAAAACGCCCTTGCCTCCAGCTATTCATCTGTCTCCCTACTCACTTCACTTGGCTTCCCAGAGAGACCTTCCCTGTCTACCCTGCCTAAAGTGATATCATCCCTCATTCTCCACCCCCTTGCCCTAGTATCATTTTGTTTTCCTGGCATCCATCATCACCTGATGTCTTGGGTTAGATTTTCCCAGAAGCAGGCCCTAAGACAAGGATTGCAGGGCAGGTGGTATTTGGTGACTCCAAGAAACACCCATAGGAGAATGGGGGAAGTGAAACAGGGGAGGGAACGCAGCCCATAAGGGGTGCAATATTTATCCAGTTACCACTGTGGGGAGCTGGAGCTCGGTCTCACTGGGGAACTCTGGGGGACAGTGTAGGGCATGCCCTCTGGGACATCCTGCCTGAGGGGTGAGGGAGCTGGTATTTATGCGGCTCCTGTGAGTCACTCTCTGAGGGCTGCTCCTGGGGACCTCAGGGGCCCTGGCCCTTTTGGCTGCTATGTGGGCAGGCAAAGAAGGTCTTGGGCAGAGACATATAGTGATCCTCCCATTTTCCCATTTAATCCCTCTAACAGCCCTATGAGGTGGGCACTATTTTTTTTTTTTTTTTTGAGACAGGGTCTCACTCTGTTGCCCAGGCTGGAATGCAGCAGTGCAATCACAGCTCACTGCAGCCTCAAACCCCCAGGCTCAAGGGGTCCTCCCAAAATCAACTCCAGCCTGGGCAACACAGGGAGACCCCATCTCTACAGAAAATTTTAAAAAGTAGCCAGGTGTGGTGGCATGCACCTGTGGTCCCAGCTATTTGAAAGGCTGAGGTGGGAGGATCACTTGAGTCCAGGAATTTGAGGCTGCAGTGAGCTGGGATCTTGCTGCTGCACTCCAGCCTGGGTGACAGAGCAAACTTGTCTCAAAGAAAAAGAAAAAAGAAAAGAAACTGAGGCACAGAGAGGGTCCTCAGGGTCATGATGCTGTTTAGTAGCAGGTTGGTACTTATTACTGTTTAATGTTCTTTCCCGTGTTTCATTCCCCACGGTCTGTGCAAATGAACATGTGAGCGTGTGGGAGAGAATCTGTATGTGTGTTCTTCATTTGCTCATTTGTTCATCATGCAGAGCTCAGGGACCTGTTGTCCTCTATAGATAGAATATAAACTGTATAAATAATGTAAATATCATCTCGATTATGTAAAAACCTGCATATAGAATAAAGATGGAAAGGACAGATAATACCATTTTAATGATTACCGTGGGTGATGGGATTATAGGTGATTTACATTTCTGTCGTTATATGTTTCTGTTTCTCTCCAGTTTTCTACAAGCAGCATGTATTATTTTTACAATCAGAAATAAATGTTATTTTCAAATATGGTTTTTTTAAAATTAAGTTCCTTTTGTGTTTCCCCTGCAGCTTCCTCGCTGTGCCAGGCAGTCAGGCCTCACCTGGGGTTTGGCCTTGCCTGGCCAGACCTCCAGGAGGCCTCCTGTGTGTGCTGCTCAGCTCAGACCCCTTCATCCAGAGGCCCTTAGATCCCTCTGCACTGGAGTGGGTTTGAATTTACTCTGCAACATCTGCATGCAATAAATGTCATGCTGTGTTTTTTTTTTTGAAGTCACATAAATTCTGATTCCAAATCTCCAATTGCCACAGTGCTGAGAAATCAGCCTTAGTTATGTTCAGGGGGATTCTCTAGGGTCACAGAAGAATCTGGGACCCAGGAAAAGAGGCCCTGTGCCTTGTGGTTGCCATGGTAGTTGACTCCTGTTGCTGTGGCTCCTGAACCCTGGGTCAGGCCTCAGGCAGGCCCTGCTGCCCTGGACACACTCTGAGAGGTCTTCACAGTAGCTCTCTCGATGACCACAGGAGGACCCCGAAGACCCTCAGGGCCTCAGCACACAAACAACCCCATCTGGCACTGCAGGCCAGAGGAACACAGACAAAGGCCTCATCTCTGTCGCTTCCAGCTTGGGGAGGCCCCATCTCCCTTCTCCTTCCATTTTACTCTCCATCAGGAGACCTCCACCTCCTAAACCTAACTGAGTCGGGACATCCCTCTGCTTTGACGACAAACCCCAAAGCTACTTGAGGCAACCCACCCCGCCCCTGCAACCACCAAAAAAACCAACCAAACAAAAAACCCGACTCAGACTCTGGCTTCAGTTCTTTTCTTGGGATGGAAGATGGAAGGTCGTTATTCCAAGCGCAATGGGAAAACACAAAATAAAATTTCAGCATAGATCCTGGCTACACAACTCATGCCTGAACCTTAATTTAAGGCTTCTCAGGCCTCTCCTTGCCAGGTCAACCAAAGACAGAGAAGCACTTACGTGCCGGGGGAATAGGATGGAGTCAGGGCAGCCCTACCTTCCCCTTTGTAGAATGCGGGTTGGAGATGGGAGGTATTGAAGGGAAGCCCAGGAATTGGAGTCAGAGAGACTCGACATGTGGACCCAAAGTAGATGCTCAGTAAATTCCTCTCGTATGAATAAATCCAATCTTGGGCACAGTCCTTCACATCTCTGAGCCTTACCATCTTTATCTGAAAAATGGGCATCTACTCAGTCAACAACCATTTCTTGATTACCAGGCACCCTTTAAGCTATGCGGGATATAGCAGTGAACATGACAAAGATCCTCCCTGACAGAAGCTCCATTTTGTGGGTAAGACACAATAAACGGGTCATGTCATATCCGCTCTAGTAGGATGGGTTGGTACCCAGCCTCTGTCCCCTCATCCTAACTTCATTGCCCTCAGCTGACTTCTAATTGCCTCCCCACCGCAGCCTCCCAAGTGCTGAGATTACAGGCATGAGCCACTGCACCGGGCCCATCAGTTTCTTAATCTGTACAGTAAGGTTGATGAAACCTCATTTAACCACCTTACAACATTTTCGAGAGGGCCAAATTCGGAAGTCATTTATTGGCTGTAGTGATATCATTAGGTCATGTGGTGGAGAAAAAAGAATGAGGAGCCTCAGCTTCTGGCATTTAATTTGCTGTGTGGCTTTGAGGCAGTTCCTTAGTTTCTCTGGTCTTTAGCTACCCACTTTGTTAAATAAAGGACTGGCTTATGATTCCTAACAAAATAATAATGTTTAGTATGCTTACTATATGCCAGGCACTATGCCTAGCACATTTCATATACATTTTCTCATTTAATCCTTCTAACAGCCCTATGAGGTTGGCACTTTCTTGTTTTGAGACAGGGTCTCACTCTGTTGCCCAGGCTGGAATGCAGTGACTTGATCATGGTTCACTGCAGCCTTGACCTGCTCAAGGGATTCTCCTGCCTCAGCCTCCCACGTAGCTGGCACTACAGGTGCGTGCCACCATGCCTGGCTAGTTTTCTTAAATTTTTGATTCACAGAGATGAGGTGTCCTTATGTTGCCCAGGCTGGTCTTGAACTCCTGGGCTCAAGCAATCCTCCCACCTCAGGCTTCCAAGGTGCTGGGATTACAGGCATGAGGCACCATGCCTGGCCTTGCACCATTCTTATGGAACCTGAGATACAGAGAGGTTAGGTAACCGGCCATGGTCGCTCAGCTAGTAAGCAGTAGTGCTGGGATAAAAATTAAGGACTTCTGAGCACTGCTGTCCAATAAAACTCCTGTGATGAGGGTAATGTTGTATATCTTTGTTGTCCAACACGGTAACCACTAGTGTGACTGTGAGCACTTGAAATGTGGCCAGCGTGACTGAGAAACTGACATAAATATCTACCAGTAGCTATGCCTTGGCCAGCGCAGCTCTAGTGTGCCAGTTTTTGGCCCCACTTCTTCGTGAGACGCAGCACCAAGTAGTGGTGAAGAGTATAGACTCTGACTCTGGAGCCAGATTCTCTAGTTCGATTGAACACAACTTACTAGCTATCTGTGACTGAACCTCTCTGTTCCTCAGTTGCCCCTCTAAAATGAAGATGACAAAGGTGGTCATGAAAGCAAATGGCCTTTATTATGGGCATTTGATGCTTATGAATTGTAGCACGCTCCTTCAGATAAACCTTGGGTTAGAGGATGAAAAGGGGGACAGATGGGCAGGCCGGATCATCCTTTAGTGACTGAGTGGGCCGGTGCCTGGGGATTCCTTCCAAGCCCGTGCCAGGCATGGATCCCAAAGGCCCCCTGGGATGGTGGGCATGGAGGGTCCCCAAGGAGAGCCGGGAGAGCCACGTAATAAGACGAGTTAATCAAAAGGGCAGCGAGTCCCCAGGGCTCACAGCGCTCGTCTCACAGCGAGCATGCGCAGGAGAAGGCCCGATGGCTCCTTCCCCCGCCCCCGTCTCTCTCTGAACCATCCGCAGCGTGGCCTGCAGGAGTGGGGGCCAGAACAAGAGCGACCTGGAGGGTGAGGGGCCAAGACAGGAGTTGGCGGCGGGGGCTTGGGGGTGGGTTGGGAAGAGAAGGAGCGAGGGAAGTGAGGTACAGGGTAGGATGACCCGCCAGCTTGTCCTGGGGTCAGGTCAGACCCGAGGGCGTGGCAGCAGGGCCCCCACGTTGTACTGGGGGGGCGGAGGGGGCGGGCGCCATGTCTGTCGTATCCTATGTGAATGGCGCCCCCTGTAGTTTATGCCACGCAGCGGTCGCGGGTGTGCTGAACGCCTCCAAGTCCACGCCAGATTTCCCGCCCCCCACCCCCTTTTACGTGGATCAAAAAGAGCTAATGGCTAAAGGAAAAAGAATTGGCTGGGAGGGTTAAACAGAAAGGGAGCAAGGAGAGTCACGAGGCCTGTCCCTGGGGCCCGGCCCCGGCCCCTCCCCTTCCAATACCGCAGATTGGCCGCCCCTCCTCCCCTTCTCCTTTCTCCTCACACCCCAGCCGGGCTTTTCAGGCTGGAGAACATTTGATCCTGCTTCCCGCGGAGCTGCCGGGGAGAAAGTTAGAAAGACCAGCTCAGCGAAACTTGATGCGTTCCACTGGGGCTGCTGAGGCCTGGGAGCAGATGCCTGAGGACAGAGCCACCCTCAGCCTGGCAGAGCCCCCATGCCTCTAGGAACGCACCTGATTCAGACCTCTCCTCCCAGACAGCATCTCAGAAGGAAGCAGCAGTGGGGGTTGCTAACCCCCTGCCACTGTTTACACAGGGGTTTCCCAGAAACCCTGGGCCTCACCTGCCTGCTTCCCTTCCCCGAGAATCAGTTTTCCTTCAGCCTGTACATAACTCAAACATGTCTTCGATCTTCATTATTTGTATTTGTCCGTAATCTACATATTGTCTGGATAATTTGGGCCTCCGTTATCCTGGTAATTTAGGTCTTGCCCAAAGCCTACTTTTGTTTGAGTTAGTCAGTGTAACCAACTCAGCTCATTTTATTTTATTTTTATTTATTTTTTTGAGACAGGATCTCACTCTGTCACCCAGGCTGAGTGCAGTGGTGTGATCATGGCTCACTGCAGCCTTGACCTCCTGGGCTCAAGGGAACCTCCCATCTCAGCCTCCCAAGTAGCTGGGACCACAGGCGCATGACGCCATGCCTGGCTAATTTTCTGACTTTTTTTTTTTTTTTTTTTTTTTTTTTTAGAGATAAGGTTTTACTGTGTTGCCCAAGCTGGTCTCAAACTCCTGAACTCAAGCAGTCCTTCCACCTTGGCCTCCCAAAGTGTTGGGAACTCAGGCGTGAGCCACCACACCCTGCCACAGTTCATTTTAATGAGCATAAATCAAATAACTACTGTGTGCTCAGCTTGGCACTGGGTACTGTGAGCAGTCCAGACATGAGCAGGACACTCACTCTACCCTTGAGCTCACAGCACACATGGAAACAAAGCACAGAGAACGAATGCCCACTCTAAGCCTGGGGTGGAGGGGTGTCATTCATGAGGCCAGAGTAGCAGGTGGGGCCTTTGGAGAGGAGCTGATCTCTAGGTGCCCTGTAGTCTGCTTAGTCAGAGATACCTCCCTAGGGGAGGTCAGTGGAGTCAGATGGGGCTGGGACTTCTTGCTGGGGTGGAGCCTGGCTTCCAGAGAGAGGGTGCTCTTCCCTGTGGGTGCCAACGGCTGCATGCCAGCTTAACAGTATTTCCTTCAAACAGGCCTCTTTCCCAGGAGCCCAGAAAGACATTTGCATTAGGAGAAAATACCCAAGTAAAACACAGACTACTTCCCTTGGGTTTGGCTGAAATTTGGAAAGCTGCAGGCAACCAGGCTTGAAGAAAGGTTAGGGGCCAAGACGGGGGGATCACCTGAAGTCAGGAGTTCGAGACCAGCTTGGCCAACATGGTGAAACTCTGTCTCTATTAAAAATGCAATATATATACATATATATATTAGCCAGGCATGGTGGTGGGTGCCTGTAATCCCAGCTACTCAGGAGGCTAAATTTTTTTTTTTTTCAAGCCTGGTTGCCTGAGGTGGGAGGACCACTTGAGCCTGGGGATTTGAGGCTGCAGTGATCTCTGACTGCACCACTGCACTCCAGCCTGGACAACAGAGTGAGATCTTGTCTCAAAAACAAAAAAAACAAAAAAAACAAAATGTTCAGTAAGAGCCTAGAAATCAGAGTAACCAGCCAGTGCCTTCCTAGTTCTCCATCCTCTTCACTTTTACCCATGTAGTGAACACTTGGTTGCTGTTATAGTATATCTATCTGTCCCTAGATCTATAGCCTGGCTCCATTTGTATTCCAGGATCTGTAACCCTGTAATAGCAGTCTTCCCCCATCAGACTACGGGCCCTTAGGGCCAGGGCTGTCTCCTCTATCAGACTTGGGCTACCTGAGCGCAGGGCTGTGTCTTTAGCTGTTGGATGCCTCCAGCACAATGGGGTGCCCAGGATTATATAGACACAATGCTTGGGTCCATGAATATTTGTTAAGTTAATGAAGAGTCAAAAGAACTCCACTTTTCCAGCCCATTTGCTTCTTCCCAGACCCACCCCAGTGGGGAAGCAGAGCCTGGTAAACCAGTGTCCCTTACACCTGCTCAGAGTGGGAAGACCATAAATTTCTCAAATCAGTATAAAACAAAATTACTTGTGATCTACTGAACCATCAACTCAAAAAAATTAAACAAAACCTCCCCTTTTCCAACATTAGTGTAGACAAAGGAAGCCCAGGTGACCCTCACTTGGGAAATGATGGCTCCAGATATCAGGCCTTGGAGAGAGCTCACAAGGCTTTGGAGTCTAGTGCTGGGAGCAGTCTCAGAGGTGGTCCAGGCACATGTGCTTATTGTGGAAATGAGAATCCAGAGGCCAAAAGGGGAAGGTCACATAATGAGTCAGGGTGTAGTCGTGACATAGTGGCCAGAAGTGGGAGAGGGACTCCTGTCTCCTTTGCGTTCTTCCCCACACCTAAGATTCTAGAACTGGTCACTTCTGTCACACTCTGTTAAACCAGTCTGCGAATGTCCCCTTGCCTCAGTCTTCACATCTATAAAATGGAGGGGGCCACATGTCTTAACTTACCTCACAGGAACATTTTAAGGACCAGGTAGGATAATGGATGTGGAATTCTTTGGAAAGTTCAAATTTGAGGGCACCCATGGAGATGGTTGTAATTTACAAGACAATCTAAATAAATCGGCCTTTCAAATGTGGGCATGGTTCCTAGTCTTGCAATCTAGCCCCATTAATATTCATTAATCAACTCATATGATAAGGATTTACTGAGCACCTACTACTGGCCAGGCACAGGGCCAGCTGCTGAGGATACTGTGGTGCCCCCTTCAGTTTATTCCCTACACAGCAGCCAGAGTGAGCCTGCTAAGTAAAGTTAGATCCCTTCCCTGCTCTGCACAAGACCCTGTCATAGCTCTTCTCATTGCGCTCAGAGTAAAACCCAACATCCTGCAATAATCCCAAGACTCGAATGACCTGCCCCCTAAATCTCTCTGATCTCAGCTCCTCCTACTCTCCCCTCACCTTCTCAGCTGCAGCCACGTCCTCCTCACCACCGCAAGGCCTTTTGTCCTCGCCATCCCCTCTCTCTGCAATGTCCTCCCCCTAGATACTGGCATGGTTCGGTCCCTCTAATCTTAAAGGTCATGACTGAAATGTTAGTGGGGTCCTTCTGGGTACCTTCTCTGACAGTTCAGCTCTTACATTTCCTACTCCTTTCCCTAGCTTTAGTGTTCTCCTTCATACCCTGTACTATCCAAATACCGTATTTTCCCCATTTGTGTAGTCTATTGTCTGTCTCTTCGCTAGACTATAGCCTCCATGAAGGCAGGGATTCTTGTCTGATTTATTTACATTGAGTCTGCTGTGCCTAGGGCAGTGCCTGGCACATAGTAAGCACTCATTAAATATTTGTTAAATGAATGAATGGTGAACATATAGACAAGGTCCCTGCTCCCATGCAGCCTGCATTCTACCAACAGAAGGTCTGCTGGGGGTGTGGGATGAGGAGGGGGGTGGTGTGGGCTACAAACCGTGAGTGACATGCATCTTCAGGGCCCCTTTTCTCCACGGGTATCATGGTGGGATTGCATTCTCACCAGTCTTGAGCCACCACAGTTTATAATAGGAGTTAACTGCCTGCTAATTAGCAGCTGAAGCCATTAATTGGCTATTTGTTAGAGCCCGAATTAATAAACTGGTCTTTCAGCGGGGTCATAACTCTCCCGTTCCTCACCCCTCCCAGTCATCCTTCCCCCACATGACCAGAAAGCGTCTTGCAATGAGATTGAATCAATACCTGCCACTGTATGATTTTCAGAGACAATTTCTCTCACAAGGCGACAACACCATCTAGCAAAGACTCTTCCTCTCTCTCTCTTTCTTTCTCTCCTCTTCCAGGCTGTCACTCGCCGGAGGCGAGCTAGTGGCAGGAGGAGATGGGAGAGCTTTCTAGTAACATGCTCTCACAACAAACCGCAGTTGCCCTGCTTGCTCAATGCCTGGAGCCCCTGGTTCCCTGGCCCCTGGCTTGTGGTCAGCAACGAGTTCCTGAAACCTCCTGGGGCCCAAGTGCTAGGTTTTCTTTGAGGCAAATATATATATATATATATATATATATATATATATATATACACACACACATATATATATATATATTTTTTTTTCTAGTGGGAAGTGACCTAGAATGATCTTGAGTGGAACCGAAGACTTGGCAGCTGGGTGCTGACCACCAAGCCTCCAGATAGCCTGACCTCAGGCTCATCCTGTGCCCTATGGCCCATGTCAGGTCTAGCAGTCTAGCTCTCATGTCCCCCCTGCCCTTGGTGCAATTTGGGGGCCAGAGTATTGTTCTCTGTGTCTGTAAAGGGAACAGGAAACAGTTCTTGTGGAAACATTATTTGATACCTAGGCCCTTGCCCCTCTTCAGTATAGAACAGTGGGAGAGGGCAAGGTCGCCGAGCCAAGCTACTGAGGTCAAAGCTCAGTTTGGCCCCTTAGCAGCTGAGTGAGTCACTACATCTTCCTATGTCATTCCATGAGAATAACAGCCCTGTCTTACATAATGGTTATGAAGATTAAATAGTTAATACAGTGCCTGGCATGTGGTGTCAGCTGTTATTCTTATTACTCCACTTCTCTCTAGGAAGACAGGGATCTTACCTAGTTTACATCTGGGGAAACTGAGGCCTAGAGAGGTTAGGACTGGGACGCAGGACTGATGTCTAGGGCTCTTTCCCTTCTCTGAGGTTGCCTCCCATTGTCAGACACTGGGCTGTGTTGAGGCAGCAGGCAGGGCACACTTGGGGGAGGAGACAGCTGAATTTACAGACACACACAAACAGGCTGTCAAGGTATTTACACTGCATACAATTAGCTGCAGAGTATTCACAAGTGGATTAGCTACAGCAAATGTTCAATCCCAGCCTGGCTAACTTGGTCCTCTGTTCCCCCCACCCCGCCATCATGAACCTTCTTTCTCCTCCAGGCTAGTGTGTGAGTTTAGAGAGGGCAAAGTCAAGAGAATGTCAGCTGAGTCAGTGCAGTTCTCTGTCCCCAGTAACTCACCCCAAAGCCAAAGAGGAGCAATTGACTGCTGTTTGGTGTTGGAACAGCTAATTGGAAAATCAGAGCGCAGTTTCGCACGACATGGAGAAGTACACATTCAGCTCAGAATGGGCAAAGCCAGGAAGAGCCACAGTCGCTGTGATCACTCCCTGAGAGCTTCCTGGAAGGGGTAGAGACTTCCAGGAACCCTCTAATAATGGGAAGAGGATGACAATAGAAGAAGCTATCCCTCATCACTCCCTCAATTGGCACCACTTCCTTTTCTGACTGGATGGGGGAGGCGGGAAGAGGCATGGTGGCTGTGTATCTCTGTGGGACAGAAAATGAATTTTTTGCCTTTGAGGTAACAGTCCGGGGCTGGGGAGTGAAAGGATGGCTACCCTGAGGGTATCCCAGGTCTGTGATATCTGGCCATGATGGGCATCATTCGTGAATTCACTGAACATGTCTGCAGCTGGCATCTGCTGGGAGCACCGCACTGAGTCTGGACTTCCTATCAGCCTTGGACCCACGGGGTAGAAAGGAGAGAAAAGACGGAAGAGGGCACAAGGGAGGCGCAAACGAGTGGAGGTGGGCTAGAGAATAGGAATCTTCGGATGTTCTCGGGCTTCCTGAGATGGACAGAAAGGGGGCTGAGAAAGGAAGGTGGAACCCCCCCATGCCACCAGGCACTTCCCGACACCTCCCGCTCCTCTTCCAGCAGTCAGGAGCGCGCGCTCCGGTGGGGCTTAAGCCCTGGAGAGTCAAGGGAGGAGAGACCCAGCAGGAAATGGGCCTGGGGAAGGGACGGTTCATTATTATTATTTTAAAAAAATTTATGTTTCAATTTATATGCAGACTAACCTTTTTGGAGTGTGGAGATCTTTGAGTTTTGACAAATGCATAGAGCCGTGGAACCACCATCAAGATATTGAGCAGTTCCAGGGGGCGAAGGGAGGGGGGGTTCGTAGTCTCCCCGCTTGTTAGCTGCTGCGATTGTCTGCGCTCCCACGGGCCGACCTAAAACAATTCTTGCGCACACGCTGAGATAAATAACGGCGACAGGTGGAGCAGGTGAGATTAGCAGGACCCGGGTTGGGCGCGGGGCGGGATCGGAGGCGCGGGGGAGGCCACCAGCCTCGCTTGCCAGCCTACGCCCCTCCCCGCGGGCGTTTGGGAGGAGCGTTCTCCGCACTCCTGCTCCGCGAGGGCCCCTTCGAGGCGGCTGAGACCCGAGTGCCGGACTCCCGCCGCTGGAGCGGGGCTCGGGTTCGGCAGCCGGAAGGAGGTGTGCCCCCGGGGCGCTTGGGGGCGCCTGAGGTCCCGAGGGGAGGCAAGATGGGAAGAGTGGCTAGCCGAGGAAAATGTGGGGTGACTTAGGGAAGCTCTGGCGGAGGGGTCGTGCGAGCAAACCTGTTGGCAACCTGTGGGCCGCGGCAAGGGCAGGAGCTCTCAGCGCGACCTCTCCGCCAGCTGCTCCGGCCCGGCCCCAGCACCAGACGCCTGGAAAGGGGCGGGGGCCTCTCGAGCCGGGCAGACAGCCTTGCAGACCCACAGCCGCGGCCCGTCTCGCGCGGCTGCAGGACCCCAGGAACCGCAGGCGCCCGGCCTTTCCCTAGGACCCCCGCTTCAGTCCCGCCTCCCCAAAGTGCAAAACATTTACGAAGTGTGCAGTGCCCTGCGGGCATGGGTCTCCGAAGCGAGCGGCCGTGTTTGCCCCGCGGGCTGCTGGCAACGGTGCACCCGGCTCGGCCAGCTAGTCTGGGTGTGCAAGGCTGGAGAACAGCGAGTGTGCGAGCGCGCGGCTGCAGAGCCCCCGCCGAAACCCAGGTCCCTCCGCCACTGTCCTCGGGATAGATGGATCCATTTCTGCTTTCTGACATTTTCCTGCTGGGCGGGGTTGGGGGGGAATGTTAGGGGGCGGAGAGAGGAAGAGAGAGAGAGGGAGAGGAGAAAGGGAAAGAGAGGAGAGGAGAGGAAGGGAGAGAGAGCGAGAGGGAGAGAGAGAGGAGAGAGAGAAGAGAGAGAGAGGAGAGAGAGAGAAAGAGAGAGAGAGAGAGAGAGAGAGAGAGAGAGAGAGAGAGAGAGAGAGAGAAAGAGAAAGAGAAAGAGAAAGAGAAAGGCAGGCAGTCAGCTTCCCCCAGCCCTGTTTTGTTTTCTCTAATTGGTCCTGGGGGAGGCGAGGAAATTGGACAGAGGCTGGGCCAGGCGAGCTGGGCTGCCTTTAATTGGCTCCTTTTTTTAACTGGAGGGGAATCAAACAGGAGAGCGAGCGACAACGGGTGGGAGAGCGAGAGACCGAACGAGGAGACGCGAGGAGGAGGGAGGAGGAAGAGAGGGAGGGAGGCGGGAGGAGCGCGGAATGAAAAGCTCGGAGGGGCGAAAAAGCAGCACAGCAAAGCCCAAGTTGCTGAGCGAGCGGAGCGCTCCCGCGGCCCGGAGCCGAGCGGCCGCCGCGCCCCGGAGCCCGGCCCGGCCCCGCCCGCTCTGGGCCCCCGCAGGCCAAGGCCGCCGGGCGGGGGCGGGGACGACCAACTTGGGGCGCGGCGTAGCCCCGCTCTCCCGAGAGCTCGGAGCCCGGGAGGGCTACGGCCGCGGCCAGACGGCGGGAGAGGAGCGCGGCGAGCGGAGGCGGCGAGCGGCGCCCGCGCCGCAGCCCCGGCCTGGGCGAGAGCGCGAATATTTTTCAAAAGACTCAAACTTTCCTCCTTTCCCCGTTTTCTGGGGCCCTTCTTGCCTGGAATTGCTCTCCAGATTCCCGCGGGGCGCCGGGCTGCTATTCTTCCCCCGGGTTTATCGGCGGCTCGGCTAACTTCACGGACCCGGGGACCCGCGGCGCTCGTCCCTCGGCCGAACCCAGCCCGCGCTGCTCCCCGGATCAGGAGGGCCGGGCCCGGGGCTGCTTCGCCGCCGCGAGTGCTTTCAGCCCGGCCCCCTGGAGTCGGGCCGCTGAGCCCACGGCAGCGGCCGCAGGACTGGAAACAGCAGATTGATTAACTCGAGCGGAGCCCCGGCCTCCCCGACTCCGCTCCGCTGAGGGGCGGCCCCAGTGCGGGGAAACGACAAGTTTGTCAGTCGTCCGTGGCCTGTTGGATCGAAGCGCCGCCTCCGCCGCCGAGAGGTCCCCGGCGCCTAGCATCCCGCGCGGACGGCCCTGGGTACCCGGGGCGGCTCGGCGGCCGGGCTCCTCGGGTCGGGGCGCTGGCTGCTGTGCCGGGCGCGCCGAGGCACCCGGGGCTGGGCCAGCGCCCCCTGCGTCCCCACGCGGGCAGCGGCCCCGCCGGAGGAGAAACACGGGTCGCCGCCACCTCCGCCTCTTCAGTCTCCTGGTCTTCGTCGCCGCTCTCTCTCTCACCTCTCAGGGAAAGGGGGGGACATAGGGGCGTCGCGGGGCCCCGGCGAATGCGCCCCCCGCCGCCTCTCGGGCTGCGCCGCCTCGCGGGGATGAAGCACCGGCCGTGAAGATGGAGGTGACCTGCCTTCTACTTCTGGCGCTGATCCCCTTCCACTGCCGGGGACAAGGAGTCTACGGTAAGAGCCCGCGTCCCGCTCCACCTTGGCTTAACCTCGCGCGGAAACTTTGCAAGAGGCGCAAAGTGCGCGCTGCCGGGGTTTGGTGGAGACCTCGACTCGGACTCTGGAGTGGATGCCCGCGTCCCCGCCCTCTCCAGGGCGCGTGGAGACCGAGCTAGCTGCTTCGGAACACAGGGGCCGGTCGTAGGGTCTGGTGGGAAGCCGGGATGTCAGGAGGAGGCACCCACTTTCCCACACCCTGCTAGAGGTGGGAATGATTAGGAACCCTTGAGAGCACCCGGTCGGCTCGGGAGACCCGGACAGACCCAGTCTAGGACTGGTGCAGCGACTTGCACCGAAACCTCGTCCTGGCTCGGCCTCCGGAGTGGAAGCCAAGCGATGCATGAGCCGGAGTTGCCGCGCGGCTTGCGGGCGAGCCGGCTGTCAGCACCAAGGCCGGGCGGCGGGCTCGCCTTCCCCGCTGTTGCTGCGGCTTCGCTTCTTCTACTCAGGGCTTGACACCCTGATCAGGATGCCGGCATCCCCTGGCCCTGGCGCCTTCGACCCCGGCATCCCTTTTCGGACCTTCCCTGAACCAGTTCTTCCTGTCCCCGGTTCTTGGCTACAAACCCCAACCCCACCTTCCTTCCTGCGCGCACACACAGATACATTCAGCCACCATCCCCAGAAAACGCAAACACGGCACGCACCCACCGGGATACGTGTCCAAACTCTGCCTCCTGCCACGCAGCCTTGCTCCTGCGTCCGCACGCCTCGCTGTGGTTACCAAGGGAGACTCTGGTTACCCCTTCCCCCTTCCATCCTGTGGGTTTTCCCAGGGAAGGCCCGGGGCAGGCATCATCCATTCAGTCACCTGGGCTCAGCCTCCCGCAGTGCCTTAACCCCACAGCACAAAAAATCATTCTCAGGGGCCCAGTGGCCCTTACTTTGCTTTCTCTTTACTGCAGGATGGTTTGTCCAGGTCCCTTTTTAGTGATGTGTGGCTGGGGCGGGCAGGATTCTCTCTTTCCTTTTCTGTTGGGTGGAGGGACTAATGATTCCTCTTTTAGATCCAGGGGAGGTTGACCTGTTCTTTGTGGGGTAGTATAGGCACTGACTACTGGTTGCCAGCCTCAGGTGCTGAGGCTAAAGCACCCTGGAGGGTGCTGACCCATCTGCCTGTGCCTGGCAAGAAGAAGGGGTGTCCTGAAGGGTGTCTGAGAGGTGACATGCTCCTGGCCCTGCCCAGCTAGCTGGCTTGGCCTTAATTCTCTGGTAAGACTAGCCCAGGCATCTGGCCAAACTCTGCTTCTTAATTAGTTTGTGTGTCTCTTACTGCCTGGCCCCTCACAGAGGCCAGGAAAGGCAGGAAAGAATGCAGCAGGGACTGGGAGAGGCTGGGTTTGGGGCGAGGAGGCCACGGGGCAGGTACTGGAGGCCTTGGCCTCTCCAGGGCAGATGAAGATGCCAGTGGACTGGGGTTTCACTTTCTTCTTTCTCCCCAGGTCAAGGTGCCTAAGAGAGGTGCTGCTGAGGTCTTTGCCTTCTCACCACAGCCCCGGGGCTGGGGAGGGTGATGGAGAGCCCTTCCTGCATGCTGCTGTCCTCCACTCTACCCTCCTTCCCTGTGTCATTGGGTGCATTTGGCAAGACCCACTCCTGGTCATCCCTGTCCTCCATCCCCTCCAGCTTCTCCAGCCTTCTCTAGGCTGCTTGGGGCTCATCTTTGGGAGGTTCCTCTGTTCCTAGTCTAGTAAACCCAGCAATGAGAGTGGGGTTTGGAGTCAGGGGCAGTGGTCTCTGTGGACCCTCATTTCAGAGTACTCTAGGGCCAGGATTCAGCCATAGGCTTATCTATACCCTTTTCTCTCTGTGTTTTCTCCCCTCCCGCCTGTGCCTAGGTCCCATTTGCTCTCACTCAGAGCCAATCAAAGTGGGCTGGGTGTGCTGGGGCCGACCCTGGGCCCTTGGGTGACATGCCACTTTTCCTTTGAGAGCTTGGCTTCAGGCAGTGTTGGGGCTTCAGGGAAATTGCTGGGTAAAAAGTCTTTATTGAGGTGGATGAAGGCAGAAGATTTAGGAGGAGGAGGAGGAGGATGACAGGAGGTCGCTGAGTTCCTTGTGATGCTAGAATCTTTGGCCAGATACAGCAGAAGGGAGGATCTCTGTAGGACCAGGACTGGCTTAAGAAGTAGGTCGAAGATCTGGGACTAGTTCTTCTGCCCCCCTCCCCAGCAGTCTTTCTGTACCCGCGAAGCAGAAGAAACAGCATGAGAGTGAAGGCGGCACATAGGGACCAGGGATGGCCACTCCAGCCTGGCATTGCATCCAGCATCCAGCATGGTCCCCGGCACAACAGCAGGAGCTAGGCAGGTATTTGTTGAATGAAGAAAGGGCTATAGTTGGGGGCAGGTTGGAAATTCTTTCTCCATGAGAAGTCTCTCTAGGACTTGGTTTCCAGCAGGGCAGTGGGGGCATTGTTTAAGGGTCTCTGCTTAGGGCGAGTCACAGAGTCCTATCCTGCAGCCCTAGAAGAGAGAAGAGGCTGGAAGCCTAGTATTGCCCTGGCACTGGGGAGGGAGGCAGCAGGTCTAATTCAAGACATAGGAGAAAAATGTATATCCTGGGGAGGAATCCCCTGCCCCTGCCCCTCTGCCCCCAGACCTGTGTGGATAAGGGAGGGGCTGAACAGAGGGGAGGAAGACGAGCAGGCGGTGGAGAGCGAACCTGACGGCATTCGGCCTAGGCTGTGTGTCTCTGCTGAGGCTGGTAGGAGGTAGGTGCCTAGAACCCTATGTCCTGCTTCCCACTGAGGTCCACCACCTGCCCTAGGATCCATGGTCTGCAATAGGGCTGGGGAGGCAGCACTCTCAGTTTGGCCAGGTGGCTTTGTTCTTTGGGGCACAGATGCTACAACGGCCAAGTGCTGGACCAGATGGTCCATTTGGAGCCAGTTCTCCCTCCCTCCTCGCCTCCCAATCTCCTGGCCCAGTTTGTTGTCCTCTGGGGTGGATCCTGTAATCTGCTTTCTGGCAAGCCAGGGGGCTGGGCTGGCCCCAGTGGCCTAGTTCTGGGGCAAAGGCAGTAGCCAAGTGATGGAAGAGGAATATCTTGCATGCGGATAGCGTCAGGGAACACCCCGCCTTCTGTCCCGGCTTCTGCTCCTCTCATAGCAGTCGGACCGCAGGTCAGTGGGATTCCTCTCCCTTACAAAAACACAACAAACCCCTGAATTATTTAATATGCAGAAGTGGGAATTGACATTATCCTTAAGACAGGTTGTTTGCAACTTACTGGTGGAAGTCAAAATATTTCACCAAAGGTGTCATCAGAAACTACTATCCTATGTTAATTTTTGTAGGAACATGAAGACAGATGTTGAATAATTTGACAAGAGCAACACAGCTTACAGAATTATCACTAAGTCAGGTTTTTTTCCCTCCTCTGGGGAGCACGGAGAAGGAATTTCAGGAAGTGAGTGTCCCAGTGTCATCTCCCGGGTGTTGATCTGGGTGTGGGCACTTGAGGTTTTTCACTGGAGTTCCTACCCCATGCCTTGAAACTTTGGTTTCCTGGGGCTAACAGAGGCTTGGGGTTCTCTTTTGTCCTCGAGAAGCTCCGTGCTTCTGTTCCTTCTTTCTTTTCACTTACAGAAATTGCACAAGCGAGGGGGAGCACTTTGTGTCCACAAATCCAAGCTGCTTTGTTTGCTTTGCTGGTGTTACCTCCCCATCCCAAGTTGATTTTGGCCCTTTAGCCAGTGTGAGGGGTCCCCAGACCCTTGGTGTCAGGCTGGAGAGCCCCCGCCTTAGGGTCAAGATCCTCATGATGTCCCATCCGACATTACAGGATGGGAATCTGCTTCATGGGTGGGCGGGGGCTCTAGGTCAGGGGAGGAGGTCGGTTAGAGAGGATTTTGTTAGCAGGAAAGCATCCTTGAGGGGGTGGGCAGGGGAGAGCTGAGAGCTACTTGGCTAGGCCTGGCTGTGAGCTGCTGGGACCAAGGTGGCAAAGCCTCATTTAGAGCCTGGTATATTAGCTCTGCTTTGCTGGAACATGGAGGGACAGGCTGGGGGGGAAGGGGGGTGGAATCTGTAGGGAGAATGGAGGGAGCTAATCACAGCCGCCAAGGCCCGGCAAATGAATGATGCAGGAAATCAATACCTGGGGGCGGGAGTGGAAATCCGGGCAGTGGTAGCAGCCCCAGCTTCTCCCAGCTGCCCAGGAGGCATGGGGGAGGGCCTGGGAGGAGTGAGACAGAGGCAGGAATGTGGAAGACACCCCCACCCCAAACACCACTGCCCCCACGTCCCTGCCACTCCCCCCTGCCCCCCTCCCCACTTTCATCTCATGGCTGGGCTCATGAAAGGTGGGCTAGGAGATGACCCACCCGGTGAAGACAGAGGACCTAGGAGATGAAGTCTTGGGCCTCTCAGTCCTGGAAGAGCCCTGCCTCACCTCCCACCTCCGGACATCTGAGCCTGACACGGTCCCAGGTATCGGGTGTGTGTGTAACTGCCTACGGGCCCTGCCCTGTGCGGCAGCTGCTGCCGTTCCAGATGTGGCCAGCAGGGGGAGGGCTTGGCCGCCACATTGCATCTTGCCTTTCCTGGGCTCCTGTGGGCCTCACCCTATCTGAGGGATGAGTTATGCTCATTCCTCAACCTGGGGCTGAAAAGGGTTCCTTAGGGCCTTCTGGAACTCCAAGCCTCCCTCCAGCTCCCACGTACCCACCCCGGTGTCCCTAGGCACCTGCCCGTAGCCAAAGCCGCACTTGCTGTAATCTCAGATGAATCAGGTTTTCCCTAGGCGCCAGCTGGATGCTGGGGCTCAGCTTAGCCTAGTGGGCTCTTGCTCTGGTAAGGCTGTGGCAAGGGGAATGGGGGTGCTTGTGCCCTTGCAGAAACGCCTCTGTATAAACCTGGCGCATGGCCCCTCTTCTGCATCTTCTCCCTGTGGTCAGAAGACCCTGCTTTGCAAGCATACATCTGCTGCTAGAAGGTACTATGTACCAAGGGGCTTCTCTGGTATTTAAATGCTGATACAGGAGGCAAGAGCAAGGCTTAGCTCAAAGGAATGAATATTTTTGTTTTTCAACAATGAAATCTCATTTTTCCTCAAGTCTATGAATAACACTATGAGTAACTACTATGAGTAACATGTGCTCTTTGCAAAACAATCAAGGAATACATAAAAGTATAAAGAAAGAAAGTAAACCTCACTTGATAACCCACCATTCGTTTGGTCATGGTTTTTTCAGGGATCCTTTTGTGTGAGGGGGAATGAACCTTTTAGGGAGGATTGTTGGTCAGAACAACAATCCCTTATAAGTGTGTAAGTGCCACATGACTTACCAGGCATTTTCATGCCTCTGCAGCCTTTGCTTCCATGACGTTCTGAGAGGTCAGCACAAGGGGTACTATTGTCTCCATTGAACAGATGAGAAAACTGAGGTTCCAAGAGTTTTAGTGACCTGATCAACATTGCACAGCTGGTAAGAAGTAGCCCTAAGACTCAGTCCCACCGGATCTTCTGATTTGCAGGGAAGGAAAGCAGTGTGGTGTTCCTTTCACTCATCATTCATTAAATGTTCACTGAGCCTCTACCTTGAGTAAGACTCAGTTCTGGACATTGGCAGGGCTACTGAGATGAATAAGATGGAAGGAGAAGGGGAATCACATGTAAGGTAGGGGGAGATTTTGATAAATGTCATGTAGCAAGGGCGGATAAAAGGTTGTGAGAATTTGAAGGTTGAAGTAATTGCTTCCAAGGCCTTGTGGAAAAGAGAGCATTTGAACTGGCCTTGACAAATAGAAGTAAGGATTGAGAGGGGCATTCCAGGTGGAGGGCACATTGTGGCAAAGGCCTGGAAGCTAAGGAACCCGAGTGTGTGAGGAGTTCGTGAGCTGTTCAGTTGGGCTGGAGCATAAGCTGAAAGGGAACTGGGGCCGTTAGGGCTGGAACAGTAAAGGATTTTTTTTTTTTTTTTTGAGGTGGAGTCTCGGTTACCCAGGCTGGAGTGCAGTGGCACAATCTTGGCTCACCGCAACCTTTGCCTCCTAGGTTCAAGCAATTCTCCTGCCTCAGCCTCCCGAGTAACTAGGACTACAGGCACACTCCACCACACCCAGCTAATTTTTATATTTTTAGTAGAGACGGGGTTTCACCATGTTAGCCAGGATGGTCTCAATCTCCTGACCTTGTGATCTGCCTGCCTCAGCCTCCCAAAGTGCTGGGATTACAGGCGTGAGCCACTGTGCCTGGCCAGGAATAATATTAAACATTGCTAACATTGACTGTCCAGCCTGTGATCATAAGTATGCATTATCTTCAGTCTCATCACAACTCCTTGAGAAAGTCATTTATCAGTCCCTTGTCCAAGTGGCAGACCTGGACTTGAACCCAGAACTGCTCATTGCAAAGCTGTAAGGAGGATGTCAAACAGGGAGCTGGGTTGATGCAAGCCATATTATGGGCCAGGTAGCCATGCCGCTGTGTGTGGGAGGAGGCCGTGCTGGAGAGACTGTCAGGAGGCTTTGCAGTTGTCCAGGGGAGTCCTAGGGAGCTTTGTGGGCATCTGCAGGAGGTGTGTTCCAGGCAGAGGAATAGCCGCTGCAAAGGCCCTGGCCTGTTGGAGCAACAGTGAGGAGTCCAATGTGGCTGGAGCAGAATGAGCCAGGGGGAGTGCAGTAGAAGGTGGGGCCAGAGAGTTAGTAGGTCCAATCATTTGGAGCCTTGAAGGCTATGAAAGGATTCTGGATTTTGTTCTGCATGAGATAGGGGACCATGGCAGGGTTTTGAGCAGAGAAGGGACATGAACTGACACCTTTTTAATAGAACCTCTCTGGCTGTCATGTAGAGAATAGATGGTAGGGGTTTGAGGGTGGAGGAAGGAAACCAGTTAGAGGCTGTTGCAAAAGGCAAGACACAAGATTGTACCATCATTAAGCACTAAAAGTGTATCGGAAAGAGTTCAGGCAAGGAATAGGAGCTGCAAACGGCTCTGAGGTTTGGAGCTGGGAGACTTGGCACACAGTGATAACAGGTTGAACAAAAGCCACTGGAAGTCAGACAGGTTTGGGGAAGTGAAGTAGTTAAGAGCCTCGACCTCTGCATAAGAAACCTGGGTCTGAATCCCAGCTCTGCCCCACACCAGCTGTAAAAGCCCAGGAAGTTACATCTGCTTTCTAAGCCGTGGCTTCTCCGCTTGTCAGATGGAGATCATCGTACTCACTGCGTGGGCTTGTGATGAGACGGTGCTTAGGAAGCTCTGAGCACAGTGCCTGGCACGTAGCAAGGCCTCAGTAAATAGTTTTAGTGACAATGTGAGTGAAGTTTTGAACTTCATGGGATTCTGGCACTGGCATGTCTGGGGGGGATATCGACAAATCGGGTGGACAATGAGCACTGAGCTCAGGAGAGAGATCAACTCAGGAGAGGTAGATTTGCACATCTGGATTTATGTCTGCAGAAGGATGTGGGTTGAAACCATGAGGTGGAATAAAATTGCCAGGGATTAGAAAGTAGAGAGAAGGGATTGGGCTGAGGCCAGAGCCCTGGGGAGCACCAATGTTTAGGGGGCGGGAGGAGGCCTGAGAGGGGACATGACCCGAGGGTCTGTGACAGAGTCTGTGAGAGGAGGAGGAGGAATGAGAAAGGGCCACCGGGGGACTGGGGAGCTCGGGGCAGCTGCAGCACAGAGTGGGGCTCCTCAAACTTTCCCGTGCACAAGTCTCCCCTGGGATCTTGTGGAAATGCGGATTCTTGATTCAGCGGGGCTGGGGCTGGGCTGAGATTCTGCGTGAATCTGGTGGTGCCGATGCTGCTAGACCAGGGATTGCGCTGTGCAAAATGAGGGCTTCAAGTAAGAAGTCTGGACTCGGGTTGGAGGGCCAGGTGGGCAGCCTGTTGCCTCTGAGGGTCCTTGCCCAATGGCCTCGCCTCTCTGAGCCTCAGTTTCCCCATGTGAAGCCTGGTTTAGGCACGCTTACCTTTTGGGATTACAGAGAAGCCCAGGAGTGATAGCACTTTGTAAACTCGAAGGTGAACTATGGGGACTCCGTTTCACGAGAGCAGAGAGGGTGGCAGGCAGATGGCAGGGAGCTCCGGGTGTGGGTGGCATGTGGCAACAGGAGGTATAGGCTGTGCTTTTGAGAAATGTGGCAGGCCAGGGAGGCTGGAATAGCAGCTCCCCTTCCCCAAGCCCAGCCTTTTGCCTGTGAAAGGCTGGAGCTGCAGGGGTGGGTGACCTTGGTGGCTGGGTGGTGGCTTGAGCAGACTCGAGGGCACTGCTTGGCTGGCTTTGAAGATTCCACCCCAGGCTCTTCTTGGTTCCTTTCCAGGCCCAGAAACTCAGCCGAGATACATTAATTATCTGGAGGATTGGAAGCTGTGTAGAAAAGTGGTTCTCAGCCCTGGCGCATGTCAGAACCACCTGGAGAGCTTTTTCAACAACAGATGCCCAGCCCCACCCCGGGCCTCCTGAATCAGAAACCCTGCAGGTGGCATCAAGGCATCTGTGGTTGTAAGAGCTGTTTAGATGATTCTTGGGCACAGCTGGTGTAGACAGTGTGTCTGAAAAAGCCAGACCAAAACAGATGTCTTCTTCCCTTGGACTTTCTGAGGGCATTTCCTGGTTTTCCAGGTTACTGCCCAAGCTTAGTTTCAACAAAGTTCATCTGAACCCTGGAGTCTTGGGAAAAAAACAAAATCCACTGATTATTTTCTAAACTGTGAGCAAGGAGGCTTTCTACTTCAATGGTGCTAACTGGAGGGTCCAGGCCAAGAGCCCAGGAGACTGGCCCCTTTTCTGGCTTCTAACCAAGGGACCTCCCTTGGTTCTCTAGGTTTGGCTTCCCAAACCTAGAGAGATTGAAGGAGTCTCCTTCAGAAACACAGTTTTCTTTGATTTTTAATAGGTAAATTATGGTACCTTTTTGAAATGTGGCCCTTTTGTTTATTCTCTTTCCTGTTTGGTTAAGAATAAAGTGAGGCCAGGTGCTGTGGCTCACACTTGTAATCCCAGCACATTGGGAGGCTGAGATGGGAGGATCACTTGAGCCCAGGAGTTCCAGACCAGCCTGGGCAACATAGTGAGACTCTGTCTCTATTACAAAAAAACCAAAGAAAGTGAAAATTTCAGAGCTGGAGAACAAAGTAGCAATTCAATGTAAAACCAGCAAAATTGATTTCATTTGAGACAGGGTCTCACTGTCTTGCAGGCTGGAGAACAGTGGTGTGATCATAGCTCACTGCAGCCTCGATCTCCTGGGCTCAGGCAATCCTCCCACCTCAGCCTCGTGAGTAGCTGGGACTACAGGCATACACCACCATGCCCGGCTAACTTTTTTTTTTTTTTTTTTAATTTTTAGTAGAGATGGAGGTCTCACTATGTTGCCCAGGCTGGTCTCAAACTCTGGGCTCAAGTGATCCTTCCACCTTGGCCTCTCAAAGTGCTGGGATTACAGTTGTGAGCCACCATGCCTGATCAAAACCAGCAAATATTTAATGAGTACCCACTACGTGTCTGGAAGGGTGGTGGGTCTTGGCTGCAGAGGTGAAATGACATCTGTCCCCAAGGAGCTCACAGCTGAGCTGGTGAACACACAGCCTTTTCTAATGCCCTCATTTTCCAGATGGAGGAGCTGAGGTTCACATTGAGTGACTTGCCCAGGGCCCTACAGTTAGGCGGTGGTGGAGTCAGGGTTCGAACTCAAGACTGCCCAATGCAAAGTCCAGTGCCTGTCTACTTCCCCAAATGTGAGGTTTCTGAAGGCATTCCCTGGCAGATTTTTGTTCCCCAGCCTGTGCTGTGGCAGATGGGTTGGCCCAAGGGAGCAGCATAAGGACCCCCCAGGCCTGTTTGCTAGAAAGAAAGACCTGACCAGAAAGGCTTAAACAAATGATGACTTTCTCAAGTCTCAAGGTAGGTTCTCAAGGCTCCTTTCATCTTCGTGCTCTGCTCTTCTCATGGTGGTGGTTCTCAAACTTGGCTGCATGTTAGAATAACCTGGAAGGTTTAAAAAGTCCTGATGCTGGCTAGGCTCAGTGACTCACACCTGTAATCCCAACACTTTGGGAGGCCAAGGCGGGTGGATCTCCTGAGGTCAGGAGTTTGAGACCAGCCTGGGCAACATGGTGAAACCCCGTCTCTACTAAAAATAAAAAAATTAGCCAGGTGTGGTGGCGGACACCTGTAATCCCAGCTACTCGGGAGGCTGAGGCAGGAGAATCGCTTGAATCAGGGAGGCCGAGGTTGTAGTGAGCCGAGATCACGCCACTGCACTCCAGCCTGAGCAACGAGAGTGAAACTCCATCTCAAAAAAAAAAAGCCCAGGTTGCACAACATACCCATTAAATCAGAATGTCTAGGGGGTGGAAACCAGTCATCTGCATTAAAAAAAAAAGTCCCTACGTGATTCCAGTGTGCAGCAAAGGTTGGGAACCCTGCCTTTTGACATTTTGCCTCAAGGTCACCAAAAGGCTGATGGGGCTCAGCCATCATGAGACATTCCAGGAAGGAAGACAGCAGGAACCTTTAAAAGGCAGGCCTGTCGGCTGAGTCTGCTGTCTTTAAGGAGCTTTCCCAGAAACACCCTGCAGTGACTTCTGCTTACATCTTACTGGCCATTCTTAGCTTCAAGGCAGGCTGAGAAATAGGGTTTTTTAGATGGGCACATTCCCATCTGAGAAAATATCTGTATTCTGTTAGAAAGAAAGGGAGAGTGGGTATTGGGTGGGTGATGAGCAGTCTTTGCCACAAATACCCGTTTTAGGGGCAGTTGGTGTTTCTTGAATGAAAGGGGATTTAGATGAATGTGAATGACTGCTCTCCTCCTCACTCACCCCACTCTGCCAGCCTATCCTCACCTCGCCCCACTCTGCCAGCCTAGCTCAGGTGGGGTGGGGGTGGGGGTCCTGGCTGCTCTGAAGATGCCCAGAAGAGACCTGAGGAAAGACAGCGACCTAGAGGAGGGGGATGACTTGCTTGGGTCACCCAGACATTCAAGTGACAGTCCCACCAGCTTCCCGTCTGCCAGCGCCCCCCGACACTGTCGGTTCACATGTCCCTGGGATTGTTGATGTCTACCGGTTGGTACCTCTCTCTGCTAGCAGGTGTCTCCTTTCAGCCCCGAAGGCAGAAGAGCTCTGTGGTTCCAGAAAAAGCAGCCTCCTGATTTCTGGGAACAGAGACGGATGGGCTGTGTGAGAGGCTCTGGTCCGGAGGTGATCTAACTCATCTTTCTGCCTCTCAGCAGGCCCACACCCACATGAGACCAAGCAGCCCCACTGCTGTTTGCTCAGTGCCTCTGGTCCTTCATTTTGGGAAGTTCTTCCTATTGACCTTGTTTCAACTTTCTGTAACAACTTATCAGAAAGAAAGATTCAGGAACGGAGACCTCTGAGTTGAACTTGAGTAACTCCTCGGCCCTGAGACGCTCCTGAAGTGATTTTTTTTTTTTTAATTTTTTGAGACAATGTCTCACTCTTTCTCCTAGGCTGGAGTGCAGTGGCACCATCTCAGCTTACTGCATTCTCCGTCTCCTGGGTTCAAGTGCCTCAGCTTTTGAGTAGCTGGGATTACAGGCATGTGCCACCACACCCGGTTAATTTTTTGTATTTTTGTAGAGACGAGATTTTGCCATGTTGCCCAGGCTGGCCTCAAATTCCTGGGCTCAAGCAATCTGCCCGCCTCGGCCTCCCAAAGTGCTCAGATTACAAGTATGAGCCACTGTCCCCAGCTGCCAAGTGATTCTTTAGAAACTCTTGATGAAGGCATTTCCCCCATCTCTGAGAGGGATACTGGGCAGATAGAGATGGGGAAATGAATTGAATTTCAGTGGCCTCATCTACTTGGGTTTGATTCCGGTGTTCCAGTAAAATGCAGGGGACCTTGAGGAGGCCAGGTTACCTTCTGGCAAGATACATAAAGCCCATAAGGCAAGCTGAAGTTCTGTGCCACGGCAAGACCTGAATTCACTTTTCTTTCTGGAATAAGACTACAGGGTAGACACAGAGAAGGCCATGAGGAGGGGCACGAGGGTATGGCAAGGAGTGAGCTCAGCTGCCAGCCAGTGGCCTTCAATGACCCAAAAACAAATCTTCCAGATTCATTGCAGGAAGAAACTGAGACCGCAGAAGGCAAGTGGCTTATCAAGGTCACACAGCAATTAGGTGCCGAGGCTGAAGTTAAAAGCCATGTCAAAGGACTTTCTACAGCTTTCTTTCTCATTCTCCTGTGTCACCTCCCAGGCTTAGGGGAATCCAGGACATGTCTGCATGGCGTTTATAAGCTCATTGTGTGCCCACATCTCTATAATCCTTCCCCTACCCCTGTGAACCTCATTTCTTATTCTCAGACCTCATTGCATCCAGACTACAGAATCTGGGGCTCATTCTGGGTCTAGAACTCTGGTTAGATGTTAGAGGCCCTTATTGGAAATGTCAGGGCTTCCCCCGCCCTTGTGGGTAGGAAGGTGAGCCTGCTTGGTAGTGTGAACTGGAGGTTGCTGCCAGTCTCCACCGGGTCCAACATCTTGTCACACTGCCTACAAGTTCCACTTTAGAGTTATTAACAAGCTAGCTGGCAGAAGCACTGCCACTGTTTCCAGAAGGTTACTCTGGGAATACCTGGCAGCCCTAAGCCTTCTCCCGATGGCACAGGTTGGTTGATCAGATGAGCTGGATCTTGAGCCATGAGATTCAGGCAAGGAAGTTTCCAGGGGAGTGGTGGGTGGAGGAAGAGGATGATGGTGGGGTATTTGATATGTGTGTAGAGGGGTCATTAGGCAATATGTGGACTCTGTGTTGTGGCCATGTGAGAAATTTCGTAGTGGACACCATGGACAGTCAAAACACACTTGGACTCATAGTCTTAGTTTGGGTTGCCCCAGAAGTAGACTCTGAGATAAGGAGCTGAATGCTGTAATTATTTGGGAGGTAAGTCCAGGAAACTCTGGTAGAGGAATGGGGAAGCGAGACAGGGAAGCAAAGGAAGCCAGTGAAAGATGCCTTATCAAGTCAGTTACATCGGTGTCCCTTGGGGGAACTCTGGCATGCTTTGTGAAACACACTTCAGAGTTATCCCACCATGGGGTGAGGGAACTAGGGCATGTATACACCCACCCCGCCTCTGTCACTGGGTGAGGTTGCTCCTGGGGGTGTTAATTCCCGGTACTCCTAAACCACTGCACACACAGGCAGCGCAAGCTCTAGTGGCCAGAGATGGCCCTCAGGCAGAGAGGTGCCCGCAGGCATTGGCAATTGGGAGCTGGCTGGTGGTGCACTGAAGTGTTTAGGAGAGGGGGTGCAGGTGGGGCAGCAACAGTCTGTATTACATCTTGCCTAAGCCATGGTCTTGCTTTTTCAGAGCCAGCTTGCTGTGTGGAGCTCTTTGTTTTTAGATCTCATGTTCAGGGCTGCATGTACAAGCCTCCATTCCAGGCTGTAAACTCTTGCCTGCAGCCACCAGACCTGCTCACTGCTCATTTACTTCCTTGGATTTTGTGGCCAGAATCCAAGTGTGTCGATTTCTCCAAGACTCTCCTGATAGAATTCAGGCTCTCCCTGAAGGATGCCTTATACCTGCGGAGGACAGGGTTGAGCATCACTAAGGACACACCCAGAATCTACAGGGTCCTTTGGGCATTGCCAGGAGAGGCACCATGTTCTCCATCCCACTGAATTTAAAACCAACATAGAGGTGGGGACAGTCTAGACTAGAAGACTGCTCCTTCTCCCTGTAGGCAGGATTCTGGGTGAAACAATTGTTAGGGGTTAGAGGGTAATAAGGTCGACTGCATTCTGTCTACTTCCCTGCCCAGGAGCCAAGCCATGGGCTATGACCAGAGTGGCCTGCACCCCTGAATATACCTGAGCCTCATGAGTCCGGCTCAGAGCAGCACTTCTACCCTGTTGTATATTTCTCTCTCTCTCTTCACTAATAACTGGGACCTGAGATTAATTAACTAATTCAGTATTTATTGAACCCCCCGCAGTGTGCCAGACTCTGTTCTAGGTGCTGAGGATACAGCAGAGAACAAGACAGAGATGATCTAGAATCACAGACTTATAAAGTGACAGAGCCAGCGGGAATCTTAGGGCAAATCTAATCATTTGTCAGGAGAGAAATCTGTAGCCCAGAGAAAACAAGAGAAGTTCTCAGGCCACACAGCAGAGAGGGGGATCAGCCTGGAATCATGGAAGGTCAAAGGTAAAGGGCTTAGAGGTTGCCTGTTTCTACCTGTTCAGTTTTTTGTTTGTTTGTTTGCTTGTTTTTTGAGGCAGAGTCTCTCTCTGTCACCCAGGCTGGAGTGCAATGGTACAATCTTGGCTCACTGCAATCTCTACCTCTTGGGTTCAAGGGATTCTCCCTCCTCAACCTCCCGAGTAGCTGGGATTACAGGCACCCGCCACCACGCCCAGCTAATTTTGTATTTCTAGTAGAGACCGGGTTTCGCTATGTTGGCCAGGCTGGTCTTGCACTCCTGACCTCAGGTGATCTGCCCACCTCGGCCTCCCAAAGTGCTGGGATTACAGGCATAAGCCACTGCGCCCAGCCTACCTGCTCAGTTTTTAGAGGCAGAAACCAACGGCCAGAGGTGAAGGGTCTCACCAAGCTGGTGGCCCTGCTGTATCTGCCAGTGATTACTCTCTCTTCCACATCCATCTTCCAAGCCAGATCTAGATTCTCATTTGCAGAGGGGTGTGTGTGTGTGTGATGTGGGCAAGGGTAGTAAGCAGGGGACATGAGTAGCTTTCTTTTTGATCAAGCCATGCACCTCCTTTACTGTGCCTGCTGGCAAAGTGGCCTCAAGGGATACTAGGAGGAGCTTGCTACTGAGGGATGCCCCAATGTGCCCAAAGCACTGACACCCTTGTCTGGTTCACTCCCTCCTTTCTGGAGACTTGAGGGAGCAGGGGCTGCAAAGCCTGGCTGGGGTGAGGGTGGGCTTCATGCCCTCATTGTCCCCTCCTCCTCTTCTGTTGGAGATCAGTGTGTGTGTGTGTATCTGTGTATAGGGACCACTGGTATGAGATAAACTGCTCTCACTTGGTACCTCAACAGAAGCTGTAACATGTTCCTCCAGTTCTCTCTGCCTCGTGCAAGTGCACATTATTTGTATTTTTTGTGCATGTAATATACACTGGCATGTGTGTGCTGTAGGTGTGTATATGGGTGATGATGTTGCACACGATAATATGTATGTGCAGGGAACTATGTATATGTGTGGTAGGGGGTCCTACAGACCTCTTTAGGGGCTTCTCTGGGTCCACCTTTATCTCGCTGCCCCTCCAGATGGCCTCTGGTCACCTTTTTCTTGGTTCCAAGGCAGGGGGTGGGCACGGGCATCCAGCACCCTGGGTCATCAGTCAGGGACTTATGTCCAGCCTGGGTATGGCCCCCACCACCCTTCCTAGGAGACCTGAAGAGGGGGGGCAGGGGCAGGCCGAGGCTGGCCTGGAGCTCCTGGCTAATTTTCCTGGCCTCGATTGATCTAGCAGCTTCTCCTGAGTCTATTAGCAGTCCGCGAGTGAAAATATCCCCCATCGTGAGCCCTGACCTGAGACAGGGAGGAATCCGTAGCAATTTGTTCAAACAGAGGAAAGTGTTTCCCTCTGATTTGTATTCCAATTTACTCAGGCAGGAAGGGGGTCAGGGTAGGACCCAGGCACTGCCAGAGCTGGGCCCAGACCCATCCCCCTTAACCCCCCATGCCAGCCGGGTTGGCAGCTGGTCCTGCCCAGGTTTCCTGGGGGGGGGGGGCTGAGGAGGAAGGGTGGGCCCCAGTAGGGGACAGGGAGGGAGGTCTGCCAGCCTTCCCAGCAGGCCCTGCTCAGCTGGAGAGCTCAGTTGTGGATTTGGTTTTCACAAAACACAAAGCCGCCTGCTCGGAGCCTCTCTCCCAGGCACTGGGGCCTGCGCCAGGCGTGCGCTCACCCGCTGCGCCCGTGCCAGATCTGGGCTGGGCTGGGTGCATGGAGACAGTGGCCCCAGCTGGGCCAAGTGGCAGGGGGGCTGCTGAGGCCCAGAGGGGAGTTGGCACCTTTGAAAAGCGCTGGTGCAGTGTGGAGAGCCCCAGCACGGCCTTCCGATCCAGTGCTCATGCTTACTTCCCAGCCTGAGCAAACTGGGGCTCTGTGGTGTCCTAACCAGGCAATCTTTTGAGCACCTGCACTAACTACAACTCTGGTCGTATTAAGTACCTGCTGTTTGCCGGGCACTGGACTAGTGCTGCCAGGTGTCTAGTCCTTGCAGGGTCCGGTCGTCTTCATGTGCCTCAGTTTCCTCACTGGTGCTCCTCCCATCCTTTGCATACCTCTGTCACCTCCTTCATGCATCTCTGCTCAGCCCTTCTCACTTCCTCTTGGGAGGTGCTTCTCCCTTCTAAGGGTAGCCCTAGTGGCTGAGGGTCACAGGGCTGATGCCTCTGAGCAGGCTGGCTTCCTTTCTCCCCGATTGCTTCTTTTGGCCCCACCTTGCCCTCCCCATCAGGGCACAGGCCTCCACAGAGGTGGTGCCATGGCAGCTGGAGAGGAGGATTCTGGGAAGGGTCAGGCAAGTGATCCCGCACAGCTCACCTTCCATCCCCACCTTTGCCTTCCCTGGTGTGTCAGCGCCCCACCCCCGCCCCCGGGAGGGGAGTAACCAGAGAAGTTCTTCACACTGAGGTGTCAGTAACTAGCAGCTCTGAGGTCAGCTGTCACACATGACTTGCCAGGCTCCATGACACCATCGAGATCTAATTTCAGAATCAAGTAACTAAATATAATGAAGTCGATGAATAACCATCTCTCGCTCAGGTGGGAGCGTAGGGAGGCAGTGTGGCCTGAAGGATAGGAGCAGAGGCTTCTGAAACAGACCTGGGGTGGAGGTCTGCTCGGCCGCTCACTAACCATGTGATGATGGGCAGGTGTCGCACTGTGCCTCAGTTACCCCATGCACAAGACAGGGCTAATACTGGTACCTTCCTCAGAGGGCTGTGGTAAAGGGGAAATGAGGAATGTGTGGGAAGCCATGTGCCTGGCATGTGGGAGGCAATGACCACCACTGTTCGGAGGAGGGTTTGCTAAGTGAGTGATTCCATCACCGAGGCCTGGCTCAGGAAGCTGCCGCTGTCACTGGCTGAGGCACAGAGGCTGCCACCAGGGAGGCGGCATGGGAGGCTCTGTGTACAGGCACGTGTCACAATATCGGGAGAGAGAGGGAACAAGACTGAGACCCTGGCCCAGGAGGAAGGGTAGAAGAATTCCAGTCCTCCTCCCATTTTCCTTTTGGGGAAGTTTATAGCAAGAATCTTCCCTTCTAGCTACTGTACAGGGCTTGGAGACAGGTGTTTTGCACAAGCCCTTTACTGCCACCCACCCACTGTCCATTCCAGACCCCATTTTCCTCCCAAGGGGCAGCCTCCCTCCTCCCGCATCCACAGCCCCCAGCTATCTCCTGATAGGGGCTTTTCTGTCCCTGGCCGTGATTGAACTCTGGTCCAGTTGTCCTTCTCCATCCCTGAGTCCTTCTTTTTTCTCCCCCCACCTACTCGATTTCAAGTCATTTAAAAGTTGTTTCAGAGGCTCAGCATTATAATCAGATCCTATGGAGCCTGCCACTTATGTGGTTTCTAAAATTTTAGCCAAAAAAGGAGAGGAAACCCTTCAGTGATGGAGAAAAAATAAGAGACTACTTAAGCAGGAGGGCAGGTATTGCATTTCTCAATTTATAAATATACCTGATGCTAAAGAAAATATGCTCCTAAACTTTATGTTTCCTGAATTGATGCTTGAAAAAAAAGATTGTTCATCCCTTTAAGGGATTTAATGTGCTTTTGCTCCCAGGGGTGCTCGCCTTTTGAAAAGGATACAGAAAGAGAATAAACAAGTGACTATTTAATATGCAGGGTGTTGATTTGATGAGTGTTACGAACATGCATAGCAGGGAAAGGGATTGAGCGTGATGGAGGTGGGGGCGGGCGGGCTGTCTTAAACAGGGTGTTCAGGGAAGGCCTCTCAGAAGACAGCTGAAGGAAGGGATGGAGCAGGCTCTGGAGAGCTGGAGAAGAGCAATCCAAGCAGTGGGGAGGGGGTGGGGCTGTAAGTGCAAAGGCCCTGAGGTGGGAAGGGGCCAGGCCTGCTTGAAGACTGACAAAGAGGGCAATGTGGCTGGAGTGGGGAGGGCAGTAGAATGGGAAGTGGGGCTGGGAGCCGATGGCAGAGGGCATGGCAGGCTGTTGAAAACGCATTGGCTTTGACCCCAAGTAGGATGGGAGTCATGACAGGGAGAGCAGAGGAGAGATGAGATCCTCTGCCTGCTGGTGGAGAACAGACTACAGCAGGCAAGGGAGGAAGCAGGGAAGACCTATCAGGAGGCTGCTGTCACAAGCCAGGCAGGCCTCGGGAGTGGGGGCTAAGACTAGGGTGGCATCGCAGGGGGCAGATTCCTGATTGGTTCTGAAGGTCAAGCCGACAGAGCTTGCTGGTGAATTGGGTGTGGGGTGTGGGAGGAGGAGAAAAGTCATGGATGACTCCCAGATTTCTGGCTGATACTTGGTTAACGGGAGACAACGTGTTCCCACTAATACAAGTGTAGGGGGTGAGGAGTGGCTCCCAACCCTTGGGGGTACTGGGGGGCAGTGAAAGTTGGCTGCTGGAGGTCAGTGGATGGAGGGGCCATAAAGCGAATGAGGTCCTCCTTACATTTCTGCTCCCTGGTTCTTTAACCTCAGAGCTAATTTTCCTGTGGTCTCCTGGGTAGAAGCCAAGGCCTGGCCTGGAGGAACCAGGTAACTGCATATGCAGAGATGGCTTTAGGGGTTGCTAGAAGTTGGGGTGCAGCACCCCTATCTCCCCCTGCAGCTGGGTGGGGTGCTTTCCAGGAGCTGGAGCTCTACCCAGGGACCCACAGTGACCCGAGGTCGGAGGGGGTCAGAGTCTGCCAGGCTGTGGGAGACCCCCAGAAATGCTGTCCTTCCTTCCCTCCCTTTCTGTGCTGCTATGGGCCAAGGCCCCACCAGCTCTCAAGCTGCAACATTGATTTGCTTTCATTGTTGTTATTGTTATTATTATCCACTTAAACAACTTCATAGAAAAAAAAGAAGCCCAATGACCATCAAACATTAACCATTCATTCTAAACTCCCTGCCCATACCTGTCAATATATTTTTACATAGCAGTAAACAGTGGTCTGTTCTGCTTTCTCGGCTGCCTTTATCTCCTACACACGTCTCCTGCTATTGACTGAGCCCTCAGACCTGTCACTTTAATGGCCGCAGGACACCCCCTGCATCGATGTGCTGGAGTTCGGGTCACCATTTCTCTGCTGCCGAGCATTTGGGTAGGAGCCAATTTCCCTTTCTTTTAAATAGCTCTGCCATGAATATCCTTATGTGAATTACTTTTTCCTTTTAAATTATTTCCTTGGGGCCTATTCCCCAAAGTGAGACTGCCTAACAGGTCATAGGATAGGAACAGTTTTATGGTTCTCATTTCGCACTGCCGGGTTGTGTGACGGAAAGTTTGAGCTGGTGTTGTGCACAGCCCGGCCACAATGGATTTTATCATTTTAATTTATTTTCACTGGTTTAATAGGTGCATTATGGCCTGCTTTTTAACTTCCAATTTGAACCTCCTGAAGCCATACTTGGGTCGTTCGGCACCTAATAATAATAAGTCCTGCTCTATGCAGAACTTTACAGTTTACATGATACTTTCTTAAATGTCATCTCACTTAATAAGACACTGTAAGCCTAATGTTATTGGCCTCTGTTTTATATGGGGAAGTGGGGGCTTAGGCAAGTTAAGTGCTGGAGTGGAGCCTCTAACTAGTTCTTGCAGGTTTGGTTGCTTTTCCTTTTTTTTTTTTTTTTTCTGTTGAGATGGAGTTTTGCTCTTTTTGCCCAGGCTGGAGTGCAATGGCACAATCTCAGCTCACTGCAACCTCTGCCTCCCGGCTTCAAGCAATTCTCCTGCCTCAGCCTCCCGAGTAGCTGGGATTACAGGCACAAGCCACCACCCCCAGCTAATTTTGTATTTTTAGTAGAGTTGGGGTTTCACCATGTTGGCCAGGCTGGTCTTGAACTCCTGACCTCCAGTAATCTACCAGCCTTGCCTCCCAAAGTGCTGGGATTACAAGCATGAGCCATCATGCTGGGCCAGGTTTGGTTGCTTTTCTACTGCACTCTGTGGAAAGGACTCCCCTGCCACCTACCTCCATCCATGCTTATGTGAGGGCTCAGGGTCCCCAGATGCCCACTGCAGCCCAAATCCAGTGCCTTAGCCTCATTTTCTCCCTTTGGCCCCTACATTCAGGCCTGTGCCAGAACCCCAAGCTGAGCCTACTTGAGAGTTGGGGTTTAGCTCTGTGGGCCTTGGAGAGAGCCATGTTCCATCCCTTTGCCTCACTGGGCTTTTTGATCAGGTGGTGCTTTGGGGGCTCCTTGCTTTAGCAAAGCCACTGCCATCCCCACTTCCTGGCCCAGGCTCTGCCTTCTGGTTTGGAGGCCTGGATCTGGCAGTGTGTCTCCGGTCCTACCCTGGTGGTGCCCTATCCCTAGCGACTGTGCCACAGACTCCTAGAGACTGGGGCCTATCAGGATTCACCCTGGAACAGGAGGACCTTCTCAGAGCAGACACACTCATGAGTCTGGTTTTATGTCAGCCCCTTCTAACTGTACTTCTAGCGTATCTACTAGGCAGCATGCACTATGCGCAGGGCATTCCATTCTCAGTGGGTCTCACATTCACAATAGGGAGCCCTGTTATGTCCATTCTCTAGTTAGGAAGCTGAGGCTGTAGACTAGATGGGTAAATGATTTGCCTCAAGTCACCCAGAAATTACTGTTTCCGTGGGCTTGGTTCAATAGGTATGCTTTGACAGGTGCAGGCTTGTCAGATCTAGACCCTGGGCTGCTGCCAGGGACCAGTGCCAAGTGAACCACAGTGATGGGGTCTCCAAGACCAGCAGAGCTTGGTGGGGCTAGAACTTTCCTTTCTGGGATCCAGGCAAGGAAATTTTACATGAGTAACAATGAGTAACCCTGTGTCCATGGGTCCCACATCACTGGGCCAGGAAGGCTCAGACCTTGGGATCCTAGGAGTCATTCTCTGCCCTGATGGGTGGAAGCTTCTCTTTTCCATCATCTTACATATTCTCACAGGGAGAGCTTTTCCTCCCAGTGATTATTACTACTTTCAGCCCACCTTAATGTTCTGATCTCTCAGGATTACAAACTCCTGGAAATCCTTCAAAGTAGACCTCATTCGGTTTCACATTTTTTTCTTGCAAGACTTTGGAATAGGTTCCCAAAGCATCCTGGGCTATATTATTAAGTGGAAATGGAACTGAAATTTATTAAGTACCTGCTGAGTACAAGTCACTGTGTGATGTACCCGATGTGCATTGTCTCATCGAATCCTCACAACAACCCAAAAGTTATCTCCATTGAAGCCTGAGATGTAGTACTATCCCCATTTTGCAGATGAAGAAACTGAGGCTAAAGGAGGTTAAACAACTTTCCCAAGGTCACTTGGTCACTGAGTAAAAGGTAGCGCACTCCTCCCTACCCCTCACCCTATGCCGTTGAGCAGCCCTCTCAGATTTGCATTTAAAGCCTCTGATCAAGCAGTGCCCAACTTGTCCTGCCTTTACTGATTGGAGATGACCTGTGTCCCCTCATCATTAACAGTTTTTTGTTGTTGCTGTTTTTGCTTTTTTGAGATGTAGTCTCTCTCTGTCGCCCAGGCTGGAGTGCAATGGCACGATCTCGGCCCACTGCAACCTCCACCTCCCAGGTTCAAGTGATTCTCCCGCCTCAGCCTCCCAAGTAGCTGGGATTACAGGCGCCTGCCACCACACTCAGCTAATTTTTTGTATTTTTAGTAGAGACGAGGTTTCACCATGTTGGCCAGGCTGGTTTCGAACTCCTGATCTCTAATGATCCGCCTGCCTCAGCCTCCCAAAGTGCTAGGATTACAGGTGTGAGCCGCCGTGCCCAGCAATCATTAGCAGTTTTAATCCTGGCATCCTGGGACCCACCAGGAGAAAGTCCCTTTATAGTTTTCATCAGGAGACCTAAAAGTCCTCATTAAAGGGCTTTCCTGGTGGCCTGTCCAGACACCCTCTAGTTCTATAAGTGGGTGTGCAGATTAGACTTCCATTGATAGACAGTGAAGATTCTATGAGCATCACCTGCCACTTTCAATACCTGTGTGCCTTCCAATGAGACCAGGATGTGGGCGCAGTGGTGCTGAACATCCCCAGGGAATGGGACATAATGGACCAGCCGCCACTTGCAGCAGAGGAGAGTTGTAAGGGTGCCAGCCTCTCCCAGAAGCTCCAGGCGCCACAGTGGCAGGCTCTGCAAATGGAACAAGGCCCTGCAAACTGTAGCAGGCTTGCATCTGACTATGAAAGCAGACCTTGTTTTTGCATTCAATTGTGGTGGCGGGGTGGCGGCCTGCACACTGATCCTTTCAGCTGTGGCTGGTTGCTGTATTCAGTGACAGCGCCCTTGTACCCGGAGGTCAGAGACACATGCACTCTGGTTAGGGAGAGATTTTTGCAGCCAAAGGGAAGGTTGGCTGAATATGGGTTTGGTTTTGATGAGCAGAAAAGGCCCTGTGTCGGGGAACAGGCTTTAATATGGTTTGCAGCAGGGAGAGGGCAGAGGTTCTTTGCCCAGAAGGGCTATGCCTCATTTGGCTCTGTGTCCCAGCACTGAGGGCAGGAGATTTCACATAATAGGTGCTCAGAAAATGTTACAGAGCCAATTAATGAATCAATGGCAAATTAAAAGGTGATTGTGTGTGCCCTTTGAGGGACTGGGAGGACAGGGAGCGAGAGGGAGGATGGGAAGGAAATGGACTCGAACATGAGTCTAATGATCGGAGAGAGAATGACCAGAACTGGATGGGCCAAAAGTCTGTTGCTGCTTTCCCTCAAGATGCTCTGCGTTCAGGCAAGGCTGGAGGAGATGGTGTGAGTGGGTTTGGGCTGTTTCAAGTCGGCTTTCCTAGCACAGAACTGGAGCCTCCCCCAGCCTCAGAGCACCTCCGAGAAGTCACCTGGTCCACCCCCGGCTGGTGGTGAACAGAGGACAGGCTCCAGCCAGCTCTGCAGAGAGCGGGGCTGTGGTAAGGGCAGAGCAACTCCCGATGCAGTGAGCACAGAAGGGCAGGGCTAATTTTCCCAAGAGGCCCACGCTTGATGGCTCACAGTCTGTAGAGAGGCTTGGAACATCATCCCTGGCAGAAGGAGGCCCAGGCGGAGCAGGCCAGGTGCCTGCCCAGGAAAGCCTCCTCCCAGGCCCCCGACCGCCATTCTCTGAGCAGCTAATTAAAAGAGAAAAGCCTGTTAATATTTCAGCACTATTAACTCCACTAAATTATTAAGTGTTCATTTGCATTACATGCATAAAAGGATCAATAAACACTTGCATACCAGGATCTGGGAGGGCGAGAGGTGTCACGGCGAGGGAGGGACGGTTTCTGAGGATGCTGCACAGCATCGGTCCCACCAGGAATGTGGAGGCTCCGTGCTGAGCTGTGAGCCCTGCACTGGGCTAGGCACTTGCGAAGTGGAAATGCATGGCGGTTAGCATGAAAGACGGAGAGTCAGACAGACTCCAGACCAATGGGGTGTCCTTGGGTAACTTATATAACCTCGCTGAACCTCAGCTTCCTCATCTGAAAAGTCCGAACCATAGTAGGCTTGTTAGGAGCAATAAATATGATAAAAGATATAAAGCACTGAATATATTGCTGGCAGAGTAAATGTCAATAAAGGGTAGCTATTGCAGTTAATGTTATATTATGGGGATGGGGGGTGGGGGGAGACCTGAGACAGCACTAGTCTCTAGTTCACAGCAATCCCTCCCTGCTCCCTCTCTGCCTCTCAGTGGGCCTTTATAAGCATCGTTCTTATTCAGCTTTTCTAGCTACTGCTTCCCTAGTGCAGAGCCTGAGTGCCACAGCTCTCTGTTACCTCAGAACCAAGCTTAGCACCTCATACTGATAAGGGCTTGTTGAATGACTGTCTGATGGAAGCCAGGACCAGAACACAGATCCCAATTCTGTACCACTCCATCCAGAACACTCAGTGATGCTTCTGGGAGGTGGCTGGGGTGGTGGCACCTGCTCTGTCATCTGTGGGCAGATAGAACCAACTCTGGGCGGGGAATTTTGCAGCCACTCCTTCTCCTTTTGTCTCCTTGCCCCTTCCTCACCCTGTTCTTTGGTCATTTCCCAGCCTGCAGACTCTTTCCCTGAAGGAGCCAGAAGCAGGAAGAGGGCAACAGTCCTCTTCATTGATTATTGGCTGAGCTTTTGTTTTTTTGATAGGGGTCTTGCTCTGTCGCCCAGGCTGGAGTGCAGTGTGCAATCATGGCTCACTGCAGCCTCGATCTCCTGAGCTCAAGCAATCCTCCCTCTTAGCTAGGATTACAGGCATGTGGCACCATGCCCAGCTCATTAAAATTTTTTTTTTTTAGAGATGGGGTCTTGCTATGATGCCCAGGCTGGTCTTGAACCCCTAGCCTCAGGCAATTCTCCTGCCTCAGCTTCCCAAAATGTTGGGATTACAAGCATGAGGCACTGTGCCCGGCCTGAAGGAACTTTTTTTTTTTCTTTTTTTTAGATGGAGTCTCACTCTGTCACCCAGGTTGGAGTGCAGTGATATGATCTCAGCTCACTGCAGTCTCCACCTCCTGAGCTCAAGCCATTCTCCCACCTCAGCCTCCCGAGTAACTGGGAACACAGGTGTGCACCACCATGCTGGCTAAGTTTTTATATTTTTGGTAGAGATGGGGTTTCACCATGTTGCCCAGGCTGGTCTCGAACTCCTGAGCTCAAGTGATCCTCCTACGTTGGCCTCCCAAAGTGCTGGGATTATAGGCCTGAAGGTGCTTTTAATCAAGGTTTTCCATTTGTCTTGCTGTCTGTCTTGTTTGGCCCTCACCCTAGTGTTGTATCCACATGCATTTTATAGCACCCCTACCTGTGGCTATAGCAGCTGGGCATGGATTCTCTTATGGGGGATGGGGGTCTTTGATGAAATTCCCCCATTACAGTGAGAATTCTCTTTGGACCCTTAGTTGGCAGGTTGGAGTTTGTCTTAGTCTGACTCCCTGAGAGTTTGTGGCTTCCTCACTGGGCCTACTGGGTGCTGGAAGCCCCTACCCATAACTATACATTTTGGGTGTATAATTTTTGGGGAGGAAAAGAGTAAGCTGATAGGCCAGCAGCATTCTGCCTCGGCTGTGCTCATTAGGATGCTGCCCCAAGGGTGACATGTCTCAGGCCACTTGGCTGTTCTTAACTAAGGGACTGGGGAGGGGCATGTTAACCCCTCAGCTGTCAGTTTTGTATTAAGCTTTTCTCCACTAATTTTACAGAACATTGCTGTCTCTCAGGATGTTGTGCTCTGCGAAGAAGGGGGTTTATGGCCAATACGTTTAGAAAGCACTGAGTTAAACCAAGTTACACAGATGTGTTTACTGCAGGACTTTTCAGAGCCTTCAATAATATACTTTGTGTGCTAAGTCTTTCTCAGAGAGGGCGAGAGAAAGAACATGCAGCATCCTTAATTGACAGTGAAAATCGTCTGTGATGGACTATCAGTGAACACTCTGTGGCACACAGGTTGGCAGAGGCTGTTTTCCTTTTCCATGGGGTTTTGTTGATAGAAATCAGGAGAGTAAAATAGGAAAGTGTCATAGACCAGAGGCAAGGAAGCACACTTGGTTCTGAAATGCTGTTCAGTTTTCTATCCACTAATATGGTGTCAAGCAAAGATGATCAAATCCAGCCATGCCTCTGAAATTCCTGGGGACAATGAACAGAGTCCCAAGTTAGCAGGTGGAAGGCCTGGGTTTGAGTCTCGGCTGTGCTGCTGTCTCAGTGAGTGACTTGGACAAGACGGTTCCTCTTCCAGGCATTGGTCTCCTTCTCTGCCAATGGAGCTAAATATGACTTTCCCTTTCTGCTTCGCAGAACTGAGGCAAGGAGCTTGGAAATATACAGTGGACCCCAGGAAGGTACCAACCCTCATCATCTGTGACAGAGAAGGCAGGGTCCTTTCATGCAAACGGCTTGCAGGCTGCAGGGGATGTGAATTCTTGAGAGGAGTGCAGGATCATTTATAGAATAATAATGCTGGCTGACATTTTTAGATTGCATACTGCGTACCAGGCACTGTTTTAAACACTTTACATGAGTTTCTTTATTTATTCCTCACAACAACCCCATTTTGCAAATGAGAAAACTAAGGCTTAAGTAACTTGCTGAAAGCCACACAGCCAAGTGCACTAGTACCATGAGAAGGGGGATGCTCGGGGAAGGGCTCCAGCCCTTCCCACTTTCCATCCCCTCTGAAGCCCTGCACAGCCCTCAGCATGAATTTTGAACATGTTCATGAAACATCCCTACCCGTTTAATGTCTGCTTTGAGCATTTCCACCCCTGGGTTGCATGTGTACGGGTGCATAGCAGGTGGTCCCCTTTCTCTATCTCTTGCTCCTATTTCATCATCTTGGGAGCTGTCATTTATGGAGACAGCACATACTATTTGGTCAGGTGTTTTACATATATTGCATTAGCCCCTCATTAGCAGCCCTGGGAGAAGGCATCATTGTTCTTATTTTATAAATGAAGAGGCTGAGGCTCAGAGAGGTTAAGTAATTTGCTCAGCATCACACAGCATCACCCAGCTAGTGGGTAGCAGAGCCAGGAATGGGCCCCAGATTGTGTGACTCCACAGCTGTGCTGTTTCCATCTCTCTAAAGCAGACCTTTCCTCTCCCCATGGTTCCTTATCACATCTCCCTGTTTTCGAGTCATCATAGCATTTAACACTCTGAAATCACCCTGTCCATTTCTGTTTCCTTTTTTGCTATCCATCTCCCCAGCAATGCTCTTTGAGAGCCATCTCTTGTTTGCTTTTCATGACAGTATCTCCAGTGCCCAGCACAGTGCCTGGCCCAGAAGCATTTATTGTTCGACAGATTGAGTGAAAGGATCGTGTCATGGTGTATCTTGAAACAGCCCTGCCTGGGTTGCCTTCCGAATCAGGAGATGCTGCTGCAGGCAGTGCCTTCCTAGGGTATGTGGAGCTGGATGGAGGCTGAGGTTCAGTGGGGCAGGGACCCTTTGGGGTTCAGGGTCAGAAACATGGTTCTGGCCATTCCAAGGGTGACCTGAGCCAATGGGAGGCTGACTCATGTTAAAGAAACTCAGTGGGGGGTGATGAGCAAATTGAAAAGCCAAGGCCAAGGGGCACTAGGTAATGTACTACTAGTGAGGACTCATTTCAGAAGGAAAACTGTACCTGGAACCAAATCAGCAATGGGAAGTGCCTCATCAAGTAACAGTGAGAATAAAGGGAGTTGGGTAACTATAATAGTAAATGGGTTATCCTGGATAATCTCAATGGTTAATATCATCCCAGGACAGTGGATGCTGTTTTCTAAAAACTGAGGTGTAATTTAGAAGGTATAATATGGTGAAGTCCAAAGCAGATACCTTGATGTGTTTTTGTGTATCCAGACACTGTGCAAACACCACTCAGATCAAAATGTCCAACATTTCCATCTCACCAGATGGGATCTCTTCTTCTCCCCAAGAAAGTTCTCTTGGCCAGGTGTAGTGGCTCATGCCTGTAATCCCAGCACTTTGGGAGGCCGAGGAGGGTGGATCACGAGGTCAGGAGTTCGAGACCAGCCTGGCCAACACGGTGAAAACCCGTCTCTACTAAAAATACAAAAATTACCTGGGCGTGGTGGCAGACACCTGTAATCCCAGCTACTCGGGAGGCTGAGGCAGGAGAATTGCTTGAACCCAGGAGGCAGAGGTTGCAGTGAACTGAGATCGTGCCACTGTACTCCAGCCTGGGCGACAGAGCTAGACTCCGTCTCAAAAAAGAAAGAGAGAGAGAGAGAGAAAGAGAGAAAAAGTTAGTTCTCTTGTGCCCTTCCCAGCAAATAATCTCCCACCCCACCCAAGGGCAATCGGTGTTAGGCCTCTGTTACCCTAAGATTAGTTCTTCCAGTTTTAAGTTTTGAATAAATGAAATCACACACTATTCTTTTTATTTTCTGTCTTTAGCATTACAGTTCACTGTATGTTTGTGTCTGGGTTCTTTCACTCAAATTGCGCCTGTGAGATTCAACAGTGTCATGTCTATCTATAGTTCACCTTTTTCACTTAACGGGGAATATTCCTTTGTATGAAGATACCAGAACTTATTTACTCATAGAATTCTTGATGGATGACACATAGGTTGTTCTTGTTTTTAGCAATTGCAAATAAAGCCACTGTGAATATCTTTGTACTTATTGTTTGGTTGCCATAAGTACTCATTTCTACTGGGTACATACCCAGGAGTGAAATTGCTACATCATGGAGTATACACCTGTTTACCTTTAGTAGGTACTGCCTGAATTTCTTCAAAGTGATTCTAGCATTTTAGAGTTGGGTGTCTTAATACTTAAGGTCATCAAAGGGAGCTGGATCACCTTTTTTTTTTTTTTTAGACAGAATCTCACTCTGTTGCCCAGGCTGGAATGCAGTGGCATGATCATAGCTCATTGCAGCCTTGAATTCTTGGGCTCAAATGATCCTCCTGCCTCAGCCTCCTGAATAGCTGGGACTGCAGGCACACACCCCCATGCCTGGCTAATTTTTGCAGTTTTTGTAGAGACAGAGCCTCACTATGTTGCCCAGGCTGGTCTAGAAGTCCTGGGCTCAAGTGATCCTCCCGCCTCAGCCTCCCAAAGTGCTGGGATTGTAAGTGAGTCACCACACCTGGCCAGGAGCTGGATAATCTTAACAGTGTCATCTCTGATATCCACTCATGGCCCCATCTCCAGTGGGGAAATACACCTGTCAGGTGACCAGAGGCCCTGTGTCTGCTGGTCAGGCTTCATCTTCCCTGGCCTGTGCTAGCTGTGCTCTAAGAAAGTCCAGCTCTCCAGCTCTTTTTCAGTATTCCTTATCTGTCACCAAAGCTTCTGTCATTACAATACTGCCTTGCTACAGGCAAGCCACAGTGTCCAAGATTACAGCTTATCTTCCACTGGAGCCTGTTAAATCGATGTCTTCCTTGTTGAGAGGCACCCCAGGCCTCTTGGTCTTATCAGCAACCAGCATGCACATCATCTTTTGGTGGGTTGTTTCTTGATGAGATTTCCCGAGGACTTTGGCCACAGATGGCTATCTCTTTCACGTATCGTGAAAGATGTTCATGCATTTTTATTGCATGAGGTGACAGTTTTGGGCCCAGTTCCCAGATTCTAGAGTGCATCTTATATAGGGACTATGTGCTGATTACAAAATTCATAGAAAGTGTGAGTTGAAAAAGACCTCAGAAGTCATCTAATCTATCCTTCCTATGGGTAGGGAAACTGAGGCCCAAGGTGGTGAATTGGCTTGCCCAAGGCATACATTGCTTGTCTCCTGACAGCCAGCCAGGTTCATTCCTCTGTGGCAGCCAGGCAGGCAGGATGGTCACCTGGACACTCAGACTCTGGGTTGGTAGCAGCTACCACTGTCCACCGAACCCGCTGCTGTCTGCAGAGACCCTTGTGGTTAAACATAGCCTGTGTCACTCCCAGTTGCTGACCAAGTTTATCGACCTGCTGCCGGGCCACCTCTGTGGACTCTACCTCTGTGATTAGTTCATGTCTGTCCCATCAGTGTTGGGGGAAGGCCCTACTTGCAGCATCTGTAAAACACATTACGACTCTACTAAGCATTTTTCATTTATCCTGTGTTATCATCACATCTACCGTTGTGAGTTCTTAGGGTTGGTAGTGTTCTCTTCATTTTAGAGATGAGAAAACTAATGTCCAAAGATCACTAGAGGTTTACCCTGTGTAATATAATTTGGGACTCTGCCCTGTCAACTAGCATAGAGCCTCCCTGTTCCCTGAGGCCTGGTTCAAAAGCTACCTTTTCCATGGACCCCTCTGTGGTTCTTCCTCCAGAAGATGGTGATGCCTGTTTTCTGACATCCCAGGGCCTTCTATATCTCTCTTATGTCCCCCAGCAACTTCACCTTGGGACATCTTTATAAATCCATTCGTTCAACATTCACTGAGCACCTGCTATGTTCAAGGCCTTGTGCTGGGGATCCCAAGATAAAGCTCAAGGTCTGGTAGGCAGAAAGACAAGAATCCTGAATTTGACAGAAACACAGGCCTGCTGCTTTATTATTGCACTAATGGAGTGATGCATACTCTAGACACATAAAGAAGGAAGGCGCCTGTCACTGATGGGACGTTTCCTGGAGGAAGTTGTACATTCTGTACAGGCTTTATCTTATTTATCTTCTTACCTCTGTTAACTGAAGAATCATGAGAATTATAAATTCAGAGAAGACAACTTTATTTCTTTTTTTTTCTTTTCTTTTTTTTTTTTTTTGAGACGGAGTGTCCCTCTGTGGCCCAGGCTGGAGTGCAGTGGCTCGATCTCTGCTCACTGCAACTTCCACCTCCCAGGTTCAAGCAATTCTCCTGCCTCAGCTTCCTGAGTAGCTGGGATTACAGGTACGCACCACCATGCCTGGCTAAATTTTTTTTTTTTTTTTTTGTATTTTTAGTAGAGACGGGGTTTCAGCATGTTGATCAGGCTGGTCTTGAACTCCTGACCTCGTGATCCACCCGCCTCGGCCTCCCAAAGGGCTGGGATTACAGGCGTGAGCCACCATGCCCAGCCGAGAGCTTTATTTCTTATAGAGGATTGCGTTCTATGGGGTAGCCATCCTAATAGGCTGGGAAGTGTAGCCTCTGGCAGAGACTGAAAGCAGTCACTTTGAAGGAGGAAAGGTGAGACAGGAATTTCTGCTGAACAGGTGGGCCAGGTATACATTTTCAAGAGGTTATGGGAGGAGCTATGAATATTCACAAAGGGGGAATGCACACATGCATAGTAAGCAAACGTGCATGTTACATGCGTCTCATGTTCACTTTGGGGTGCAGACAACGTTTAAATGCACCACAAATCTTGCCTATGTGTCAAAAGGTGACACAGAAGACACAAAGGCACTTAGTGGGCAGCCTCTGTCAACTGGCCAGAACCAGTCCATGGTTGCTGGTCTTTTATCAAGAGAAAGCTACTGAAATCAGTCTCTTGTCTGATCAAAGGTGTAGTTATGGCTGGTGGAACAGGAGGCCAGTTAGTCGGTGTCTGGCAGTAGATGGTCGGCAATTGTTTCAGCATTGCTTATCTCCAGGCCAGGGCTTGTTTAGCTGCTAGAGAAAACAGAAAGCCTTGTGGCAGCTAGAACATAGCTTATTCTTTAAGTGCAGGGGGTGTGACTTACCCCGGGCCTCGCATGGCCTTAGGTCCTGTTTGTAATTTGATATCTCTTAGCCACAGAGTCGGTTCCATCACTCTTATGATTTCTATTTTAACACCCCTGTGCCCCTCTTTAGAGCAGGGATGTCATTTTTACCTCCTTGTGTTCCTCGTGCCCAGTATCAGGCCTTCTACCTTCACTCTCTCCCGTCTCACCTGTGAGCAGAACCTGTGAAGTTAGGGTCTTTTCCTCTTCCTAGAGTTTAAGCACTGGGGGGCTGGGACCTGGTTTGCCTTTAGGACGATGGGGCTAGACAATGAGGTAGGGGCTGTGACCTTGGCAAGTTCAGTCATTTCCCACTGGGCCCATCCAGCCAGGGCCTAGCTTTGGTCCCCTAGCCTGGGCCACAGCTCAGCCCTGGGCACTGTGAGAGAGGTCAGGGAGGAGCCGCAGCCTTTTGCCAGCTCCCAGGCCCCAACTTCTGTGAGCATTTCTGTCCTTGGAGAAGAAGCTGGACACAGGCTCAGAGAGCAATGAAAAAACAATGAAGGCCTTCAGGGAGGGCAATGTGCAGCCGTGTGTGTGTGTGTGTGTGTGTGTGTGTGTGTGTGTGTGTGTGTGTGTGTGTGTGTGTGTGTGTCTTAGGTTAGGCTCTCTAAAAGCAAAGCCTGAGATGGTTGGGGCTGGGGAGTTATGGTTTAGCCAAGTGATTTGCTGGGAAAATGCTCTCAAGAGAAACTGAGGGAATGAGTGAGGCAGCCAAGCAAAGATGTGGCTCAGGAAGCTTAGTCTCAGCCTGTTTCCAGGGGAGCTCTGGAGTATGACAGTGCCATAGTCACCCCACCTCTGTGTGTGTGTGTGTGTGTGTGTGTGTGTGTGTGTATTGTGGGGGAGAGGGGGTAATCTAGGCATTTGGCATTTCTGGCCAAGGCAGCTCTCTTGGCTAAAGGCAATTCCCTGGGGAAGGTGAGCACCCTGAGCTGTCAGCAGCTGGGGATGGATGCACCTGTCACCTTGGGGAGCCAGGAGGGGCACCGATGGCATCCACCGCCAGGACTGCTAAGATGGTGATGCTAACTGAGTGACGACCAGTCTGTACAGATGACAAAGCCCCTTCACACAATCAGCCCACTGAAAAGCACAGCTCTCTTGCAAGGGGTTGGGGAACTGTCCCTTTCCTGAGTTCCTGGCCCGCCTGGTTCTGTCCTAGAGGTCCTGGGAGGATTCTTTCCTGGGCTCAGTGGGGTCAGGCCTCTGAGGAATGGCCTGGGGAGATCTGGGCTGACCCCTCCCAGATACACTCAGGAGGGAGCCCCAGACTTCTTCTGGCCTTGGCACCTCTTCTCTAAACCTCCTCCTCCATCCTCTCCTGCCAGCTCCAGCCCAGGCGCAGATCGTGCATGCGGGCCAGGCATGTGTGGTGAAAGAGGACAATATCAGCGAGCGTGTCTACACCATCCGGGAGGGGGACACCCTCATGCTGCAGTGCCTTGTAACAGGGCACCCTCGACCCCAGGTAAGCCCCCAGCCCAGCCTTGCTCAGGCCCCTCCTACCCTCACCTTGCCTAGGCTCAGCACTTAAGAAGAGGCAGCAGGAGATGAGGACTCACGATGCACCGCAGCATGGAGGCAGAGAACAGGAGATGGGGGCTGGGGAAATAGCAGGAAAATTAACTCTGTGGGGAAGGGCTGGAGGCTATGGGCTCATTCACCTGAAAACATGGACGGCTGAGGGGAAAAATGGAATGCCGGTTGTTCAATTCCACTCCATTCCACGGATCTGTTGAGCAGACACATCCTTAGATGCACTTTCTAATGTGTCTGTGGGCAGACCATGTGCCAGGCACGGTGCCAGACACTTTCTCCAGTGTTTTCCCTGTGGAGCCTCACAGCTGTGCAGTGAGGAAGGCATTAGTGACCCCCTTTTGCAGCTGAGGAATTTGCGACTCAGTGAGGTTGGGTAAACTCCCAAGCGCACGCAGCTCTTGTGAGGATGGAAGCAGACATTGAATCCAGAACCAGTGTCCTCTTAGCTTACTCTGCTTCCTCCCAGCATGTCCATCTTTGAGTTGGGAACTTCAGGAGTGAAAATCAGCATAGAAAACGTGATCTCTATCTACTTCAGGTTTCTGGCAGGCAAGCTTCACACCCTTGAGGTTCAAAGATCCAAAGCAATTAGAAAGAAACAGAAAATAAGAATCTGGGAATGCCAGATGAATTTTGTCACCGTCGAAGTGTATGGCTCAGGCAGGAAGCACTGGCCTGTGATCACTGAGAGCTGAGGGGAGGAAGTAGGGAGGAGGTGGGCTGAAGGGATGGGAGGAATTTGCTGGTGAGCTACTGTGACCTTTAATAGCAACAGAAAGGGTGACAGTTGGATCCTAGAAAAGACAATGAAATACAAAATTCTTTTTTCTAGATCATTTTGGGAACATAGATGGCTTTAGTAGGTTCGGCCTTGAGACAGGCAGATGGACAAAAAGCTATGATCACTGCTGCTCCTTCTTAAAGGAGTGTTTTAGAAGGGAAAACAATGCTGCTGGAGTAGGTCGATGTCTGTGTCAGGTGTGATCATTAAAGGATGGAGGGTCCTCCCTAAAAGCCAGTGAGGCCTCTGGGTCATTCTCCCTAAGGCTGCACTGGCCATCTGTGTGTGTCCCCTTGGGTGTCCCTGTATGGGTCATGTGTGATTGTGGCTGTGTGTATGTGTACGTGGTTTTCTATTTCCATCAGTGGTTTCATTCGTTCTACCACCCAGGCGCAAACCCTTGGGCTCATATTTGACCTTGCATCTTCTCATTCCTCACATCTAGCCAGACTCTGAGGCCTTCCTTGTTTTTTTTTTTTTGAGATGGGGTCTCACTTTGTTGCCCAGGCTGAGTGCAGTGGTGTGATCACAGCTTACTGTAGCCTTGACCTCCTGTGCTCAAGTGATCCTCCCACCTCATCTGACCAAGTAGCTGAGACCACAGGTGTGTGTCACCATGCCTGGATCATTTTTAATTGTTTTTGTAGATACAGGGTGTCCCTATGTTACCCAGGCTGGTCTTGAACTCCTGGCTTCAAGCCTAGAACTCTTGCTTGAACTCTGGTCTTGAACTCCTGCTTCAGCCTCCCTAAGTGCTGAGATTACAGATGTGAAGCACTGTACTGGCACGCCTTTCTTTTTATGTTTCTTGCATGGGTCTTCTCTTCTCTTTTCTTCATTACCCCTCTGGGTCAGCCTATCAGTCCTGTCGCTTGGACCGTTGCAGTAGACTCTAAACTGACCTCCCAATCTCTCACCTCACCCCTCCTCCCATCTATTTTTTTTTTTTTTTCGAGACAGGGTCTTGCTGTGTCGCCCAGGCTGGAGTGTAGTTGTGCAATAAGGCTCACTGCAGCCTTGACCTTCTGGGCTCAAGCAATCCTTCCCCCTCAGCCTCCCAAGTACCTGGGACTACAGGCATGCGCCTCCATGCCCAGCTAATTTTTCTTTTCTTTTTTTTTTTTCAGAGACAGGTTTTCACCATGTTGCCTATGCTGGTCTTGACCTCCTGGGCTCAAGTGATCCTCCTGCCTCAGCCTCTCAAAGTGCGGGGATTACGGGCATGAGCCATTGCACCCAGCCCCCTTCAATCTGTTCCTGCACTTTGCTACCAGAATGATAACCCCTGTTGTGCTACATCATATCACTCCCCTGCTCAGAGATGTTCAATGGCTCCCCTTCATTTACCAGATTCATTCAAGCTCCTAGGGATGGAATCGAAGACCTTCTACAATCTGGCCTCCACCTGCCTCTCTTGTCTGATCTCCCACTGCCACCCTCCTCACACCCTGTGCTCTAGTCAGACTTGCCTCCCCATCATCCCCAAGTACATATCTGTTCGTTCCTGCTTTAGCCAAAGTTGCTTGCCTCTCCTAAAATGCCTTCTAGTTTTTTTGCTTGTTTCATTATAAGAAATATTTATTGAGCATCTGCTACATGCCAAGCAAAGTTATGGGTCCTAAAGATGCCCCTATAGTTTCTGTTCTCATGGAGCATCCAGACTACTAGAGAAACAAGGGAAATATCATCTCATGGCCCACTTAGTGGTCAAGATGGGGGACTAAGGGACTGAGGGAACATGGAGTGCCTCACTCCAAACAAGCTGTGAGAAGGAGGGATATCTGGGGGCCAGAAATGCAGACAGAATCTACAGTGATGGCAGGTAGCAGAAGTTGAGGAGCCTAGCCCATGAAGAGACTGGCACTGCATACACACTACTGATAGTTGTATTAACACACACATAAGGGGTATGCATTGAGGCTACAGGTCCATCCATGGCTGGGAGCTGGAATTGAACTCTACCTAAAGCTGGAAACTCAACAAGAGTGGCATCATCTATGAATGAGGACCAGAAGATCTCTGTCCCACAGCCCAGACTCACTGCAGGGAACAGACTGTCCTTCAGGGTGTGGATAAAAATGTAGCCACCTATGAGATAGCATAACCCTAAATCTGTCTGTATTTTGCAATATCCAAATAGTGAGGAAACCCTAACCTGAGAAACCAACATAAAAATGTTTTGGACATATGAATCCATGATCTTCGGTATAGGCAACCACCTATACCCAAGTAGTGAATGAGAAACAGGACCATAAAAGTCCAAGTAGGACTTCTATGGAAGATAATCCCACTGAGTACAAACCTGTGGAGTAAAATTTTAAAATATTAAAAAATACAGTGCCAGAAGAGTCAGTCCATAGACCCAACAAGGTGAATAATTCACAACTGAGGAACTAGAGAAAACAGAGCAATTTGAAAGGATCTTCAAAATTTAAAAAAATTAAATATTGGAAGAGATAATGGAAGGAATAGAATCCATAATACAGGAGATTATAAAACCTGATCAGTTAGGTACAGAAATTAGCAAACAGAAATCCTAGAAATAAAAATAATACAGTCTTTAAAAATGTTGGCCTCAGTACCCTAGAGATAGCTAAAGAAAAAATTAGTGAATTGGATAATAGATCTGAGGAAATCAGCCATGCATTTCCAATGGAGTCCAGGGAAGACAAAGAGACAGGAGATGTGAAAAAGAAGTTGAGAGACATGGAGGATAGAATGAGAAGCTACAACATAAATTTAGGCATTCCAGAAGGAATGAATAGAAAAAGAGAGGAGGCAATATTTAAAGAGATGAAGGACCAGGTGCAGTGGCTCACACCTGTAATCCTAGCACTTTGGGAGACCAAGGTGGGAGGACTGCTTCAGGCCAGGTGTTCAAGAACAGCCTGGGCAACATAGTGAGACCCTAGCTCTACCAAAAAAAAAAAAAAAATTAGCCAGGTGTGGTGGCACACACCTGTAGTCCTAGCTACTTGGGAGTCTGTGGCAGGAGGATCCTTGAGCCCAAGAGTACCACTGCACTCCAGCCTGGGTGACAGAGCAAGACCTCATCTCTAGTGATTAAAAAAAAAAAAAGAGAGAGATAAAGACTGAGAATTTTGTAGAATTGAAAAAAGGTAGGAACTCTCAGATGCATAAAGCATACCAAGGCTTGAGCAGTATGTAAACAAACTCCATCTAGACAAAATGTTTTATGTAAACATAAAACATCAAGTACAAAAGGATCAAATGTTTTCATGTCCCTGTTATCTCTCCAAAGAACTCTCTGATCTGGTATGTCTTGCCTGAAACTGCCTCTAACTTTTCCCAGGTTTTGTAACCTCTAGCTCCATGAGGGTAGAGTCAAATGCGGGCAGGGGATGAGAGCAGCAACACTGTGGTCCTGGGTGGTCCCTCCCTGCATGAGAAAGGTTGCCCTTTCACCCCTTCTCCCCAGCCTTGCTTTTCTGGCCTCTGGCCTGACCTGTTCATGAGGATCAGGCTGCCTGCCCTGTCTCTGTAATAAACAAGCCTCCCTACTTAAAGACTGAAGTCCCTACCCACTGCCCCTATCTCTACCCCACTCCTTAGACTTAGTTATCTAGAACTGATCTGTTTTTCTTAAAACTCTGGCACCTTGAGTAGTAGGCTTAGGTTTCTCATGCAATCCTTGATATTTTTCTATAATCTAAGACAATATTAATAATAATAGAAATTTGTTGAGTGACTAATGTATACCAGACACCGCACATAGGGGATTTATATACTTTCTTTGTAAACCTCATAATAATCTTGCAGAATGGGTATCATGGTGTATTAATCATGTATTACTGCATAACAAATACTCCAAAACTTAGGGGCTTCAAACAACATGTACTGTCTCACAGTTCCTGTGGACAGGAACCCGGGAGCAGCTTAGCTGGCTGGCTGTGGCTCAGGGTTTCTCACAAGGCTGCAATCCAGCTGTCAGGCAGGGGTGCAGTCATTGGAGGATGACTGAGACTGGAGGATCTACTTCCAAGCTAACTCACGCGGCTGTTGGCCTGAGGCTTCAATTCCTCCCCAAGTGAGCCCCTCCATTGGGCGGCTCAGGACCTGACAGCTGGCTTTCCCTGGAATGACTGACCAAGATGGAAATCAGTCTTTTTTTTTTTTTTTTTTTTTGAAACAGTCTTGCTCCGTTGCCCAGGCTGGAGTGCAGTGACCTGATCTCGGCTCACTGCAACCCCCGCCTCCCGGGTTCAAGCTATTCTCCTGTCTCAGCTTCCTGAGTAGCTGGGACCACAGGTGCGCGCCATAACGCCCGGCTAATTTTTGTATTTTTAGTAGAGCCGTGGTTTCACCATGTTGGCCAGGCTGGTCTCGAACTCATGAGCTCAGGTGATCCGCCCGCTTGGCCTCCCGAAGTGCTGGGATTAGTGGCGTGAGCCACCGTGCCCGGCCGAATCCATGCTCTTAACCACGGCACTGCGCGCCCCATTTAAAGCCTCTTCCCTCTGATCCCGGATTCCCCAGCTCTTGACTCCGTGGCATTCTACCCCGTCTGTGCATTCCCACGAGTCTGTCTGGGTTCGTTTCCTAGGCCTGCGTGTGCCCCACGTGCGCTTGTGAAAAAGTATGGGAGAAAGGGGGTGCCGTTGCAGGGCACTCAGCGCTGAGGCCCCCACCCCGTGTGAGTCTGACAGTCTGACTCTGCCCCGCCTGGCGGCCCAGGTACGGTGGACCAAGACGGCAGGTAGCGCCTCGGACAAGTTCCAGGAGACATCGGTGTTCAACGAGACGCTGCGCATCGAGCGTATTGCACGCACGCAGGGCGGCCGCTACTACTGCAAGGCTGAGAACGGCGTGGGGGTGCCGGCCATCAAGTCCATCCGCGTGGACGTGCAGTGTGAGTTGAGGCCCCCTCTCTCCCCGGGCCCTGACAGCCCAGCCCGGGCCAGAGGGCGCCCCAGGGATGAGGTGAGGTGGGGAAGTGGGCATGGGGTGGAACGGAGAAGCTGACCTTGGTGGAGGAGCCTAAGAGGTACCAGGCGGTGTGTACCACCCTCTACCATCTACACCTTCGCACCTGTAATCTCATATGAACCTTGCAACTTCCCTTGAGGTGAGCAGGGAGGGCAGGATGGGTTGATTTACACTCCTTCTGCAGATGAGAAAACTGAGGTCCCATGTGATTTGCCCACAGGCATGGAGCGGGGTAGCCTCAGAGCTGAGAGGAAGACACAGATCTCTTCCCCATTGTCCGCTGCCCTTCCCACAGTACCTCATGTCTCTGCTTTTGTCCTGCTGCAGCTCTGAGATTTCCCTCCTTACTACATTACATATAGGACCAAGCCCCACTCCCCAGGTCCTAGCTGCTAGCTGCATGAGAAGCTGCCAGTCCCTACCTGCTCTCCACGGGTAATCCTTTAGCCCGAGGAGCCTGTTTTCCTGAGTCATCCGTCAGGCTGAGTCAGGTACCCAGAAACTGTTGGCCCAGGCCCAGGAGCCTGTCTGGCACCATTTTAAGGCTTATAATGAACCTACCTATTAGCTATACATCCTCACACTCCCTAAGTGGGACTCAGTAGAGTGATGAACACTGACACCCCAGACCTCTCTTCTGTCCCTCATCAGCTAGCCAGGGTCCTGCCAAACCCTGGAGCTGAGGGCCATTTCTTAGGTTATTGGCCCTGGAAGAGGCTGGCAGGCATAGCCTGGACCCCACCAATGCCCACCTCCTCTCATGGCCATGGTGGTGACTTCTATCCCAGTAGGCTGTGGAAGGGGCAGAATGATGGGCTGCTGGAACATTCGTTGCAAGATGTTGGAATGTGTACTGTCAATGCCTGTGACTCACAGCCATACATTAAGCTCTCTAGGGGACCCTTTAAAAAAACGGATGCCTGGGGCTTCCTTCCAGAGATTCTGATGTAATTGATCAGGGGTGGGGCCAAATATCGATTCTTTCTTAAGCTTTTTAATTATTTTTTTAAAGTGAGGATTAATCAATAGAGTGTACTAATCTTAAGTGCAAAGGTTAATGATTTTTTACATATGTGTGTGTGTGTAAACAACTTCCAGTTCAAGAGATAGAACATTTCCAGGACTCTAGAAAGTTCCTTCATGCCCCCTCCCAGTCAATAATTCCCCCCTGGGAGGCAATCATTGTTCTGACTTTTGACACTATCAATGAGCTCTGCCAGGTATCAGTATTAAAAAGAAAATCTCCACGTAATGCTCTTGGGCAAACAGGGCCAAGAACTACTAAGCTACCTTAGTTTACCAATGAGGAAACAGGCCCAGAGAGAGAAGGGACTTAGGTGGGTCACACTACAAATTAACAGCTAAACTAGGATTTGAAGAAGCAGCTGCTTCCTCCATCCCATGATGGGAGATTGCAAAGCTAGACACCCTCATGCAGGTCCCTGGGAGGCACAGCTCAGAGGAAGTCTGGGAAGGCATCAAGTCCTGTTGTCTTGGCCGGATGCAGTGGTTCACACCTGTCATCCCAGCATTTCAGGAGGCTGAGGCGGGAGGATTGCTTGAGCCCAGGAGCTCAAGAACAGTCTGGGCAATATGGTGAAACCCTGTCTGTACAAAAAATACAAAAATTAGCCAGGTGTGGTGGTGCATGCCTGTAGTCCCAGTTATTCAGGAGGCTGAGGTGGGAGGATCAATTGAGCCCAGGAGGTTGAGGCTGCAGTGAGCGATGATTGCGCCATTCCCCTTCAGCCTGGGTGACAGAGTGAGACTCTGTCTCAAAAAAAAAAAAAGAGTCCGGGCGCAGTGGCTGATGCCTATAATCCCAGCACTTTGGGAGGCCGAGGTGGGCAGATCACAAGGTCAGGAGATCGAGACCATCCTGGCCAACATGGTGAAACCCCGCCTCTACTAAAAATACAAAAATTAGCTGGGCATGGTGGCATATGCCTGTAATCCCAGCTACTTGGGAGGCTGAGGCAGGAGAATTGCTTGAACCAGGGAATCAGAGGTTGCAGTGAGCCAAGATTGTGCCACTGTACTCCAGCCTGGTGACAGAGCAAGACTCTGTCTCAAAAGAAAAAAAAAAAAAAGGAAAAAGTCCTATCCCCTGCCTCTAACAGGTTAGTTAAGCTTGCAGGGCTGAGAGGGCATCTGGCAATCTGGAAATGTCTGTTGAGGGTGGCTCAGCTCTTCCTAAGGGCTGCCAGGAGCCTGAGCCCCCCAACCTTGGGGTCACCCAGTCCTGACTCCATGGGGGCTGTGCCCTTGCAGACCTGGATGAGCCAATGCTGACGGTGCACCAGACGGTGAGCGATGTGCGAGGCAACTTCTACCAGGAGAAGACGGTGTTCCTGCGCTGTACTGTCAACTCCAACCCGCCTGCCCGCTTCATCTGGAAGCGGGGTTCCGATACCCTATCCCACAGCCAGGACAATGGGGTTGACATCTATGAGCCCCTCTACACTCAGGTCAGGATGGGCAGCTGGCTCGCCCCATACCACTTCTCCTGCATCCAACAGGGGAGGGGGGCATGGGGCTGAGTTTTTGGGACTGCCTTGACTTCAACAATTCTATTCTTACTTTGGAAACACACATTCTGATTGGAGTTCAGACAGCCTGGGGCAGAAAAATCAGATGGAAAGGTCAGGGAGCAGCAATGAGGGCAGGAGTGTCCCCGAGGCAACATGTCCTCCAGGAACATTGCTAGTTAGGAAAAGGCACCCCTAGGGGCAGACAGGTCATCCCAGTCTGCTGCTGGGTGGCAGAGTATTGGGAACCTGTGGCCAGGCACAGCAGGATCTGGGGGCGAGGAGATGACTCCTCTTCCCATGGGCCCTGATAGTCCCAGGAGATGGTGGTGATGCCATTCTGCCAAGGAGGGCTTTCAGCGGTGGCTGCAGGCCAGCCCCATGTTTGTGTGGGTTGTACGAGTAAGTTCCCTTCTTACCCCTCCGTTTCCCAGACTGGAGAAACCAAGGCCTGGTACTTGCCAGTGTGCACAAGGGCAACCTCAGACCCAGAGAATCCCATGATGAGGCACTGCCAAGGCTATGGAGAGTGTAGCATCCACCCCAGGCTCAGGACCCCTGGGGCTAAATGGTGAGGGTGGGGTTGGGGATGGAAAGAGAGGAATTAGACAGGCATTTGTGGTAGGCTCTGGTGCTGGGTGAATGAGTATGCGGGATCCCTGGAGACTCAAGCAGGCACCTCACCCCAGTGGTCCACTGCTGCCCAGGGGGAGACCAAGGTCCTGAAGCTGAAGAACCTGCGGCCCCAGGACTATGCCAGCTACACCTGCCAGGTGTCTGTGCGTAACGTGTGCGGCATCCCAGACAAGGCCATCACCTTCCGGCTCACCAACACCACGGGTACAGGCATTTTCCTCCCCATACTCCTTCCCTACCTGAGCTAACTCCCAACCAGGAGATAGTGCCCCACCCCACAGGGACTCCAGGCACACTGCCACTAATGTCTGGCCCCTCCCCTCCTCTTCCTGCTCCGTCTTCTCCCCTCTCATCTCCCCTGAGGGCTTCTCCAGCCTCTATGGTTTTCCTAGCCCCTTACTCTCCCCAACATCCAGCCCTGCCTCACAGTCCCCTAAGACCCCCCTCCTTGTCCTCTTAGCACCACCAGCCCTGAAGCTGTCTGTGAACGAAACTCTGGTGGTGAACCCTGGGGAGAATGTGACGGTGCAGTGTCTGCTGACAGGCGGTGATCCCCTCCCCCAGCTGCAGTGGTCCCATGGGCCTGGCCCACTGCCCCTGGGTGCTCTGGCCCAGGGTGGCACCCTCAGCATCCCTTCAGTGCAGGCCCGGGACTCTGGCTACTACAACTGCACAGCCACCAACAATGTGGGCAACCCTGCCAAGAAGACTGTCAACCTGCTGGTGCGATGTACGTGGCCTCAGAAGGGGTGGGAGGGAAGTTGTGAGGCAGACAAGGTCCCTGGTCTTTGGGAGCTACCAATGAACTAGGAAAGGGGCCTGTCTGCTTCTCCTTGGTAGATGAGTCATGCAGAGGATGTTCCACGCCCTTCGATTTCCCTGCAATTCAGCTAACTGCCAGCAGATGGCAGAAGGAATAAAATTTGTATAAAGCTTTATTGACAGTTGACAATCTACATTTCCAAATGTAACCTCAACAATCCAAGAAGTAGGAAGGGCTAGGATTGATTACCTACATTTTTTTTTTAAGATTGGGAAACTGAGGCTGCAAAAGCTAAATGGGGACATTCTAGGCTTCAAGAGTAATTTCCTGGCTTTCTCCCTGTACAGTGGTTTCTATGTGATTAACTGAATTTAAGTGAAAATAACACACATTTCCATATGCCCTATATGGAAATATTTATTAGGGAAGTATTTAAGTGAATCTGAAGATAATTACTAAATGAAAAATGATACAAAACTTTGAGCACAGTCTAAAGAAGTATAAACATTTTTCTTATTAAACCTCAGCCTCAGTAATTAACTGCTCACTATGATCTTGATTTTGACACTCTGAATTAAGGAGAAAACTAAATTTTTCTGCTTGTGCAGCTTTAGGGATTTTGTTTGTTTTCTTTTCTTTTTTTTAAAATATATTTTGGCTACCTGAGAGCATCGATTCAAGTTGCCCTGAATATACACTCCCTGTTTGGTTTTGGTTGTTCTTTTTAAAGATCCAGGCTTGTTTCCAGCTCTTTAGCACTTGAACATAAAGTACAGCTTCTGCCGAACTCCACTGAGAGTCACTGATTACATGGACTCTCTTCATCTCTCACTGACCAGTCAGTTTCTTTCTGACTCTCCTCACAGAAAGAAACTAGCTCTCTGTGACTTTTTACTTAATCAGAGCAAGAAAGAAGGTTTAAAACTGTGACTAATGACTACTTTTTCCTTCGATGGTACTTTTCCCATCAGAAGATTATTTTTCTCCACCTGATTCCATTTGGCCTTTTAAGCCTGGGTTGGTAAGATCTCAATTTACATCAAATACTTATGGTCACCTCTTAGGGTGGCTGTAGAGCCCGCCTTTCCCAGCACAGACCTGACTTGTGCCTGTTGTGCCAGTGTCCTGTCCAGAAGGTTGGGTACCTGATTAAAAACTCGATTTAACTCTTGGCTTATTTCAAACATGATCCACATTTTTTTAAGAGGCCAGACCTTTTTCTTTCCAAATGCTGTGTTTTCATGTAATTGCATGTAAAGTGATCGTATTGGTCTCTTATTACAAAAATTACACTCACTTATTACAAAGAGTCAAACAGCACAAAAGAGTGAAATGTAAGAATTCAATTGTCAATTCTCCTCAGTTCCACTCTCTAGATAGAACCACTGTTATATTCTAGTGCATGCTTCCAAATGTGTATTTTGCATATTTAAAGTTTAAAACAATGATAAAAACAAAGCATTGTAGGGGTCAAGAGCTCAGACTCTGAGTTTGAATTCAAGATTGGCTACTTTTTTGGGCAAGTTACTTAAGCTGTCTGAGCCTCAGTTCCCTTCTTTGTAAAATGGGGGTAATAAAGCATCTCCTTCAGAGATTCTGGGATGGGTTAAACTAGTAAATCCATGTTAAGTGCTTGGAACAGTGCCTCTCACATAGTGTATATTCTGTTATTACCAAAACTGCTTTTCTGCAGTGACCTTTTTTGAACTTTTAAAGCACATCTGAACAAATGAAACAATTCCCAGGCAGAGAAAAGTGATAGTTTCACCTGGGGGAGTTGTAGCCCCCTATCCCCAGAAGGGCCAGCTAGAGGGGAGAAGCTGGGTCTGGGTTGGGGTGGGACATGGACCCCTGGAGTCAGGCCAACCCCAACTACCCTTCCCTCCCCATCCACTCACAGCCATGAAGAACGCTACATTCCAGATCACTCCTGACGTGATCAAAGAGAGTGAGAACATCCAGCTGGGCCAGGACCTGAAGCTATCGTGCCACGTGGATGCAGTGCCCCAGGAGAAGGTGACCTACCAGTGGTTCAAGAATGGCAAGCCGGCACGCATGTCCAAGCGGCTGCTGGTGACCCGCAATGATCCTGAGCTGCCCGCAGTCACCAGCAGCCTAGAGCTCATTGACCTGCACTTCAGTGACTATGGCACCTACCTGTGCATGGCTTCTTTCCCAGGGGCACCCGTGCCCGACCTCAGCGTCGAGGTCAACATCTCCTCTGAGACAGGTGGGCAGCTGGAGGGGCACTGCGGAAATGTGAGGGGGGTGGAGAGGCCCACAGACAGGAGGTAGTGGGGAGGCAACGGCTTGGGAAAGGGAAGCCAGAGTGAGGAGGCCACCACTTGTTCATGCCACGTGCTTTTATTGAGTCCCTGTTAATATGCCAGGCACTGTGCTAGGTCCTGGGGTAGAGCGGTGGGCAAAACAGGCTCTGCCCTCATAGAGCTTAGGAGGAAAGGCAAACACGTTTCAGATAGTCTCACAAATAAATATATCATTGCAAACTGTGATACATGAGAGCCTGGAAAGAGTTCCCTGAGGGCAGTGCAGCCTCAAAGGGAGAGACTACTCTTTAGCCTGTACGGTGTGTAGAGGGCTTGGGAGTTGGAATGTCTTAGTAGAACTAGAGCAGGGGCCCAGGGCTGTTTCCTCCATTTGGCTCATAGGCCTGATGTCTAGGGCATGGAAGTGTCTTAAGGGCCCGGAAAAATAAATTAATTGGTTCCAAAATACAAAGAAACAACTGCATAATTCAAGCCAATAAATGCATAAATGTTTATAGAGTATATATTATACTAACAAGATCACTGGACCTCAGCTTGCCTTGTAGAGCTATTTACAAATAAGAACTTTGTATTTAAATTATATTTAATGTGGAACATGGGTACATTTTAATTTGTTTGATGTAATGTGCAATGGGACTCATGGAAGTCTTCAAAAGACCCTCTGATTGGGCAATGTGTTGGGTTGAATTAAGTTCTGCCGTGAATAAAAGAAATTAACAGTGTTATTAACAGAAATAACCCTAATTAACAGTGGCTTAAACTAGCTAGATGTGTATTTCTTCTTCATGTAAAACTGTGCTGGTGAGCAGTCAGGGCTAGTATAGGGGCTCTGCTCCACCAAGTCCTCAGGGCCCCAGGCTCCACCTGGCTTGCTCTTCCATCATCCTTAGCATGTGCCACGTTGCCCATGATGGCAGTTCCAGCTGCAGCCATTATTCTGCATTCTTTTCTGCAGGAAGGAGAAGAGGGGTACAGCTTCTTTTAAACGCCCTCATTTTCCTTAGTATCCCATTGGCGAGAATTTAGTCACGTGGCTGTAGCTAACGATAATGCAGGCTGGGAGATGTACTCTTTTTTCTGGGTGGCTATAAGCCCTGCTGAAAACTAGGTATCCTATTACTTAGGACGAAAGGGCAAGGATGTAGGACAGACTAGCAGCCTGTGATAACACACTAGGGCAAGAGAAGATGAAGTCTTTAAATAGGCCAGGGCCCGGAGTAGGACAGAAGGACCAAGAATGGATATATTTAGAAATGTTTAAGAGGTGGAATCCCTAGTACTTACTAGTGCTGGGGAAGAAGGAATATAGGCCAGGCTGACTTCAGGTCTCTTTTTGAGTTGGGAGACACTGAGGTGGAGACCCAGGAGATGGAGAGGATTTGGAAAAGTGAGTTCTGCTTTGGAAATACTGGGGGACCAGTCGGAAGTCTGGGATGGGAGAGAGAGGCTTGCCCCTAGCGGGAGGTAAGCAGGAGCCAGAAGGCAGAGCCCAGTGGGGAGCTCTAACTCCGCTCCTACCTCTCCGCTGATCACCATCACCCCCACAGTGCCGCCCACCATCAGTGTGCCCAAGGGTAGGGCCGTGGTGACCGTGCGCGAGGGATCGCCTGCCGAGCTGCAATGCGAGGTGCGGGGCAAGCCGCGGCCGCCAGTGCTCTGGTCCCGCGTGGACAAGGAGGCTGCACTGCTGCCCTCGGGGCTGCCCCTGGAGGAGACTCCGGACGGGAAGCTGCGGCTGGAGCGAGTGAGCCGAGACATGAGCGGGACCTACCGCTGCCAGACGGCCCGCTATAATGGCTTCAACGTGCGCCCCCGTGAGGCCCAGGTGCAGCTGAACGTGCAGTGTGAGTCCACCACGCCACCCGGACTACCTTCCCAGCTTTCCTTCTGGCTCCCAGCCGGCCTGTCCCCTCTTCATCCTCTCACCCACCCCAGTCCAACCAAACCCCACCAGCTACTCCTGATACCCCTAATGCTCCTTGACAGCCCCATGCTGTAGGACACGGAGGTCTGTGTTCTTTGCTCCATTTCATCAAGTATCTCCCATCTTCATTTTCAGGGACCCGGTGAACAAAAAAAAAATTACTTGATTTTGCCAGGTGGAAATGGGATTTTGAAGGAGGAGGAAGGACACTCAAGGGAAACACTGTCTGATAACAGGATGATGAAAATTACCACCATGTGCCAAACACTGTTCTAAGAGTTTTAATGCACTAACTCATTGAACCCCCCACAGCCCTATAATAGATTCTATTATTCCCCCATTTTTACAAACAGGGAACCCGAGACACGGAGAGGTTGAGTAACTTGCCTAAAGTCTCACAGAGTCAGGGCTGGGATTTGAACCCAGCCCATCTAGCTTTAGAGATTATGCGCGAAACCCCTGCGTTATCCTGCATTTCATTGCTTGGGGTGGGCGTGGGGTGAGGGGCCCACTTAGGGCGTGACTGGAGGCCGGGTCTGGGAAGCATGGCTGGAGAGAATGGCCAGGAGGGAGTGGGTATCTGCAGGTTGGGAGGTAAGATCGTGGCCATTGGAGGGATGTGTTGCGAGTGTGCATCCGCCCTGGGATTTTTCCTGGCGGGGGCTCACGGCATTAGAGGCGAGCGCGTTGCCTCCCCACGGGCCACTCCTCAGGCCCCACTCGCTGGGGAGAGGCCCCGCTGACCGCCGCTCCCGCCCCCAGTCCCGCCGGAGGTGGAGCCCAGTTCCCAGGACGTGCGCCAGGCGCTGGGCCGGCCCGTGCTCCTGCGCTGCTCGCTGCTGCGAGGCAGCCCCCAGCGCATCGCCTCGGCTGTGTGGCGTTTCAAAGGGCAGCTGCTGCCGCCGCCGCCTGTTGTTCCCGCCGCCGCCGAGGCGCCGGATCACGCGGAGCTGCGCCTCGACGCCGTAACTCGCGACAGCAGCGGCAGCTACGAGTGCAGCGTCTCCAACGATGTGGGCTCGGCTGCCTGCCTCTTCCAGGTCTCCGGTGAGCGTCCAGTGGGTCCCGCCCCACCTACCACGCCCACCAGGGGCCAGGCTCTGCCCCAATCCCAGCCCGGGTGATTCTTTGCCTGGGTGGGCCTGCTGGCCCCCTTGAAGCCCACCTACTCCAGGCTTAGCCCCGGCCTTTCCAAGACCCGCCCACGCCAAGGCCAGGCCCCGCCCCGTGCCACTCGGATCCCAACCTGGGCCTCCCAGCCCCGCCCTCCAGGTGCGGGCCACGCCCCTCCACTCACACCTTCCCTTGAGGTTGAGGCCTTCGCCTTCCAAGGCCCGCCTATGCCTATACCAGTCCTAAGCCCCGCCCATTACAGCTCAGCCCGCTTCCTGGGCGTGTGACAACCGCGCCGCTTTCAAACATAGCCTTCCCACAGGCCTAGGCTTCGCCTCTCTACCAGCACCCAAACCAGGCCTAGACCCCTTCGAAACCCATCCAAGCCACGTCTGGGCTCCGCCTGCGTAAGGCGTAGGCTCCACCCCTTTCAGCTCGGTCCAATCCCAGCTTCCAGCCGTTCCAGCAGCAGGCAGCATCCCTTCCAGCCCCGCTTCCACCAGCGTTAGAGCCCCTCAAGCCCAGGCCACAGCCCCATCTCAGCCCCTCCCCGCTCGTCCTTGACCCCTGAGGCTACAGATGGGGAACCCTTCGGGAGCCTGAGGTGTAGTTTAGGGGAGAGAAGACGCCCCTCAGCAGCTTCTCTGGAACGTTGTTGCGGGGCACTGGGCCAGACAGCACACGTTTCGTGAGCTGGCACCCTAGAGGTGCAGGCCCTTCGGTGCCCAGAAACCCCTCTCAGCCCCAGCTCTTCGAGGCATTCTCAGGTGGGCTGTCAGGGGCTGCAGGTGGCAATGGGTGGGTCAGAAAGGGGTGGAGGTGGTGGTGAGGGAGGCCTAGGGGAACAAGAGGGGCTGCCTGGGTTGCTGATGGTCTTCCTCCATGTGAGGAGAGCCGCCTCCCTGCAAAAGCTGGTGGCAGCGCCCCTGGAGCAGAGCCTGGGGATGTCTGTCCCCCATTCAGTGGCATACACAGCTTTCCCAGCAGCACCCAACTGACTAAGTGGCCCTTCAGCTTCTGTTTGAATCCCTCACTCAACAGCAGGGGGATAGGACGGCAGGTCACTGGCCCTTTCCCCACTCCCCTCCACCCAGCCCTGCCAGCCAGAGGCCCCTGTGACATTTCCCACCTCCTTCCCTTCTCCCCTGTTCTCCCACACTTTCCCTGTCTCCCCACTCCTCTCTCTATTCCCCTCCTCTCCCTTCTCTTTCTTTCCTCCCAATATCCCTGACTCTTGTGTCTTTCCCCCAATCTCTTTCCCCATCTTCCCTCATATCCCTTTTCTGTGTCTTCCTAAATTTCTCTTTACTCTGTTTTTTTCTCGGCCTGCCTTTCTCTTCTCACCAATATCACCTCTTGGAATTTCCAATCTCCCTGTCTCCATCTCCCACTTTCCCTCCTATCCCATCCTCGTTTTCCCCAATCCCCTCTTCTCCCAACGTTCCCCACCTCACAATATTCCCTTTCTCTTTGTTTCTCCGTCCCCTCTCTGTTTTCCACCTCATCCTCTTGTTTCCCTTTCCCACACCTCCTCTCTTTGTGTCTCCCCTGCACCCTCCACGGCCCAATGCCCCCCTCCCCGCCCTCTTAGCCAAAGCCTACAGCCCGGAGTTTTACTTCGACACCCCCAACCCCACCCGCAGCCACAAGCTGTCCAAGAACTACTCCTACGTGCTGCAGTGGACTCAGAGGGAGCCCGACGCTGTCGACCCTGTGCTCAACTACAGACTCAGCATCCGCCAGGTGGGCCAAGGGGGAGCGGGGGCCTGGGGGCAGGTGGAGTGTGGTGTGGCTGACCCTGGAAATGCTCATCAAGGCCAGAGGAAGGGTCGGAGATGGGGCTTAGACACGTTGACCCTTTTAGAGGCAATTCTTCAGGGGCAGGGAGAAAAGTTTTGGACATAGCAGCAAGAGATTGGAGGTTCTAGGGATCTGTCCCTTCTGGACCCAGACTCTAGGCACAGCTCTGAGAATTGGGCAGGCAAGGGTCTGCTGGGTTCGTGGGGGAGGGAGCCAGCACTGCTCACAGAACATAGAATCAACTCTTGGGTCAAGAGCTTAAGAAGGGTATGGGAGAGGGGAGGGTAAGTCTCATCCAGGGGGTCTCCACCATGCAAAGCCAGGGTCTCTCTGTTGTTCTCGTGCCCAGTCTGATTCCATGTGCTTCTGCTCAGCCCAAGAGGTGATTGGTGGGAGGGTAAGAGTGTGGCTCAGGGGCAGACTGCCTAGACCAGAACCCAGCTTTGTGTGAGCTACAGCAAGCTACTCTCTTTGGCCTCAGTTTCCTTATCTGTAAAATGGGGGTAATTATGATTTTTGCCTCATAGGATTGTAATTTTGAGGATTAAATGACTTACTAATGGCAATATACTTAGAACAGTGCCCCACACTTATTAATGTTTCAGTGTGTTGCTGTCATCATTTTTATTATGAAGACAGCCCTGGGAGGTGGGCACGGAAGGGGTGATTGTCCTGTCTCACAGATGAGGAAACTGAGGGCCTGACTTCCTAGGCATCTGGGAACTCTCTGTACTTAACAGTTGAACCAGCACAATGCGGTGGTCAAGGCCATCCCGGTCCGGCGTGTGGAGAAGGGGCAGCTGCTGGAGTACATCCTGACCGATCTCCGTGTGCCCCACAGCTATGAGGTCCGCCTCACACCCTATACCACCTTCGGGGCTGGTGACATGGCCTCCCGCATCATCCACTACACAGAGCGTAGGTGACAGTGGTGGCGGTAGGAAGGATGGGCCCATCTCATGGCCAGGGACCCCTTTCACCATCCTCATGTGGTTCCTAAGCTTGGGGTTCCCCACCGTGTACTACCTTGTCACTGCAGGCCAGATCCGCTGGCCCCCAGTCCTGGCTCTGAGGACCCTGTCCTCTGGTCCCAAGCAGGGTATCCTCTGCAGAGCCCCACACCTCAGTTCTGACTTGGTTTCCCCGCTTGCTTTCTCAGCCATCAACTCTCCGAACCTTTCAGGTGAGACTCCCCAGTCACCCATGACTTCCCCTTCCCTTTAGGGACACAAAGGCTCTCCTGGTGAGAGAAAGGAGATAGGCTATCCTTGAGATAGTCAGAGAGAAAATGAATTCCCCCTGTGTTTCCATGGGGTAGGGCCAGAGGCTAGAAGGAGAAGCAGGGTTGGGCTGGAGATGTTTATATCTGGGATTTATTCTGGGGTTTAAAGGCCAGGTAGGTGGGGAGAGGCTTACTGTCCCAAAAGCAAAAAGGAGAGGCTGGGCTCATCTACACCCCTTGTTGCCTGAGTCAGGGGTTCTTAGTCTGTGACCCATGGACCTCCAAAGAATCTATGTATAGAATTCAGGCAGTCTATGAACATGGAAAGGCATACAATTAATTTCTTTTTTTTTCTTTTGAGATGGAGTCTCACTCTGTTGTCCAGGCTGGAGGGTAGTAGCACAGTCTCGGCTCACTGCAACCTCTGCGCCTCCCGGGTTCAAGTGATTCTCCTGCCTCAGCCTCCCAAGTAGCTGGGATTACAGGCATGTGCCACCGCACCTGGCTGATTTTTGTGTTTTTAATAGAGATGGGGTTTCACCATGTTGCCCAGGCTGGTCTTGAACTCCTGACCTCAGGTGATCCACCCGCCTCGGCCTCCCAAAGTGCTGGGATTACAGGTGTGAGCCACCATGCCGGCCTCAATTATTTCTTTATTTTCCATGTCTTCTAGCAGAAATTTAACATCCCCTTCAATGATGAATGGAGGACCCAAACCACAGTAGTAAAATCAGGACCTGTGATTTTGTCAGCAGTAGAAATCCTGTGTTCTCACCTTACCTTACAGTTGTTCCAGATATCTCTAAATATCATTTATATCCATTTGTATTTCAAAACTATAGTAGTTACTAGACCTAACACTAGATCTTGTGATTTAATTAGATAATAAAGAAGCCTACTTATGATTTTATAACAAATTGAAAAATATTTTGACAACTGTATTTCGATATAATTGATTTTCTTTATAATCCTATACATTTCATTTTATGTGTCTAAAATCATTATTCTGAGATTATCCTTAGGCTTCACTAGTTGCCAGAAGGGCCTAGGGCACAAAAAGGGTTAAGAAGTCTTGTTATGGCAAGAAATTTGTTATGGGCCCCATGCCTGGTCTTTTGAAGCCCGGAATCCTGGGTGCCTTGCTTGGATGCATGGGAGCTGCCTCTGGGGGGTGAGAGGGGCGAGGCTGGGCCTCAGGGACTGAAGAGGCTGACTCTTTGTCTCATTCGCCCCATAAAATGCAGACAACACCTGCCACTTTGAGGATGAGAAGATCTGTGGCTATACCCAGGACCTGACAGACAACTTTGACTGGACGCGGCAGAATGCCCTCACCCAGAACCCCAAACGCTCCCCCAACACTGGTCCCCCCACCGACATAAGTGGCACCCCTGAGGGTGAGGACCTGGCCTGCTGCCAGAAATGGAGGATTGCTTCAGGGGGGTGTCTAGGCCCAGGGCACCCCAGACTGGGGATGAAGGGAGACGGCTCCAGTCTGAGGGAGACGCAGCCCTGTTCTCAGGGAGCTCTGGTCTGAGGGGAGACACAGCCTCGATTTCAGGGAGCCCTAGTCTGAGGTGAGACACAGCCCCATCCTCAGGGAGCCCCAGTCTGAGGGAGATGCAGCCCTGTCCTGATAGAGGATCAAGAGGAAGAGGAATTACAGTAGAGCCAAGGACTCATGAGCACTGACCAGACTCCTGTGCTGTGAGGCAGGATGCGTGGGGTGAGGCAGGATGCGTGGGGGTGAGGCAGGATGCGTGGGGGTGAGGCAGGATGCGTGGGGTGAGGCAGGATGTGTGGGGTGAGGCAGGATGCGTGGGGTGAGGCAGGATGCGTGGGGCGAGGCACTTCAGATTCAGCCCGCAGAGGCCTAGGCAGAGAGGGAATCAGGTAGGAAGAGGCCTGGCTGTCTTGGGGGCTGTTGGCGCATCTCCCCATTCCCCGCAGGCTACTACATGTTCATCGAGACATCGAGGCCTCGGGAGCTGGGGGACCGTGCAAGGTTAGTGAGTCCCCTCTACAATGCCAGCGCCAAGTTCTACTGTGTCTCCTTCTTCTACCACATGTACGGGAAACACATCGGTGAGTTGGGGGGCCAGGTAGTCTCCACCAAGTGTGTGCTGGAGGATGGGAGGGGAGTGGGGTCCACAGGAGGCGATGGGCTGGCCCATGTGAGGCCTCAGCTTCCCCACTTGGCTAAATGAGAGGTCCTTGGACGGGTCTGCACAGAGAATTGGCAAGAGGAGTTGAAAGCCAGCTTGTCCGAGGTTTTGAGATGATCAGGGTGTCCTGAGCCTGCAGATAGAAGACCCCAGCAGGGGACGGACATGGTGGCTCACGCCTGTAATCCCAACCCTTTGGGAGGCCAAGGCAGGTGGATCACCTGAGGTCAGGAGTTCAAGACAAGCCTGGCCAACACGGTGAAACCCCGTCTCTACTAAAAATACAAAATTAGCTGGGTGTGGTCGTGGGTGCCTGTAATCCCAGCTACTTGGGAGGCTGAGGCAGGAGAATCACTTGAACCCAGGTGGTGAAGGTTGCAGTGAGCTGAGATTGTACCATTGCACTCCATCCTGGGCAGCAAGAGCAAAACTCCATTTCAAAAAAAAAAAAGGAAAAAGAAAAGACTCCAGCAGGATGAGATGGAAGTGGAGGGGATGGAGAAGACAACTAAGAGGATGCAAATATGGAGTGACTGCCAGGTGATGTCCTGGGTGCGCCGCATCCTTGATTGCATTAACCCTCACAGCCACCAGATGAGGGAAGTGTTACCATCCAACTCAGAGACGTCAAGCATTTTTCCCAGACCACACAGTAAGCTAGATCTGTGTGACTTCTCCAAGCCCTAAACATGAGATCGGAAGGGTGCTTCTTTGTGGGCAGTGAGAGGAAGTCCTGCTTCCCAAGTGAGGGAGTGAACATAAGGAGTGCCCTTTGGCAGGCAATGGTACTGGTAGGAGCGTCACATAACCAGTGTCAGCCATCACTTCCAGAGCTCCTGCTCAGTTCCAGGTATCAGGTGCTGTAGTGAACGAGGTGGACGAGTTCCCCATCCTCTTGGCATTTACAGGCAAGTGGGAGAGACAGGTATTAAACAACTCATGCTACCAGCCAGGAGTTAGTGACCCCTGTGGCAGTGGAAGGACAGGGGCTGAGACTGGTGGTAACAGGGAGACCTGCCTGACCCCGCGGCATGGTCATGGAAGACTCTGCTGAGGACATCATGATTTTTTTAAAATTGTTTTTGTTTGTTTACTTGTTTATAGGAAAGGTAATACATTTCACAAAGGCCAAAAGGTACAAAAGGGCACATAATGCAGACGCCCTCCCATCCCAGTTGATCTGCCAAAGGTGATTAATAGACTAGATTTTAGGGCAAATTTTCAGAGATACTTTATCCAATAGAAACCAGTACATATGGCCGGGTGAGGTGGCTCACACCTGTAATCCCAGCACTTTGGGAGGCCGAGGCGGGCGGGACACCTGAGATCAAGAGTTCGAGACCAGCCTGGCTAACATGGCGAAACCTCGTCTCTACTAAAAATACAAAAATTAGCCAGGCTCACGTGATGGCAGGTGCCTGTAAGGAGGCTGAGGTAGGGAGAATTGCTTGAACCCAGGAGGTGGAGGTTGCCGTGAGCCGAGATCACGCCACTGCACTCCCAGCCTGAGTGACAGAGTAAGACTCCGTCTCAAAAAAAAAAAAAAAAAGAAAGAAACCAGTACATATATATATATATATACATATATATAATCTATTTCCTCCCATTTTACACATACCATCCTATACTTGCTTTTTCCCTCTGAATTGTACATCATCTTGGTGATTATTCCTTGTCAGTCCACAGAAAGCATCTTCACTGTTTTCCTCAGCCGTAATGGTAGACGGAGTGACTTTAAGCAAATGTAGATATAAAGGCTCATCGTGGAGAAGTTTCCACAGCTAGGGTGATGGGTCAAGCTGAACTGATGAACAAGAATGGAGTGGGATAGAAGATTCTGCATCCACTGGGGCTCCCAAACCATTTGCACAGATCATTTTGCCCGTGGCTGGGTCTGGACTTCATAAGAAGCTTCTTCTGGGGTAGGTGAGAGTGGATGACCAGGACTCCACCACCCTGCCGAGTCCTCTCATTTCCATTTGGCTTCCCCAGGTAGGACAACCAGTTCATTTGGGTTTACTCCCATCTTTCCTAATTTTAGCACTGGCTATGTTTTATGTGGTGAATAAAGCTAGCCCTTAAAACTCAGTATTTCTCTAATACTGATGCTTATGACAAAGTTCAAAAAAGAAAAAAAGAGTGAGTTAGTTTAAAGAAAGATATTAGCACATGTGTTACATAACTTGGTCAAGATAGCGAAAGGGGAGATTTTGGAGGCATTAGCCTGGGGGTGCTCAGCCCATTTGCCCATAGCCATAGGGACCTGGAATTCTGGGGTAACTGAGGGGTGCTAGAGGAGAAGGAGGTGATCAGAACTTGGCTAAGAGTGCCCAGACAACACCAATGCCCCCTCCCTGTCCCTTCCAGCTCACCTCCAGCCCGCAGTGATATGAGATACCTGGCTCTGAGGGAAGGGGAATCAATCTTAGATGGTGCCCGTTGGCTGGCATTTCCATGGCACTTCCCATAGACAAAGGTGTACCATCTGTGACACCAGATAGACAGACCCCCTGGTGGGAGAGAGCCACCAAATGTTACCTGCCTGGGATGAAATGAGTTGGCTTGGACCAAGGAGAGCCAGCAAGACACAAGGTCTGGGGACAGCTGGTGCCCAGAGCTGCCAGGCAGAGTGGGAGGGGAGGAGGGAAGAGGAACTAGGATAGCAAGAAACACCCTGTCCCCCATGGCAAAGCCAGGCAGAGGAGCACATTGAAGTTTCCCGGCATGTGGAGGCACCTTCGCCAGCAGGGGGTGGGACCTTGAGAGGCTGTGCCAGCACCCAGTAGAACAGGAGGTACTCACCCTGGCTTTCACAGGGCCCAAGCCCCAGTGTCTTCCAGGATCCTCACCAGCCCCAAAGGAACGGCTCTCTCTTCTCCCTCCTGGAGATATGCCCCCTGTCCCCATTCCCCTGGGATCTAGCCTCAATTCCCATACCATTTCTTCCTCCTCCACTGCCCTGCCCCAAGGACACTGATGGGGAAGGCTGCTTTTTCACCGTCCCCTCCCCTCAGCACCCCATCAGCTCCAATGTCCCCCCTGCTCAGGGGCTTCCTGACATCCCTTTACAGAGGACATCCAGGACCCCCAACCTTCCTTTTGAAAAGGGCCTGTTCAGGCTCAGTGGCTCACGCCTGTAATCCCAGTGCTTTTGGAGGCCAGGAGTTCTAGACCAGCCTGGGCAACATAGCGAGACCCCATCTCTACTAAAAAACTTTTAAAATTAGCCAGGTGTGGTGGTGCGTGCCTACGGTCCTAGCTACTTGGGAGGCTGAGGTGGGAGGATTATTGAGCCCAGAAGTTTGAGGTTGCAGTGAGCCATGATTGTACCACCAAGACCCTGTCCCCGCACCGCCCCCTCCGAAAAAAGAATGAGCTTTGCTCACTACACTCCTCCGTATCTGTCTTGCCACATCTAAAGCCAAGCAGAACTGTATGCTAGTGCCTGGATAGACTCCAGCTTTCCAGCCTCTGGGCTTTTGCTCAGCCTATTCCCTCTGCTTAACATGCCCTCTTACCACATTCCCCTGGCCAAATCCTTCCCACTCCTCAAGGGCTGTCAAAAACACCACCTCCTCCAGAAGTCTTCCTAGGTTTGAGCTGGGAGCCCTCTATCCTTCCGGTGAACTCTGAGTCCTTAACGTACAGCTCCCCAGGCCCAGACCACTCTCTGCTCTGCGGTATGGCAGTCCCTGGGATTCACATCTTCCCTTCCCTATTTGACTCCTTGCAGGAAGGTCTGTGTCAAACTCCTATCAGTTCCAATAATTAAATTCTGAATGAAGAATTTTCCGTAACTCTTATCAAGGACTTTCATAGAATCTCAGAGTTGGAAGGACCTCAGGGTTCATGAAGACCAAATCCTATCATTCATTTATTCATCCATCTATTCATTCACTTAACTAATTGAGCACCATTATATGCCAGGCACTGTTCTAGGACACTAGAACAAGACAAAGGCCCCTGTCCTTGAAGAGCTTACAGTCTACTGGTGCCAAGCCTTATAAAGAAAATAATGCAGAAAAAAGAACAGAGAGCTATTTTACATGGGGTGGTCAGGGACTTCCTTGAGGGAGGGAAGAATGTTCCAGGCAGGGGCAACATCACAAGCAAAGGCCCTAAGGCAGGAACTGGCCCTCAAGTGTTGAAAGAAAAGCAAGGATACCAGTTTGCTAGACCCGAGTGGCAGCAAATGAGATCAGAGAAGCTGACAGCGCCCAGATCAGGTGTGGAAGGCCAGGAGAAGGACAGCGATGGGAAGCCTCAAAGGAGACTGAGCAGAGGGGGTAACATGATTGGAGACAGGGGTCCCCTCCGCAGCAGCCCTGCTGGATAGTCCTGTCCAGGGACAGGATGCTCCCCCAAGACAGCCCACTCTTTTGCTGGGCAAATCCGATACATCCAGGGTCTTCCTTAGATGCAGTTCAAATCTGCCTCCTGCAAGCTTTCACTTGCTGGTGTTTATTCCACCCCATGGGGAATGCAGAGCACGGACAGTCACACAGACTGTCCTCTCTGGCCTTCTGGACCCAACATACTCCTCTTGCCAACTGGGTATTACTGGACCTTACTGGGCCTTACTGGACCCAACATACTCCTCTTGCCAACTGGGTATTAAACATTTTAAAAGCCCTTCATCTCCCTCCACAAGTCATGTACTGCCAACAGGGACACACTGTTTTCTTTGGAAACCCTGCTGCGTGCCCAGACAGAGGTCCCACTGCCCTGGGACAGCTCCCTTGCCTAGAGGGGAAGGGTAGGGTGTGTGTGCATGTGTGTGTTTGGGGTTGGGGAGATTAGCTGATTAGCAGGGCAGGAAAGAAATGAAAGAAAATTTGCAAGTCATCCTGATGAAATGAAATCCTGCTGAAGTCTTCTCTTTCCCACACTGAGGGTGTCCCTGCAGGAATGGGACATTGCACCCAGCTGGGCATGGGGAGGAGGTCCTGTCAACAGGGACAGGGCTGCAGGCTATGGTGGGAGAAGAGGGCTTGGTAAATGTGGAAAGGTGAGGGTGCCCTGGCCAGATCTCACTGCCCACTGTCTTCACACCCACCGCAGGCTCCCTCAACCTCCTGGTGCGGTCCCGGAACAAAGGGGCTCTGGACACGCACGCCTGGTCTCTCAGTGGCAATAAGGGCAATGTGTGGCAGCAGGCCCATGTGCCCATCAGCCCCAGTGGGCCCTTCCAGGTGAGTCCGTAGGGCCCAGAGGACCCTCCCCGGCTTCGGTGGTTGCTGTGGCCAGGAAACACTTAGGAAAACCTTGTCCTTCTTCCTGGGGGCTAAGGATGGAAAGAGTCAGGTTAGGGGGAACTTCCAGGTAGATTAAGGGGAAAGGTGGGGTCGAGGGAGCACTCTGGTACCCAGCAGAACCTCCTCAACCCTTGCTCCTTGCTTTCTGACCCCACCCCAGATTATTTTTGAGGGGGTTCGAGGCCCGGGCTACCTGGGGGATATTGCCATAGATGACGTCACACTGAAGAAGGGGGAGTGTCCCCGGAAGCAGACGGATCCCAATAAAGGTGCAAGACGGGAAGGAGGTGGGGGAGCTGAATCTGGAGGGAGCTGTGCGTGGCGGGGGTTCCTGTCTGTTGAGGGAGGGTGTTTGGGTCTGAATAGGGGTTCAGAATGTCTGAGTGATGGGAATCATGTGGCTCTGACTGTGTGAAGGTGTGCCCCACACTCACTCAGGCTGTGTACTTGTGTAAACAATGAGAAGCCTGGCCCCCACCCTCGTGATGAGCATACTGACCTGTTCACGGTATCAGAGCGCCTCCTGTGCCTGTGTCTGAATACATCTGTGCGTACCTCTGGCTCCAGAGGTGAACGTGTGCCTTCCAGGGCCAGAGGTTTCCAATACTAACAGCTCCTACTTACTGAGCAATTACTCTGTACCAGGCAAGGCACACAAACTTGTATATGCATGTTTCACTTACCTCACAACAGTTAATCCTCACAACAGTCCTTTGGGGTAGTACACACCATTGGACCCATTTTACAGATGAGGAAACTGAGGCCCACTGAGGTCAAGTAAATTGTTCCAAGTCTTAGTGAATGTGAACCCTGGCAGGCTGAGCTAACCCCCACCCCACCCCACGCCACCTCATGTCTGTGCGGTGAGTTTGTCTGTGTGCACTGAGGCCAGTGCCCACCCTCAGGCCCTCCAAAGAGGTGGGCAGAGTAACAGTGCCGACCTGCCTGCCACTTCCTGCCCCTGCCAGAGCTGACCAGAGCCCTGGCCTGTCTCCTCTTTCTCCCCTGTTGCAGTGGTGGTGATGCCGGGCAGTGGAGCCCCCTGCCAGTCCAGCCCACAGCTGTGGGGGCCCATGGCCATCTTCCTCTTGGCGTTGCAGAGATGATGAGAGCTGTGTGGCCACCCCCCCAACCTTGCCCCCGGCACACCAAAGTGTCCACATTGTACCAAAGACTGACCCCCGCCAGCTGGGGTGCCCAGGGGCAGGGCCGGCCCGCCAGGGAGGGGGCCTGCATTGGCTGCAAGGATGAGCAGAGAACAAGGACAGAGGCCAGGCACTGAGGCCCTGGAGACAGCTGTTCCACTTGCACACACGCACACACTCATGCTCACACACACAGAGATATATTAAAGCACAAGTTTCTATCTGACCTGCCAGCACCTTCTTTACTGCAAAGACAGGGGACTTGCCTGAATGGCATCCGCCAACCCAGGGACCTCGGCGCAACATAGGCCTTGTCCTTGCTGCACTCGTGGTGTGCTTCTGACTTTACCCTGTCCCCTAAGTCAAGGCCGAACTCCAGCCTGGTGGCTTTGCCAGAAGGGAGCCAGAAGTGGGGCAGACATGGAGCCCCTCCCTTGGTCAGACTCTGGGACTCCTGAGATGGGAGAGGCAGGGATCAGAGGACGAACAGGTGGGACTTTGCGAGCTCTGTGACTGTCCCACGTCCAGGAGACAAGGAAGGTAGGGCACCTGCTGCACACGATTCTGTCCAGAGTGAGCACTGGATGGTGGAGACCATAGGTCACCCCAGATTCCTTGACCTATTTCTGGGACACCATATTTCCCTCCTCAGTGTGCACCCTTTGAAGGGACCCAGCACAGGGTCTTGGGCCTGGGCAGTCTGAAGACTGATAACTTCCCCACTCCACCCTACAAGCAGTGGGACTCCTGAGAACACGGTTCTCTCCTAGCCTCAGCCCCCAGCTGGGTCTCAGAGGAGCTGGGGGAGCGGTGGCCAGCCCATTTTCTGGGGTGAGGCTTGACTTGGAGAAAGGCAGAAGAGACGTCCCGCTTCTGTGATTTGGTGCCCCCATATCAGACAATGAATTTGGAAGTGGAGAGGGGCCTTCATTTCTTATCTACTTGGCATGAAAGGGTGCCCTGGATAGGAGGGTGTGTACAGGGCAAAATGCCAAAAAGCACTGTCTAGTTGAAAGTTCCCTTCTCCACCCAGGGGCAGTGAAGGAGGAGGGGCTTATAGAGCTGGGATTGGTGGAGGGAGCAGGTGCCAGTCCCCTCACTCTCTGGGAGCTGTGAAAGGGATCCCTGTCCTTGGGTCCTGGGTTAGGCACCTGAGATTGACATGATGGGATCTAGATCTTTCCTCCTTGACATCACCTGAGCCCCCACCTAGCCATCCATGGGAGAGAGAAGGCCCAGCCCCTTCTAGAATGACTCTTTAGGCATGCGTGCATATGTGTGTATGTGTTTGTGCCCGTCTGTGTCTAGGTACCACCGTGGGTACATTGTTGGGCAGGAGTGTGTGCAAACACAGGTCTGTGTGTGCAATCTCACATATCTGCCTGTGAGACTGGATTGAGACCCATTCGTTTCTATGAATGTCCGTGTACGTCAGCGTGTGTGTCCACCTTCCTGAGTGATGTGTTCGCTTGTAGGGTGCTGGCTGAATAGACTCTGTCCAGCCCTGTTCTGTAGTCTCAAGCTGCCTGCGATGGCCTGAAATTCCACCTTTCATCCCCTATGGATGACGG